>NC_000019.10:39362086-39665116 GCF_000001405.40 Homo sapiens
CTTGGGTGTGGGTCAGAGCTGCCCAGTTGTCTGCTTCCTGCTCAGATAGATCAGGTAGCACAGAGCTGACCTAGGTGAATATGTCCCTAGCTTTGTGTTAGAATCCCCCAGGGCCTTTCTAAAAATAATGTGAAGCCCAGGTCCTATCCCTGGAGATTTAAAGCTCCCTGGTTGACTCTTGGGTGCACCCAGTGGAGAACCACTTGTCTTGATGCTGACGCTGATTTTGGGTAGGCCCGGGAAGCTGGTGAGGATACTGTTGTGTGACCTACTAGAAGTGGGGAGTCGGGGCTTATAGCTGTGGAAAGCCTGGCCTAGGTCATCGCTTCCTCTCAGGCAGCTGGGAAGGTATAGGGAAGTCCTCCAGCACAGGCAGCCAGCATCAGTTTCATGGAAGTAGGACATGAGGCGCAACACCTAGAAACAGAAAAGCAATATTCCAAGGGTCTCTGGAACAGGGAAGAAGAGGTCCCAGGTTACCCCTTGTTGTAATCCCTGTTTGTTCTCCAGGTGCTGTCTTCCCTGCCTCTTTGGAGCTAGAACAATAACCCTGGTCCTCTCCTTTCCTCTGATGCTGACTTGGACCAGAAGGCTGTTCCTATGGACAGGAGGAAGGAGACTAGGGGGGTCAGGGGAGCTGAATTCCACTTCCCTCCACTGTCCTGTAGCTTCCTGGGAGACATTTCCTGCATTTTCTTCCCACCTCCTATTCTGAGTCAGTCCCCATATCTAGCAGGTTTAAACTCCTCCCTCTCTGGCTCATTCAGTCTGGGTGGGGAAACTGAGGTCAGGAGGGGCAATGGCAAGTGAGTCATCAGAGCTCAGCCCTGTCCTCCACCCTCCACTTTCAGGCTCTGCTTGACAGTTCATCAAACAAAAATGTGAGCCCCCTGCCCTCCCCTGTGTCCATGTGAGCAGGGGTGAGGCAGAGAAGGTCATGTTTAGAGCCAAACCCTAGCCCCTCTGACTGGTGCCTGAGGCTACTCCAATTGTTGCACCAGGCCAGTACATAAAAATGGGTTTGCTCTTAGAGCAGTCTCGATTGGTGCCTGTAATTTGCCAGGACCCAGGGTCATGACCTACTTAGCTCTAGTCACCTGGCCAGCTCTGCCCTGCTGCCACTATAGCCAGGGAGGACATTTATACGCACAGCATTCCTCAACCTCTCCATGTTTGCAGAGTCCAAGTTTGCAGCTTGGTGAGAAGCAGCCGTTGGTGTCTTGGCATTCCCCAGCCCCTTCCCCCATCTGCCCACCTCCAGAATTTCATCATTGCTTGTTGTACTTCTAGCTCCAAGGAATCAGAGATGTGTCTGTTTTTGGTAAATAACTGTATGAAATTCCCCACCCCTGTCGGGAATCTTAAGGGGAAGGCCCAGATGTGCTTTTGTACATGAACTGTTCCCACCAGCCCTGAAACAGCATGGGCTCTAGATTCAACGAGGAGCAACAACAATAATAGTTAAAATGTACTTGAGCACTTACCACATGCCAGACGCTTTGCATGATTGTCTCATTGACTCTTTACAACAATCCTGTGAGGTAGAGGCCTTACAGTCCCCATTTACAGAAGAGACCAAGGATCAGAGAGGTTAAAGGACTGGCCCACAATGATATTGAGTTAGGTCATGGAGGCAGAGCTAGATTTTGAATCCAGCAAGTTTGCCTGTTGAACTTGTGCTCTTACTTAGTATACTCTGCTAGGACCTGAGACAGAGTACACCACTACCTTCCAGGGGACCATCTGGGTTCAATTGTGCAGGTATTCGTTGGGCCTCTGCTGTGCCTCCACTCTGGGCCAGGCTTTTTCTGATCTGGGCAGGAAACTAGAAGTTCCATCCCCACCCATTATTTACAGCCCCAGCTGGGCTCACCCCAAGGGGCCTGAGGCTGCACAAATTACTTGGGCCAGTTCCAGTGCTCACTGATGCTTCTCAGTCATGGGAGGCCCGCCCTCCCCACCACCACCACACAGACACATGAACACACATTTCCCCAGAATCAGCCTCCATTTGTCCAAAACCACTCTCCCCTTTCTCGGCAGCAGAACAAGGTCCTGCATTGAGCCCAACCCTTGGGGCTGTTCTGTCATGTCCCCTGGCAGTACCAGAGAAGCTGTGTCCCTTAGCCCTGGGGTCCTGGCAGTACTCTGGAGTGGGGAAAGGACTAGACAAGGCTTCTCTCTGTCCCAGATGCCTCTGGCTATGCTGCAAGGCCTAAACAACAGCGATTGAGAATGTCAGGGTAGGGCTGGAGGGGCAGGCTGACTCGACTACTGGAGAAGAGAGGAAAACACCCGTCACTGAGCCACAGACTGAATGTTTACTATGAGTACACTCTGTCAGATGCTTTTCATGCATCATCTCCCTACATCTTCTCAGCAGCTTTATAATCCTTACTTTACAGAGGAGGAAGCATACTGCCCAGGCCACTGTGTGTTTTTGACTGGGGTGCATATCCTTGACTTATTTTTATTTTTTTTTATTTTCATTCTTGACTTTCTGTCCCTAATGGGAATCACTGTCTTTCTTCTTTCTCATCAAGAACTGAAAACTACAGGACTAAGTTATCAAACAGGGTACCACAGAGTTCTTATCGTTTGATCCAGTGCCAGGTGGAGTTGGGAGGGCAGGAAAGACAAAAGTTCTGTGACTTCAGTGAGGCCTTTTCTGCCTTGGAAAATGATCTTTAGATGTGGAGATGGCCTGAAGGACAGCTTCATAATCTTGGCAGTCGGTTCAAGTGAAGACAGACAAGGGAATGAGGTTTCCTAGCTTTGAGTGGCAGATGCTGAAGGGGATCTGGAAATCCAGGGAAGAAGAGAGACTTGGGATTGGAGAGATAAAAGGTTGTGGGTAAAAAGTTCCCCCCTGGCTGGGCGCAGTGGCTCACACCTGGAATCCCAGCACTTTGGGAGGCTGAGGCAAGTGGATCACGAGGTCAGGAGATCGAGACCATCCTGGCTAACACGGTGAAACCCCATCTCTACTAAAAATACAAAAAAAAATAAATTAGCCGGGTGTGGTGGCGGGCGTGTGTAGTCCCAGCTACTCAGGAGGCTGAGGCAGGAGAATGGTGTGAACCCAGGAGGCAGAGCTTGCAGTGAGCCGAGATCGTGCCACCGCACTCCAGCCTGGGTGACAGAGCGAGACTCCGTAAAAAAAAAAAAAAAAAAAAGTTCCTCCCTGCCGGACACCATGGCTCACACCTGCAATCCCAGCACTTTGGGAGGCCGAGGCAGGTGGATCACCTGAGTTTAGAAGCTTGATACTAGCATGGCCAATATGGCAAAAGCCCGTCTCTACTCAAAATATAAAAATTAGCCAGGTGTGGTGGCGTGCGCCTGTAATCCCAGCTACTGGTGGGGGCTGAGGCAGGAGAATTGCTTGAATCCAGGAGGTGGAGGTTGCAGTGAACCGAGATCATGCCACTGCACTCCAACTTGAACAACAGAGCAAGCCTCCATGTCAAAAAAAAAAAATGGAGGCACACAGAGCCTGGATTCAGATCTCAGCTGTGTCGCTTAATGGGCTCTGTCACTTAGGGTGTGTGACCTCACCTTCCCAAATCTGTTTTCTCACCTGCAAGATGAGCACACCAAAACAGGATTAAAACAGGGATGAAAAGCAATCATTTTTAGCATAGTGTCTGGCACATAGTAAATGCTCAATAAACAGTATCCTTCATTCTGAATGAAAGTGCCATATGTTATTGCTATTGTCAGTAGTAGCAACAGCAATAGTGGTATTGGTTCTACTATTAATTTTAACCAATGCTGTAGACATAGTATGAGTTGATGACTTTGAATGAATGGATTTAACAGGTGTTCCCTTGGCTGGGCACAGTGGCTCATGCCTGTAATCTTAGCACTTTGGGAGGCTGAGGTGGGCAAGTCATTTGAGAGCAGGAATTTGAGACTAGCTTGGCCAACATAGTGAAAAAAGTAACAGGCAGGACACGGTGGCTAACGCCTATAATCCCAGCACTTTGGGAGGAAAGGTAGGTGGATCACCTGAGGTCAGGAGTTCCAGACCAGTCTGGGCAACATGGTTAAACGCCCCCTCCACTAAAAATATAAAAATTAGCCGGGTGTCATGGTATGTGGCTGTAATCGCAGCTACTCAGGAGACTGAGGCAGGAGAATCGCTTGAACCCCAGAGGCAGAGGTTCCAGTGAGCCGAGATCGTGCCACTGCACTCCAGCCTGGGCAACAAAGTGAGACTCCATCAAAAAAAAATAGCCAGGCATGGTGGTGCACGCCTGTAATCCCAGCTACTTGGGAGGCCGAGGCAGGAGAATCACTTTAACCCGGAGGCGGAGGTTGCAGTGAGCTGAGATCACTGCACTCCAGCCTGGGCAATAGAGCGAGACTCCATCTCAGAAAAATAGAAAACAAAAACTAACAAACAGGTGTTCTCTCTTGGAAGCTTAGAGCAAAGAGCCCCAGGCCAAGAAAATGCACAGTCTTTATAGCCAGGAGTTAGGAACTGTGTGAGATTCATTTTCCTAAGGCTACAAACTTAAGCAGAATTAGGAGTGTATGTGAATTCTAGGCCACAGAGTTCTAAGGGGATCATTAAGAGAAATAGGGCTACAGACAGGGCATTTCTGAGTTTGTATGCAAGGCCAGGTGTCCATCCTTCAGTGTGGGCAGAGGAGACCAGAAGTCCATGGAACTTTTTTTTTAAGTCAATCCTGAAGCATGCTAGATGTCCTTGGAATCGTAAAGGCCTAAGGAACTTGGGTTGAAAGACCCTCAGATGTCTAGGTTTCCAAGACTTTCCTTATAGGTGCTTATTCCTAGCCTCTTGGTTTCCTGGGCCCAGAGATTTGGCTTGTGCCTTTAGAATCTCTGTGTGTATCTGAAAGGAGGGAGACACAGTGAGATATAATAACCACAATACTAGTAAAAGCAGCTAGTGTTTACTGAGGACTTACTCTATGCTGTGGCCTCACATAATTCATAGCAGCCATGCCAGGTAGGAATGATTCTGGGCTCCACTTTACAGATAGAGAAAATAGAGCTCAGTGAAGTGATCACACTTGCCCAGAGTCACATGGCCAGTAAGTGGTGGTAAAGGGACATATGCCACATCTCTGCCTATTCCTTTTCATCACCCACTCCTTTGGGGTCCTAGCTCTGTCTGGTTAGAGCCAGCTCCTTTGCCCATTTCCAAGACCTCACCATTAGCACATCTCTCAGAACTCCTTTGTGAGATATTTGTAAGTCATCACCTTGGCTACAGATGTGAGCTCAGTTGCCCAAGGGTGAGAGCGTAGTTGGCCTCAGACCTAAATCTTTGTCTCTTTTCCCAAGTATTGGTATTTTTTGTCCCTCTCCTTGTCCTGTCAGCATTATCTCCATCTTCCACCCTGTTTAGCTAGTCACAGAAGTGCTAATGAGGTTTTTTTTTTCTTTTTCTTTTTTTTTTTTTTTTTTTTGAGACGGAGTCTCACTTTGCCCCCAGGCTGGAGTGCAGTGGCGCGATCTCGGCTCACTGCAACCTCCACCTCCCGAGTTCAAGTGATTCTCCTGCCTCAGCCTCCCAAGTAGCTGGAATTACAGGCATCCACCACCATGCCCGGTTAATTTTTGTATTTTTAGTAGAGACAGGCTTTCACCATGTCGGCCAGGCTGGTCTCCAGCTCCTGACCTCAGGTGATCCACCTGCCTCAGCCTCCCAGAGTGCTGGGATTACAGGCGTGAGCCACCACGCCCAGTGCTAATAAGGTCTTTGAGGGGGAGAGTCAGACTTGTAACAGTTCCTACCCAAGCCTTCTTTGATGTGGCCAGCCTGGGGCCATATTCTTAGGGACCTCCCTTGTGGGTTGAAAGGGGAAACCTGAGGCCGGGCGCAGTGGCTCACGCCTGTAATCCCAGCACTTTGGGAGGCTGAGGCGGGTGGATCACGAGGTCAGGAGATCGAGACCATCTTGGCTAATGCGGTGAAACCCTGTCTCTACTAAAAATACAAAAAATAAGCTGGGCGTGGTGGTGGGCGCCTGTAGTCCCAGCTACTCGGGAGGCTGAGGCAGTAGAATGGCATGAACTCAGAAGGTGGAGCTTGCAGTGAGCCAAGATCGCGCCACTGCACTCCAGCCTGGGCGACAGAGCGAGACTCCGCCTCAAAAAAAAAGAAAAGGGAAACCTGGCTTATCTCCACAGGGTAGACTCAGGTCCTCACACAGTGGGATAGAAAGGAGAGGTCAAGATGACCATGACATGGAACAGCCAGGGAATGCTTCCTGGAGGAAGGTAGTAAGTTAGGCCATCTACAAAAGAGAATTTGTATAGGAGGAAGGAGGTTGTTGCGGGCCAAAACCTTGAATCTCAGCCAAGGTGTGGAGCTTGGATAAATACATACTGTGGAGAGAACCCCAAGGAAGATGGGGAGATATCCTGAGCTGAGTCTTTATCTGGAGGAATGGGAGATGGAGGGTGCCCTGGAAATGAAGGTGATGTTAGGCTAGGAGTTCTTGGACTTGAGTCTGTTGGTGCTTGCTGGTTGCCATTATAAACTCCTGGTCAGGAACATGACATCCTGTTGTGATTTAGGAAGATAAATGCATCTGGATGTATGGGATCGATTGGAAGGGGAGAATCTAGAAGCAGAGAGACCAGTTAAAAAACAATAGCAAGCATTTATTATGTCGCCAAACCACTTTGTGTTCTTTGCTAGCTCATTGAATCTCAAAGCAACACTGTGAATTGGGTACTGTAATTATCTCCAAAATTTCGCAGATAATTTAGTGCTCCATGAGGTTCAAGGTAGCTTACCAAGATCTAGCTAGTAAGCTGGGGTGTCTAGACCATCTGATTCCAGAGCCCAAGCTTTTAACTACCATATACCACTGCCTTCTCCATTCAGGAAGGAGACTGCTTTTTGGCAGGGGAAATGGCATAGAGGCCATGAAGAATGGAGGAAGGAGTCATGGAGATAAAGCATGAGAGCAGGCCTGGGGACAGGAGTTGTTCAGATTCCAGAGTAGCAAGTTTGGCTGATTGGGAGGCACTGCAGGTTTCTGAGAACAGGAGTGATAGAACAAAGAAAAATTACTCTACACCAGCTGTGGTGGGCACATGACTGTAGTACCAGCTACTTGGGAGGCTGAGGCAAGAGGATTGCCTGAGTCCAGGAGTTCTGGGCTATAGTGTGCTATGCTGATTGGGTGTCTGCACTAAGTGTGGCCCCAGTATGGTGACCTCCTAGGAGTGGGGGACCACCAGGTTGCCTAAGGAGGGGTGAACTGGCCCAGTTTGGAAATGGAGCAGGTCAAAACTCCCGTGCTGATCAATAGTGGGATTGCACTTGTGAATAGCCACTGCACTGCAGCCTGGGCAACATAGTGAGACCCCATCTCTTAAAAAAAATAAGACAAAAATTACTCCAGAGGCAGGGTCAGTGTGTTTGATCTCACCTATATGAGGGATAAGTTTGGGAGTTATGAAAAGAAAATCGTTATGAAAAGAAGATTGGAGCTGAGGGAATAGGCCATAGGCAGTGCTCTCAGGTGAATAGGAGTACCCCACCCTGGCTCTCCTGATATTTCTTCTTATCCCTTCTGTAGCCATCGTCAGCCAGTGGCAGCAGGAGTCCAAAGAGAAGGTGGTGTCCCTCCTGCTGTCCCACCTTCCCCTGCTTCAGCCAGGCAACACAGAGGCCAAGTCGGAGTACATGAGGCTACTGCAGAAAGTGCTGGCCTACTCAATCGAGAGCAATGCTTTCATCGAGGAGAGTCGCCAGCTGCTTTCCTATGCCCTCATCCACCCAGCCACCACACTGGAGGACCGCAACGCACTGGCCCTCTGGCTGAGCCACCTGGAAGAGCGGTTGGCTAGTGGCTTCCGCTCCCGGCCAGAGCCCTCCTACCATTCACGTCAAGGCTCAGATGAGTGGGGGGGCCCTGCAGAGCTAGGCCCTGGGGAGGCAGGGCCAGGCTGGCAGGACAAGCCACCCCGGGAAAATGGACACGTGCCCTTCCACCCATCCAGCTCAGTGCCGCCAGCCATCAACAGTATTGGGAGCAATGCAAACACAGGTAAGTGGCGGGGGTGTCCCAGAAGGCCATGCCTACTTGAAAAAGGTTGGACTAGGCTCAGTGAGAGCTCTCTCGCTCTGTGGCATTAGACAAGTCACATAAGCTGTAGGCCTCAACTTTATGAGGCAATGCAGAGGCTGTGAACTGGCTTTCCCAGAGCTGAATCTGACCTACAGACATGTCTTATTGAACCCATACTTTGGTTTGGTTTTATTTTGTTGTGTTGGGTTTTTAAATAAATGTGAGTGGTACAAAGAATCAAGAATTTTTCCCTAAAAATGAGATTTCCAGCCTTTCTTGAGAAGTCAAAAGATCTAGCAACTCAACAAGATCTGTTTTCCTAGTGGCAGCAATAATATAGAGCTTAATGTTGAGCATGCCCTTTAGACCCTGCACAAGTGCCCTAGTCTGCCTCTGCTCCCACCAACCCCCCTTTGGGCATTTCTGATATATACCTGGCCTCTAAGGGCATCAGGCTATGACGCTTGATGGAGGTGTGCATACCATCATCTGAGATCCCTTCCAGTTCAGACAACATTATGGATTTTATGTATCTGGCCTCACTTTACAGCTTTGTTTCTGAGAACACTGTCTGTATAAGACAAAACTCATGCTGCAAGGTATTTGTAATAGTAGGTAGCATTTTTCAGCATTGACTATGCTAGGTACTCTTTTATAGACACTTTTCAGGTATGATCTCAGTCCGCATCACAACCGTATCATTAGCCCTATTCAACAGATGAGGACATCGGGACTCAGAGGTGAAGTGATGTGTTCAAAGTCACACGTAGAACAAGTGGTGGAACAGACCCAACCAGTCTGATGGCAGAGCCTGCCTCTGACCACTACACTGTCCTGCCAACTAAGCAGGTTTGAAAGAGCTCTCTTAGTAAAAGCCCTGCAGGCGGGAGTGAGCAGAAGTTGTTGGTATCCCAGTGACTTTTTGAAATGCACAGGATAAGGGAGGGTGGATTTTCCAAGCCATGGTAAGGCAGCATGACCTGACCCAGGGTGAGGGAGAGGGTTCATGATGTAAACCTCAGAGTAGCTAGTCACCTTCAGCAGGCACTGGTTTAAAGCAAGACAAGAGAGAGTGACAGTGAAATGTCACATGTGTCAGTGGGTGGGGGTAACCTCGGGTCCCTAATGCCCCGCTGTCTGGTACCTGGTGCTCATCAGTTATTCCTTGAGCCTGTTTTTCCCCCAGTTAGTGTGGCTATTCTGGTCCATCTGCCTCCCTCCCAGTTGCTGGTGAGAACCTGGGAAGATAGAGGGATAGAAGGGCAGTTTCAGGAAACTTAGCAACCTGAGGTGTCTTGGACCTCATTTTCCAGTCATGGAGCATCACAGTTCCAGGATGGGAGGATGTATTAATAATGATCATTCTAGGCAAAAAATATTGAGTGCTAGTCCGGGCATGGTGGCTCACGCCTGTAATCCCAGCACTTTGGGAGGCCGAGGCAGGCAGATCACCTGAGGTCAGGAGTTCGAGACCAGCCTGACCAACATGGTGAAACCTCATCTCTACTAAAAATATAAAAATTAGCTGGGTATGGTGGTGCATGCCTATAATTCCAGTTACTCGGGGGGCTGAGGCAGGAAGGTCGCTTGAACCCAGGAGGTGGAGGTGGCAGTGAGCCGAGATCTTGCCATTGCATTCCAGCCAGGGCAACAGAGCGAGACCCCATCTCAAAAAAAAAAAAACAAAAACACACATCGAGTGCTTAGTCTTTACTAGGAGCTATTCTAAGAACTTTATACATATAAACTCAAGGTTTAAAGCCAGGCATTCTGACTATAGACTTCATACTCTGAACTACTATGCTACACTACCTCCACCAAAAAGTACCTCTCCTGGAGATGCTCATCCCTCACCAAGGGGAGGGGTCACCCAGGCAGGGTGCCTATAAATTTCTTTGTCTTCATACCTTTTGTGCTCCCCATCATGGGTACCCCAGCAGCCATTAAAGGATGAAGATTGAACAATGTTGATAGGGGTTTGGACCAAAAGAGGAAAAGGAATTGGGCATTCCAAGTAGAAGGCACAGCATGAAATAAGCACGGGGTGGATAATTAGAGGGGACAGTATACAGACAGATCTGGCTGGGGTGGATTCGAATGAGTAATAACAGTAGCAGAGACTTGTGCTTACCGTGTGCCTATCCCTCTGCTAAGGACTTCATGCAGAAATGGAGGCAGAGAGGTGAATGAAGTGACTTGCCCAAGATCACACAGAGGCGACAGAGTCAGAGTCAGGATTTGAACTCAGGCCTGTCTTTACCCTCAGACCTCAGTGTGTGAAGGCTACATTCTGGGGGGCGTTGAAGGACAGGAGAAGCTTTTGGATTCCAGGCAGTTGCAGGAAACAGGAAATCATTAAAATATTTTTGAGTGGGGAGCAAGGATTGGCCTTTGAGGGCAGGCAGCTTGGGTTTGGGGTGCTGCCAAGAACAGATCAGGATTTCTTGGAGAGTGCAAGGCCCTGGATCTCTGGCCGGCATTCTTGTTTTTGTCATTCTCATGCTGTGGCCAGCCTCCACCCCAGTGCGGAGCCAAGCAGGGCTCCTCAGGAACTGCACGATCATTCCAGTCAGGGTAATTTCCTGCCTCTCAGCCTCTCCTGCCTACTTCTTGGCTGAGAAGGGAGAAAGAAGGAGGCCAGAGACACCAAAACAGGCAAAAAGGCCTGTCTTGAGGATTCCCCAGTCCCCCAGGGCCCAGAGTGTGCCATGTTCCCCAAGAGTGCTGAGTGGGGACAGAAGCCAGGGCTGAGGGAGTCTAGAGGCTGAAGAACTCCTGGGAAGAGGACCCTGGACACTCTGGGGTAGGGCAGAAACTGGTATTAAGGGTGGGCCACTGCCTTGCCCTGTCCCTTAGGTGACTTCCTAGCCAGGAGCATTAGTATTGTCACAGCTGAGGGAAGATGCTCTGGGGCCTGCACCAGGCTAGCCCTCCTTCCTGGGCTGGGTGTCACTGTAGCACTGGCAGGAACCCCAGCCTTTCCATCAGAAACAAGGCTTGGGCTCTGTCTCAGCCTGTCAACTCCCGTGGGAACTGGGGCAAAGGGCTTCAGCTCCCTGGGCCTTGATGTCCTCACCTACCCAGGGTGAGGCTCGTTGGCTTTGTTTCATTTCTTTTTGTCTAGGCTGACTTGGGGTACTTCTGGATGCCATAGGTGGAGCTCAGAGGCCCTCTTAGCACCCTTTTGTCCTTTATGAAACTTCGTTGGAAGGACTTCTGTGTGTCATGCCCTGTGCCTGATCATGGGATTGCAGAAGTAATTGGACTGGGCTGCCATTCTCCATGGACCCACAGTCCAGTGCAAGAGGGAGGCTAGTGAGGAGGGCAGCAAGCAAGAGGGAGGCTAGTGAGGAGGGCAGCAAGCGCCAGGCCTGAGGCAGCAGCAGAGGGGTACATGACCGAGGCATGAAGGGAGAAGTGGCTGATGGAGAAGAGTTGGCGAGGTGAGCGAGGCAGAGGAAAAAGCACAGATAAAGGTCTGGGAGCTCATGGGAACCTGCCCTGTCTTGGGAGTGGTTAAAAATCAAGTTGGAGGCCAGGCATGGTGGCTCACACCTGTAATCTCAGCACTTTGGGAGGCCAAGGCAGGCGGATCACCTGAGGTCGGGAGTTCAAGACCAGCCTAAGCAACATGGAGAAACCCCCGTCTCTACTAAAAAAATACAAAATTAGCCAGGCGTGGTGGTGGGTGCCTGTAATGCCAGCTACTCAGGAGGCTGAGGCAGGAGAATTGCTTGAACCCGGGAGGCAGAGGTTGCAGTGAGCCGAGATTGTGCCACTGCACTCCAGGCTAGGCCACAAGAGTGAAATTCCATCTCTAAAAAATATATATATATATGACCAGGCACAGGTGGCTTACGCCTGTAATCCCAGCACTTTGGGAGGCCAAGGCAGGTGGATCACCTGAGGTCAGGAGTTTGAGACCAGCCTGACCAATATAGTGAAACCCTGTCTCTACTAAAAATACGAAAAACATTAGCTGGGCATGGTGTTGGCCACCCGTAGTCCCAGCTACTCGGGAGGCTGAGGCAGGAGAATCGCTTGAACCCAGGAGGTGGAGGTTGCAGTGAGCCAAGATTGCACCACCGCACTCGGCGACAGAGCAAAACTCCATCTCAAAAAAAAAAATCAAGTTGGATTCCTTTGCCAACCTCAGACTTGGGATGGACAGAGGGTATGGAGCATCCTTCAGAAGAGGACCTGGGATCACCCTGAGTCACCAGGCCTCATGAGTGGCCAGTTTGGGCTCACTGCAGAAAAAAAATGGGAGGTAGTGAGGCCCCATAACAGGGTTGTTGAGGAAGCAGCTTACGTACTTCATTCATTACAAGATATAATGATGTTTAAGATGGGACAGGTTTCTGCTGTCACAGGTCTTCTATTCTAGCAGGGGGTGTAGTTAATAAGTAAACAGGCTGGGCGCAGTGGCTCACGCCTGTAATCCCAGCACTTTAGGAGGCTGAGGTGGGCGGATCACGAGGTCAGGAGATTGAGACCATCCTGGCCAATGTGGTGAAACCCCGCCTCTACTAAAATACAAAAAAATTAGCTGAGCATGGTGGCAGGCATCTGTAGTCCCAGCTACTCGGGAGGCTGAGGCAGGGGAATTGCTTGAACCCAGGAGGCAGAGGTTGCAGTGAGCCCAGATCGTGCCACTGCACTCTGGCCTAGTGACAGAGCAAGACTCCATCTCAAAAAAGTAAATAAATTTTTAAAAAAATAAACAAATAACTTGATAATTTCAGGTTGTGATGGGTGCTGTAAGAAAGACAAGACAGTAATGTGATAGAGTGACGGATTGGGGCAGCAGAGGTGGGCAGTGACTTCAGATTAAGGGTTCAGGGTAGGCCTCAGAGGAGGCGACACTTGAGATGAGACTTGAGGGAGCCAACCGCTGAGATCAAGAAGGTAGGAAGAAAGAGCAAGTCCAGAAGTCCTGAGGCTGGAACAACCTTGAGTGTTTCAGGAACAAAGGGGAGTTTGGGAGGAGGCAAAGGCTAGAGAGGCATGAACCAAGTGGTGGGTTGTGGGAGAGGAACAGGGGCCAGGTCCTGCATGGCCTTTTAGGCATGTGGAAGCATTTGTATTTTGTTCCCACTATGAAAGGAAGTCACAGGGATTTGAGCAGGAGTCAGGCTCGGTCAGATTTGCATTTTTAGAAGGACCTTTATGGCTGTTGTGAGGGGCGTGGACTGTAGGAGGCAAGAGTGAAGGCAGGAAACCAATGAGGAGGCTGTGGCAGTAATTCCTGCCAGGGGTGCTGGTGGCTTGAGCCAGCGGAACTGGAGAAATTCAGGAAAGTGGCTGACAGCTTGCTGATGGGTTGGGTGTTGGAGGTAAGAGAATGAGGTATATCTGGTAGGCAGTTACCCTTGGACCCCAGGTCCCTTCCTCTTGGCAGGTTATGGGGCCAAACTGCCATCCTGGCACTGACGGCAGGGGGATGGTCTCCTGTGGTTGGGTCCCCAGGTCTAATATTTTGCTTTTCTCCCACTCTGGCCAGGTCTCCCCTGCCAAATCCACCCTAGCCCACTGAAGCGCTCCATGTCACTCATCCCTACAAGCCCCCAGGTCCCTGGTGAGTGGCCGAGTCCAGAGGAGCTTGGGGCCCGGGCTGCTTTTACCACGCCCGATCACGCACCTCTCTCGCCCCAGAGCAGCGTGGCCTCCTCTGGCAGTGAGCAGACAGAGGAGCAGGGCTCCAGCCGGAACACCTTCCAGGAGGATGGCAGTGGCATGAAAGGTACATTGGGGACAGCAGCACCAGGACCCTTTTCCAGGGGCTTCTGCAGAGCTTAGAGGACAGAAAGGAGCTTGTAGCTGACACCTGCTTACCCCTCTGAGGAGGGGACATGTCTGAGGGGAGTAGATAGTCCCTGCTTTTAGGGCTCAGGACTAAGCAGAGAGACCCCACATCTACCCTAACAAGTTCTAGTCTGACTGGGAAGGAGCCCCCTGTCTTCACACACCCCAGTCTGACAAGGAAGCCAGGACACAGCTAAGTGATGGAACAGAGGTTCCAGCAAGAGTTTTGGAGCAATCAGTGAGGTCATCCTGGTATACATCCAGCCTAGCAGCTTAGAAGGGTCAGATGTCCTTCCCAGGGAAGGCTGCCTGAGGGTCTGGCTAGGCAGATGAAGAAGGAGCTGATGGAACCTTAGCTCCCCCCAACCCCCTCCCAATTTTTTGCATCTTTTGAGGCTTCCTGTGGGTTTATCCCCACAACTTTTCCTTTACCCTGGTAATCTGGGCCAAACTCCTGACCTTTCACTCTCCCTCCTTTGCCAAAGATGTGCCCTCATGGCTCAAGAGCCTCCGTTTGCACAAGTATGCAGCCCTCTTCTCACAGATGAGCTACGAGGAGATGATGACACTGACTGAGCAGCACCTGGAGTCTCAGGTGAAGCCAAGGGGACCATCAGGGAGGTGCTGGGGGCAGCGCTAGTTTGGCATCCTTGCAGCCCAAGCCTCCTCTGTCTCCTTGATCTCTATTTGGGTACCCCCAAATATCTCAGCCTCACATCTCTAGCTTCCTGTCCCCTTCTGCCCTTATCACAGAACGTCACCAAAGGTGCCCGCCACAAGATAGCCCTGAGCATCCAGAAGCTGCGTGAGAGACAGAGCGTCCTCAAGTCCCTAGAGAAGGTGAGGACCTGGTTTCTGCATCTTCAAGGCCAGCCAGCCACTTGGTGGTACCAGTAGACCAAAGGCCCTGAGTTGGCCTCCAGACTCCTCGGATGTGGCCTCCAAAATTCCCAGCCCTAGGGACCCAGACTTCAGGGACCACATGCAAGCCGGCATCAAAAGGCTCACTTGCTGGTGGCTAAGAGTCTCCCCTCCCTGTCTTTCCTGGTTTGTGGTTCCAGGATCTCTGTCTTTTGACTCTACACCTTCTCTCCCCTTTTGCTTTTCCATTTCTTACTGGTCTTTCTGGTAGAGCAGAGTGTCTCTGTCTGTACAATCTCTCTTTCCATTTGATTGTTTCTAAACTCATTTTCCTTCCACATCTGATTCCGTTTCCTTGCCACTGCCTTCTGTTTGTATTTTTCCCTGCTCAGTGTCTAGGTCTGAATCTCTGATTCTATCCTTGTTGGGTCCTTGAGACTCCAACATTAGACTGGCTTTTCGTGAGTTCTGTGGGACTTCATCTTAATGGGAAAGAGGAAATGTGTACCTATATGTTTGTGGGCTTGCAGTACCCTTACATGCCTTCTCTATGTGCTGGAACCCAGGGTCCTACCCAGCCTTCTGCAAGCCCTGTCTGACTCTCTGTGTAGATACTCTCTGTCCCTCATTGTAGGGTCTGCATGTGACCCCAGCCTGTGTCCTCCCATCCAGGATGTGCTGGAAGGCGGGAACCTACGAAACGCTCTGCAGGAGCTGCAGCAGATCATCATCACTCCCATCAAGGCCTACAGTGTCCTCCAGGCCACCGTGGCTGCCGCCACCACCACCCCTACTGCCAAGGATGGGGCCCCGGGGGAACCACCGCTGCCAGGTGCTGAGCCTCCCCTAGCCCACCCCGGCACAGACAAAGGCACCGAGGCCAAGGACCCTCCAGCTGTGGAGAACTACCCACCTCCACCAGCTCCAGCTCCCACTGATGGCAGTGAGCCTGCCCCGGCTCCCGTCGCCGACGGAGACATCCCCAGCCAGTTTACACGGGTGATGGGCAAAGGTGAGACCAGCCACAGCCTAGCAGGAAATCCTGAGGCAGAAAGCCAAGTGAACCCAAGCACCAGGGATCAAATCCAAGTTCGATGGTGGGAGCAGGGCTTTGTAAAGCCTACTGGAGACTGGAACACTACAGAGAGTAGCCAAGACAGGGTGACAAGGCCCCTTGCCCTTGGGCACGTCTGGGCTGATGGTGGATAACAGCCCTTCCCCTCAAAGCGTCTCCAGGCTGAGCAGAAATGGGGCAGTGGGTCAGAAGAAATTCCATGTAGTAAAGGGTGAGCAGTTGAGGGGAGTCCATTGATTTCTCTCAGAGGGGACCAAAGTCCAGGGGATGGGGATGGTGAAATTTATCACAGCTTCAGCCTTTCCTAAAGCAGCATGATACAGCAGACTTTACACTTGGATCCAGATCAGTCTAGATCTGGATCTGGACCTGAGGCAAGTGACTCAACTCTGAGCTTTAGGTTTCTAAGGCTAAAAATGTGTGTAGTGACAAGATTGTGTCAGGCACTATGTTGTATATCCTCATGATAACCCAAATACCATGGCTAGCACTTAATAGTTGATATTCATCCAGCCTGAGTCTCCTGTTCCTTCTTGTGCACGAGCCAGCTGGAGGCTGGAACATGGCAGAGGGCATACTAGGGGTTAACCTCCTGCCCTTTCTCATGTCCCCCCAGTGTGCACCCAACTGCTGGTGTCCCGACCAGACGAGGAGAACATCACCAGTTACCTCCAGCTCATCGAAAAGTGCCTGACTCATGAGGTAAGGCCTTCCCTAGCATACTCAAAAAGGGAAAGGCGGCCAGGCGTGGTGGTTCACGCCTGTAGTCCCAGCACTTCGGCCACCGAGGCGGGCGGATCATGAGGTCAGGAGATCGAGACCATCCTGGCTAACACAGTGAAACCCAGTCTTTACTAAAAATACAAAAAATTAGCCGGGCGTGGTGGCAGGTGCCTGCAGTCCCAGCTACGCGGGAGGCTGAGGCAGAATGGCGTGAACCCGGCAGGTGGAGCTTGTGGTGAGCCAAGATCGCGCCACTGCACTCCAGCCTGGACGACAGAGTGAGGGAAAGCCTGCCCCATCTTTCTCAAGACCATTGTGTTGTATGTGGCCCATAGGGCCTTACCTGACGTGGCACATGCCAGCCCTTCCAGTCTTGTATCTTACCAGTGTTGGCTTTAGAGGCTTCTTCTCAGAACCCTTGTACACACTCTTCCTCTCTCTCTCTCTTTTTTTTTTTTTTAATAGAGACGAGGTCTCACACTGTTGCCCTGGCTGGTTTTGAACTGACCTCAAGTGATCCTTCCACCTCAGCCTCCCAAAGTGCTGAGATTACAGGCGTGACGATTTTCTTTTTTAGAGATGGAGTATTGCTTTATTGCCTAGGCTGATCTCGAACTCCTGGCCTCAAGCGATCCCCTGCCCTGGCCTCCCAAAGTACTGGGATTATAGGCATGAGCAACCATGCCCAGCCCGTACATACTCTTTTGTCAGCAACAGTACCCTTTCCTCCTCCTCACCCCTCAGCTGTCAGTTCAAACATTTATACCTCAGGGACACCTTTACCAACCCCTCATTTTTATTTAAGTTTCTTTTGCTTCCTGTTCTTCTCCCTCAGGGAGGGATAATTTGTCACAGTTATCATCATGTATGTATCTTTCCCTCACAACCAGACTGTAAGCTCTCTGGGCATGGTCACCTCTGCATCCCAGAATTGCCTGGCACAGGCACAGAGTAGATGAGCAATGAATCTTTTTTTTGGAAACAGAGTCTCGCTCTGTTGCCCAGGCTGGAGTGCAATGGCGCAGTCTCGGCTCACTGCAACCTCCGCCTCCCAGGTTCAAGTGATTCTCCTGCCTCAGCCTCCCAAGTATCTGGGATTACAGACACACACTACCATGCCTGGATAATTTTTGTACTTTTAGTAGAGGTGGGGTTTCACCATGTTGTCCAGGCTGGTCTCCAACTCCTGACCTCAAGTGATCCACCCGCCTCAGCCTCCCAAAGTGCTGGGATTACAGCTTGAGCCACCACGCCCGGCCAGGCAATAAATATTTGAACAAATGAATGGAAGACTGGAAGGGAGGTCTGAAGGAAGCATCACCCTCTCTGCTTCACCGGTGTCCTGCCAATTCTAGGCTTTCACGGAGACGCAGAAGAAACGGCTGCTATCCTGGAAACAGCAAGTGCTGAAGCTCCTCCGGACATTCCCGCGCAAAGCCGCACTAGAGATGCAGAACTACCGGCAGCAGAAAGGGTAGGCGGGTGGCCAGGTTACAGGGACCTGCCCTCCATAGGCCTTTGCTGGTTAGCAGATCGTGCTTAGAGGGGTGATTGTGTTCTGGGCTGAGAATCTAGTTTTATTCAGTCACTGGGCGACTTTCCCAGAAGAAAATTTCCACTAGAATAGGATGCTGAGCTGAAAAACAACACATGTCCCATGAGCAGGCCCCTCATATGTACCTTGCTCCTCGCCTGTATGCAGAGGGCCTGGAAGTCCCTCCTTAGACCAGACAAATAACAGAAATGTCTCCTTTGAGAATTGAAGATTGGAGAACTGTTTTGAGTGGACAGTGAAGAAACCCTTGTACATGTCCCATCTCCTTCCAGGGGGTACCCTTGGGGCAGATGAGGACAGAATGTGTGATGGAGGTTTATGTTCTCTCCTACAACTTGGGGTTGTTGGGGAAGGTGAGGAAGGGGTGGACAGATAGGCCCCATCTATGTAAATTAACACCCTGCCTTCTGCTCTCTCATAGCTGGGCATTCGGCTCCAACTCGCTCCCCATAGCTGGCTCTGTGGGGATGGGAGTGGCCCGGCGTACCCAGCGGCAGTTCCCAATGCCTCCCCGGGCCCTCCCACCCGGCCGGATGGGCCTCCTGAGCCCCTCGGGCATTGGGGGTGTCTCCCCTCGACATGCCCTCACCAGCCCCAGCCTTGGAGGCCAGGGCCGACAGGTAAGCTGGCTGGAAGCAGGGGCCTGGCCTCCTGGGGTTGGGGTGGCAGTACCTGGGATGTCTATTTGCCTGTATACTCTGTGTCTGGACCCAGCTTAGAGGTGGCGGGGGTGGGAGTGGGAGAAGGCCTGTACCACCTCCACCACTCTTGGGTCTGGGCCTCTTCTGCACTCACTACTTTCTCTCTTCCTGGGACCTGTGTAGAACCTGTGGTTTGCCAACCCTGGAGGCAGCAACAGCATGCCCAGTCAGAGCCGCAGCTCTGTGCAGCGCACCCACTCGCTCCCGGTCCACTCGTCACCCCAGGCCATTCTCATGTTCCCTCCAGGTGAGGTGCCCCACCCTTGGGACTCTGCCTGGCCAACATCCTCAGCTGACCTTTCTTTTTTCTCCTGGGTCTCATGTCCACTGTTCTTCTAGACTGCATTGGCACCTCTCCCCATACCTCACACCACTCTGCACCCATCTCCCCCAATTGTGGGGGGTTGTTTTCCTCCTCTGCTTCAATTTTATCTCTCAGGTCTTGCCCCCACCCCTCTGAGTCATCATCTCTCACCCCTTACTCCTACCCCATCTCATGTTTCCCACCCTATGTCATAATCTTAGTGTCTGTGTTGCTCTTTGTCATCATCTCTTTCTTTACAGGATCATTGAATACTCAACTTAGAAGGGGTTGAGGGGATGGGACAGTTAAAGTGTGAGATTTCTGTGGAGGGGAGTCCTGCCCATCAGCCTACTGGGATTCTTTCAGATGCCAGGTGACCACACAGGAACCAGTGGACTTCACCTCTTAGAACAGGTGTTTGAAGTGAGAGGGCTGTTTTGACCTCTGCTTACAGACCATCCTGGAGATGGGAGAGCAGAAGTTGGGCCAAGTGCGGGCACAGTAACTCACACCTGTAATTTCAGCACTTTTGGGAAGCTGAGGCAAGTAGATCGGTTTGAGACCAGTCTGGACAACATGGCGAAACCCCATCTGTACAAAAAAATACAGAAATTATCTGGGCATGGTGGCACACACCCGTAGTCCCAGCTACTCGGGAGGGTGAGGCAGGAGGATCGCTTGAGCCCAGGAGGTCAAGGCTGTAGTGAGCAGAGATTGTGCCACTGCACTGCAGCCAGGGCGACAGTGAGACCCCATCTCAAAAAGATGTTGGGACAAGTGGGCAAAAGGAAGATTAGAGACTTGCTAACCGCAGGTCCCTGCCCTGCTCAACAAGTGAGGGGTTGACTCCTCCACACGGTGCTGGCCACTGGGGCTGCAGAGACAGATAAGGCTCGTCTGGAATGGGCTGACTCTAGAGAGAGCATGGATTTGCAGAATTCATGTCATAAACTGCCAAGTCAGTCAGGAGTCTTACTTGATGAGGTTGTGTAGACAGCCATCTGTTGAGGCCGTGGGAACCCATCCATCATGTTCATCCTAGCACAGGGCTTGACACACAGTAGGCATCTGTAAATGATGTTAAACAAGCAGGTGGATGAACCGCAGGAATGAACAAGAACCATTCTCTTTACCAGCATGCTGTGTCCCAGGCTTTGTCAGACAGCTCTCCTGCACTGATTGACTCCTCCCAACTGTATGTGTAAGGACGCTGATGTTATTCATCAGTCAGCAATCTGAGACAGGTCTTGCCCAAGTTCAAAAAAAAAATTCTTTTTTTTAAGGAGAGACAATTGGGTGATCTGATACGACATGAGCTCAGGGTTCAGAGGGAACAGTGATGAGAGATGAGGGTGGAGATGGGAGCTGGGTCGTCTAAATCCAGGTAAACAGCTCGGACTTTGTCCTGATGGCAGTGAGGAGTCAGGGAAGGGTTTAAGCAGTGTAGTGAGGGAGGTCAGGTCTGCCCAGGGAGGTGGGTGGTTTCCCAGATGCCCGAATAGGAGGCCCTTTTGAGAAGTGTGGTTTGAGGACAAGTCCCATGGTGGTTGTCCTACTTTGCCCCCACCTGCCTGGCCTGCCTGGATTGAATCCTGCCCAGAGGAGCAGGTCCAAGTGGGGACAGGAAGGGTTTTGATTTAGCTTTTGCACCAAGTACAGAGCAGGTCTTCAATCAGGGAGCCTTGGGGGCTGCCCAGTGTCCAGGGCAGATGCCCAGACTGTGCTCAAGACAGTATGCAGTCTGTGTCCAGAGTAGTCACAGCAGGCTGTGTGTGGCCTCCAGGAGCTCCTTCAGTTTCAATTCCACTCTCTGCAAGTCGGGCTTTTTCTGTATTGCCAAGCCTCTGCCATTGCCATTGTCTCCTCTGCCTGTTGTGTGACACGCTCGCCTCTCTCCCTGTCCACCTCCTCCCGTTCTTCCCTCTCCCCCTCCATCTCTCTTGCTCCCTTCCCATACCAGCATCCTTTGTCATCCCAGCTGTCTTCACCTGAGTCCAGTTGGTCCTTACCACCCCCATTCTCCTCTCTCCCACCCAGACTGCCCGGTTCCTGGGCCTGACCTGGAGATCAATCCCACTCTGGAGTCTCTGTGTCTGAGCATGACAGAACACGCCTTGGGTGGTGAGCATTTCCTCTTTCCCTGACCCAGCTCCCACCTACCCAGCGTCTCTGCCTCTGAACTGAGCAACTCAGAGTCATCCTGAGGGGTCCCCAGGGGAGGCCAGACTCCAGGGAGGGCCTGACTGGGATGACAGGCTACCTGAGTGCCTTTTCTTGGGCCTCCCTCCAGCTCCTGATCTTCCTCCCTTCCTCCCTTTCTTACCACAGATGGGACAGACAAAACCTCCACCATCTGACGGGACCCACAGCCCAGCGCACCCATAGGCTCCCTGGGCGGCGGGCGGGGGCCAACCCCCAACGGGCTTCTCCGCGACAGCGAGAGGGTGGGCTGGCTCAGCTATATATTCTAATATTTTTCTACTCTCTTACCCTCTTAACTTTTGTTTAACATTGGCACATGCCTTGCTCACTCCCAGGCCCGTCGAGGGATCTCTGCTGAGGCCCGGGGAGTTGGGGGCAGCCAGGATAAAGGGGGCAGGGACTGGCCAGACTGCCTGCCTCTCTCCTTTCCTTCCTCATCCCCACCTGGTCCCATCCCACCCCTGCCTCCTCCAGACCGCTGACCACCTGCCTCTCCCCAAGGGAGCAGACTCCCCAGAGACAAACTGACCACTACCTTGTGGAGCCTGCTCAGAAACATTTGACATTTGGGGTGACGCGCAGGGCAGAGAACCTGCCCTCCAGAATGTTATTGAGAGGAGCTGGGGAGAAGGAAGGGGAGCAAGGAGAGGAAGCTCTCTCTCCTCTCCCTGCTTCCCCTTCACCATTCCCCACATTCTGCAAGGACAGGAGCCACCTTCCTCTCTCTCACCTCCCCTGGCCCTGTTCACCAGAGGTTCTCTATGATTAATTTCTTAGGCCTATTTAAGATACATATTTATATAGTTCTTAACGGTTTTTCTCTGATCATTTCCTCTCATTTTTAGAATCCCCAGGTCTCTCTCAGCCAAGACAGTGGCAGGGAGAGCCTGAACTTTATGAGGGGAGAGGGCAGAGCCCCCTCCTCCAGACCCTCAAGCTCTAACCCATTTTCCTCCAGCCCTGGCTACCCGGATGAAGAGGTTGGAGGTGGGCAGCCAGGGTAGCCAGTGAGGTCAGGAAGTCTGTTGCCTTAACGTCCCCTTCCCCACGAACACACACCCTTCTCCGCTCCCAGGTCTGGTTGGTGAGACTTGGGAGTCAGGAATAAGGGAAAGGGGATTGTTTGGTTTTTGGGTTTTTCCCTAAGCCCCTCCCTTTTCTTTCAGCCTTTTTCCTTCCCCCATTATGTCATGACCTCACTTAAGTGGAACACTATATCATAACCCAGAGATTCGTCCCAGCCCCAGAGTCCGACAGACTGTCTGGTCCCTATTCCTAATGAGGGGTTGTGTTGGGGCCCAGGTGGAGGGAGGGGATTTGGGGGTTCAGACTGCGGGGAAGCCAGGGTCTCCCTCTTCAACGCCCTCCTCCCCCTCAACCCACCTTCCCAACTGGGACATTCTCAAGCTTTTCACACCGAAAAGGAAAAAAAATGTTATTTTTAGATACATTTTATGAATAACTTTTGTTATGAATATGGCTGGTAACCATTGTGTATGTTATTAAAGATACAAAATGTTGGGAAAAAAACAAAAAAAACAAAAAAAAAAAAAATTTTAAAACCACCACCCTCCCTGCACTATCACCCCATTCCCCAGACCTTCTTGCCCCCGCCCTCCTGGTCTGTGGACTTCCCTCTGCTCTGAGCCCAGGGAGGGGGAAGAAGCCAGGGGGTAGGGTGGCCCTGGGAACCTGGCTCTGGGTCCCCACTTCCTCTCCCAGTGCCGGGCTGGGTGGGGTGTCAGGTTTATTTATGTACCTCTTGCACACTCATCAACCTATGCAAGTCCCCCACCCCGGCCCTCCATGTTTCTGTGCCTTTGCTCATCCCCTCAATCTCCCAGGGCTTCTCCAGTCCCCCTCCCACTAGCTGCAGGAAGTGGGATGGATGGGCCACCTCGTTTGGAATCAGCAGGGTGTCCCTCTCATGGGACCCTCCCCTCTCCCCAGCCTGTCCTGTCTTGTTCACTCTCCATCAGGGTGAGCTGACTGTGCCTGGCACTGGGAGGTGGTGAGGGACACCGTCTCACACACACAGGGAGGCAAGAGCTGCCCCCCACCCCACCTGACAGCAGAGTGTGCAGGACGCAGGCGGCCCCACTCTGATGGGCAGGACCCTGACCCTCTCCCGCTCCAGCCCCCTCCCCAGGCCCTCCTCCATGATTTCACCCTCCCTACCCACTTCTGTCCCCGGCCCCACTGGCAGAATCAGCTTTGAGTAACTGTACAGTTTTTCTCGCTGTTGGAGAAGACTTATTTGTTGGAGTTTCACTTGTTTAATGGTCTGGGCTTATTTTGGAAAAAAAAAAAACAAACAAAAAAAACGAATTCTGACCTTCGTTGTGCTACATTTTGTGGGAAACCATTGGCCCTGCCTCTGGCCTGTGTTTCTAAGCCTCAAGCCAAGATCCTTGAGCACCTGGGGGTTGCGGGAGGTATGTGCTGGGCTGAATGACATCATAGGGGCTGGGAGGGGAAGTAAAGAGAAGTTGACTTTATTAACAGCAAAGGTTTGGGGGTGGGGAACAAACAAGTGAAAGGCTCACAAACAGACCACTAGAAAAGTGCTTTGCTGCTCACAATAATGGTGTCTGAACCAGCCCTGAATGCCCTGGGACTCAGTCACTGTCACTATCAGCTTCACTGGAATCAGAAGCTGCAGCTTCACTGCCATCCTCCTGGGCCGAGTGCTCGCTGCCACTGGGGAAGGGACTGGCGCTGCGGCTGTGGCTCCGGCTCCGCTGGCCACCCCCATTGCTGCCGCTGTCTGAATCATTGTCACTGCCACCTTGGGCCTGTCCTCTGTCCTCATCATCAGAGTCGGCATCGTCCTCAGAATCAGCATCACTGCCAAAGATCTCCTCTTTGTCACGGGCAGCCCGGGCCTCATCCTCGCTGCTCTCGTCCTCACCACTGCCACTCTTGTCACTGGCCTCGTCCCTGTCACCTTCCTCCCGTTCACTCTCGCTGCCCGAGTGCTCATCTTCACTGCCCTCCTTCTCACTGCTGCTGCCCTTCTCCTGCTCCTCATCTGGAAGGGAGTGGAGAGAGATGAAACCCACTTTTCCACCCTCCCAGGGCTCCCAGAGTCTGGCCTGTCCAGATTTACCTGAGCCCCCAGCTTCTTTCTCTTCTGTCTCCATCTCCTCTTCCTCTTCCTCCTCCGGTTCGTGGTTTTCTAGCTGGGCCTTCCGTGCCTCCTGGAAGCAGCAAGATTGGAATGAGGGGAAGGAGGGTGTTCTGCTGGGTTTTTGTCCCCCTCCTCACCTACAACCACCACCCTCCCTGCCATGGGTGCCCTGAGCCAGTGGTGCTTGTTACCTGAGCTTCCAGTTCCTTCTCATTCATGTCCCGATGTTTGACCACAAGCAGGGCGTTGGTGCCTGACTGAACCCCAGCCTTGGCCCGGCGCTTACTAAGGCGGACCCTGCAGGGGGTGAATTTGGGAGAGAGAAGTGGAAGATGCAGTTAAAGACACACCTCCCACTTCCCCGCCCCCCAGTGAGGGGTCTGGTCTGACTTGGTTCCCCATCAATACTTAGAGTAAATGGGAATAAATACAGATTGAATAAGGGCAGCTAAGCTCAAGGTATTGAGGGCAGGGGAAAGGAAGGATGGCTCCCATGGCACCAGTTTGGTTGCCCTACACTGTGTGTGTGTGTTATACGGTGTATTTACATAAATACGGGCATGGGCCATTTAACAGGGACACATTCTGAGATATACATCATGTGAACATCATACAGTACTCTTACACAAACGTACATAGTATAGCCTACTACATACCTAGGCTGTAATGGTGTAGCCTATTGCTCCTAGGCTACAAGGTTGTACAGCATGTGACTGTACTGAATACTGCAGGCAATTGTAATACAATAGTAAGTATTTGTGTATCTAAACATAGAAAAGGTATAGTAAAGATACGGTATTCTATCTTAAGGGACCACCATAAGCAGTCCATTGTTGACTGAAACATGCAGTGCATTACTGTATGTGTCAGTTAGTTACCAACACTTTGAGAAACCAGGAGATGTCAAATCATTTGGATTTGGGGCTTTTGGAAGATAGGAATTTCTGGCCCCACAGCACAGCAACAGTGGGCTGGAAGTGAATAGTGCCCTCCATGGTTGCCCAGAACTCCAGGTCACTCAGATGCTACCAGCCACTGCTCTTTTACATTTCCTGCCTGGCCTATGGGGTCACAGTTCTTGTAATCTCTGCTTTAAACAGAAACTCAAGACTTCCCAACTCTACACCAGAGGTGCTGGCATAGCAGTAAACTTTGAGCCATAAGGGAAGAGTTTTGGAGTCACATTTTTGAACATGGGTTTAAGCATTTCATTTAAAACATTCATGCTAATTTTATATATTACTCCATACTTTGGCAATGTTTACTTTCACATGAAGTCTGTTACTAATACTGGGAAACTTGGCCCTCTGCCTTGCGCAAAGGCTCTAAATGTCTCCTGCATTAAGATATTCTGGCTGGGCGTGGTGGCTCACACCTGTAATCCCAGCACTTTGGGAGGCCGAGGCAGGCAGATCACCTGAGGTCAGGAGTTCAAGACCAGCCTGGCCAGCATGGTGAAACCCCATCTCTATTAAAAATACAAAAAAAATTAGCTGGCCATGCTGGCACACGCCTGTGATGCCAGCTACTCAGGAGGCTGAGGCAGGAGAATCACTTGAACCCAGGAAGCGGAGGTTGCAGTGGGCTGAGATCACACCACTGCACTCTGGCCTGGGCAACAGAGCGAGACTCCATCTCAAAAAAAAAGATTTTTTTTCTGGCTCCTCCTGTTAGAACCAAGTCCAGCTCATGTGCATGACCAGACATCTGCTGCTCTTGTTTACCAATGCATATGACAAATTCTTAGGTACAAATGACCTCCAAGGTGGCTCTTGCATGCCCCAGGGTCTTAAGAAGCACAGATCCAGGCTAATCAGATAGGAGTGTGCTGAGTACCTGGTTTCCAACTCATTGTAGTAAACCCCGTCACCCTCTCGGAAGATGAAGAAGTAGTTTTCCTCATAGCCCTTGCTAGCTTTGTTCTTCACGTTCCAGTTGTACTCCCGAGCAATTTTGTAGTCATACCTGAAGATGAGGGCACAGGTTCAGCCCCATTTCTTCCCTATCCCAATCCCCAAAACTTCCCAATCCCCAAAACTTAACCGCAACCCACGCACACATCATCTGGTGCATAGTCCATCTCCTCCTCCTGGTCCCGCTTTCGTTTCTTCAACGTCTCTTCTACAGGCAGGAAATAGGCCACAAACTGGTTCCCTTCCTCATCCATCATGCCCCTGGTTGGGGGAAAAGGAGTAGCAATGAAGTGTGAGGACAAGAGGCAGCAAGGAGCAGGCCAAGGTGGACAGCAGGACCACCTACCTAATCATGGCCTGAGACATCATCTCCAACGCAGCTGCACCACTCGTGTCCTTGGGGGCTGGGTCTGAGTCAAAGATCACCTGAGCACATGGATTGATCCACATCTAGGGAGATGGAGGCACTGGGGTTAGATGGGAACAGGCACAAATAGGCTGTCCCTTTCTACCTCCCACCTTGGGCCTGACCTTAAAGTCTGGGAAGACAGGCATGACCTCCACCGGTGTGACTCGGGGTTTGCTGTAATGCTGTGAGATCTGGTGGAACAAAAACAAGGTGAGGAGGAGCTCTGCAGCCGCACCCTTGCCTCTCCCCATCCCAGTCCCTCAATTACTGATTTCTGGGCATCCTCAAAAGTCTTCTCAATGGCTGTGATCTGGCTATCCCTGTCTTTGTATATTTCTTCCTCGGTAAACTGCTGCTTCACAGAAACCCCAATCCTAGGAATGAAGAAAAAGGTCCTTAGGGGCCACTGGACACACCTAATATCTCCACCTTCCCTCTCTTCCTGTTAGTAACTTACTTGACCTCAGGCTTCTCATTGGAGATGCCATAACGGTTGAACTCAGTGGAGATGTACTCTGTCTTTCGCATCCATGGCACCACCTTCGCGTGCTGCTGGGATCTGGGGTGGGAAATCAGGTATCTCAGGACCCCACTGCCCTCCTGCTTGTAGGGCCCACCTGAGCCAGTCTCCAGTACCCATTTGCTACCCACTCACCTCTTGGAGCTGGTGGGGGCCTGAATCTCCTCTTCCAAAAGTTTCTCATCAGCTGGATCTAGAAGAACTAGAGGAGAGCGGGGGGCAGGAGGACCATGAGGGAGGCCCAGGCCTGAGCCTTTGCTGACCTAGAGCAGACCCTCCCTGTCTCCCCACACACCATTGGGGTCGATGCGGTAGGTGTCAGGATTGATGAGATCGATGGTGACCCCCAGGTCTGGCTCAGTCAGGAGGTCATGTTTGTGCTGTTTCTCCAAGGAAGTGGCTTTGTACTGGACGAACCTGGGTGGGGAAACACCTATTGTGGTGTTTGGATTCCAGCTTCACCCCTCACAGCCCTGCTTCCCAGAGGCGGAGCTTCTCTGGGGAGGAACTCAGAATGAAGTGTCCCCCATGGCAGAGTCTGAAAGCTGGCTCCCCAGTGGGAAGGGACTTGGACACTGCTTGCTCCATTAACAATTGAGCAGCTACTACTATGTGCTAGGGTAGGTACTGTGCTAGGCCCTGAGCAGACAGCAGCCAACGAGACAAGCAGTCCCTGCCTTCAAGGAACTCATACCTGAGTAGTTTTCCCATTCCTTAGTCTCACCTGTTCTGGTCGAAGGGGTAGGTGATGAACTTGGGGTCGAAGGGGATATCAGGGAGGCTATTGCAGTACTTGACTCGGCAGACCACTCCAGACCTAGGAACATTAGTGGCTCAAAAGTGGGCCCCCGCTGCCCCACCTCTGCTCCCAGCCCCACTGCCCCACCGCTCCTGGGAAAGCACAGTGGGGCTCACCTCTCAGGCAGAGTCCGGTGGGAATTGGGCCTAGTGGAGAAGAAAGAAACAGTGATAGGTGGAGAGGACGGGATTGACAGGAGAATGAAAAAGGCTTCCCCAACCTTTCAAAAGGTAGGAGGGGTGACAAATGCTGGTTTCTTTGGGTGGTGGTGTGGGGAGTGTCCAAATGCTTTAATGGAAGGAGACAAATGTTCAATTTATTTAGGAAGAAATGCCCCCAAAAGCTTTAATGAACAAGGCCAAGTGCTCAATCCCTTTTGCAGGAGATGGCTTCAAGTGCTTTAATAAAGAACCATGTACTCAATCGTCTTCGGAAGAGGGGTCTCCAAACGGTTGACTGGAGGGATCCCTTCTGGAGGGAGTCTCCAAAAGCCTAATCCCTGAACTGCACGGCGGGGAGGAGGGGAACACCTGAATCTCAGAAGGAACCCGCCCCCTTCGTCAAAGGTGAGCGCTTCATGACGTCACGGGCAGACCTGGGGGCTGGTGACGTTGTTCAGCAGAAACCCTCTCCCGATCCCCCGCCTTGCTGCAACAGAAAAGCGTGGCGCCTACCTGTGGCCATCCTCCCGCTGGGCCTGGGTCTGGATGGTGGGCGCCATAGCGACGAGGCGACGGCAGCCCGGACGGGGTCCTAGCGGGACCGAAGGGGGACGCAGAGGGGCGTGCCGACTTCAGGGGACGCCTGATCCGAGGAAGGCCCAGCTTGGCGCCGCTCCCCGCGGAAAGTGGGTTGAGATGAGGTGGGCGGGCGAGAAGAGCTCCAGCGAGACTCAGGTGAACGCGCAGGCAGCACCGGGGACGGACTCGAAGCTCCGGTTCCACCAACTGCCGCCAAGACGCTGAGGACCCAACGGGTCTCCTCAGGCCGCGACGCCTTCGGGGAAATGAAGTCCGGCTCGGAACCACACACGGATTGGCGAGCGTCTGGGTGAAGGGCGGAGCGAGGGAGAGAGGTGCTTCTGTGATTGGTGGAGAGATATCTCAGTCTGGACGCAGATTTGAGAGTGACGTAACGTTGGGGCACCTCCTTCCCCTCCATTGGCTTAATTGCCTAGGGGGCGGGACTAACTAGCAAACGGGGACTAGAAATAGGGATGCTGAAAAGCAACGGGGAGAGACGCAGTCGTAACGCACTTCCGGCGGTCTACGCGAGGAAGATGGCTGCATCCCAGCAGCAAGCTTCAGCGGCTTCCTCAGCTGCTGGTGTATCGGGTCCTAGTTCGGCTGGCGGCCCGGGTCCCCAGCAGCAGCCGCAACCGCCAGCACAACTGGTGGGCCCTGCCCAGAGCGGCCTCCTGCAGCAACAGCAACAGGACTTCGATCCTGTGCAGCGTTATAAGATGCTCATCCCGCAGCTGAAGGAGAGTCTACAGGTGATTGGCCTTAAGCAGCGAGAAGCAAACTGGATTTGGTAGTCTAGAGGGGCAGGCCGAGGGCCAGGTTAGTCGGAGAGAGCGCTAAGCAGAAAGAGGAATAGAACCTGCTGTTTTGGCCTGGCTGGTGCACGCCTGTGTTCCCAGCACTTTGGGAGGCCGAGGCGGGCGGATCACTTGAGGTCAGGAGTTCAAGACCAGCCTGGTGAAACCTCGTCTCTACTAAAAATACAAAAATTAGCCGGGCATGGTGGCGCGCGCCTGTAATTACAGCTACTCGGGAAGCTGAGGCAGGAGAATCGCTTGAACCCAGGAGGCGGAGGTTGCAGTGAGCCGACATCGTGCCATTGCACTCCAGCCTGGGCAACAGAGCGAGACTCCGTCAAAAAAATAAATAAATAAATAAATAAAACTGTTGTTTTCTGCGAGACCTAAGCGAAGCTCGGCAGAGATGGGATCAGCGCTGATGCTGAGGCTGGGACTGGCCGGAGCTTGAGTGAGGGGTTGTTTAAAGGAGAAACTGGGCTCTGGTCGTTAAAGCCTGAGGAGAGTACTGGCTTATACGGAGATTCTGCCCTTGATTGATAGGTGAGGGAGGACCCTTAGGTTATTGGCGAGAAGCTCAGGTGAGAGCGGGCCTCTGGGAGGATGGAGTGGTGACAGCTATAGGAATGGAAACGAATATTACTTTGGAAAGTCAGGAGGGAAGGTGCCAGTTGAAAAGAAAACCTGAGACTGAGTGATCTCAAGAAAGAGTGTAGATCTGCCAGAGGTATTCCCTTTTGTTTTTCCATTTCCCACGTGTTTTGTTTTTGTTTTGACTAGACCTTGATGAAGGTTGCGGCCCAAAACTTGATTCAGAACACTAACATCGACAATGGACAGTGAGTGCAGCCCCCTTTACCAGGATATTCTATTGCCTTCCCAGTCTTTGAAATTCATCTTTCCTTCTCCTGCTCCCCGCCCACCTCACCTTCTATATTTACTTTTTTTTTTTTTTTTTTTTGAGACAGGGTCTCCCTCTGTCACCCAGGCTGGACTACAGTGGCACGATCTTGGCTCATTGCAGCCTTGAACACCTGAGTTAGGAGATCCTCTTGCCTCAGCCTCCCAAGTAGCCAGGACTACAGACATGGCTACAGACTACAGATGCCTGGCTAATTTGTAAGATTTTTTTATAGAGACGGAGTCTTGCTATGTTTCCCAGGCTGGTCTCAAACTCCTGGCCTCTAGCCATCCCCTCAGCCTCACGAATCACTTCTCCTATTTTATTTTATTTTTGTTGTTGTTTTGTAGAGACAGGGTCTTGCCACGTTGTCCAGGCTGGTCTCAAACTCCTGGGTTCAAACAGTCCTTCCACCTTGGCCTCCCAAAGTGCTGGGATGACAGGCATGAACCATCATGCCCAGCCTTTTCCTTTTCTTTCTTTCTTTCTTTCTTTTCTTTTTTTTTTTTTTTTTTTTTTTTTTTTTTTTGAGACAGAGTCTTGCTCTGTCGCCCAGGCTGGAGTGCAGTGGTGTAGTCTCAGCTCACTGCAACCTCTGCCTCCCGGGTTCAAATGATTCTCCTGCCTCGGCCTCCCAAGTAGCTGGGACTACAGGCGCGTGCCAGCACATCTGGCTAATTTTTGTATTTTTAGTAGAGATGGGGTTTCACCATGTTGTCCAGGCTGGTCTTGAACTCCTGACCTCAGGTGATCTGCTCGCCTCGGACTCCCAAAGTGCTGGGATTACAGGCGTGAGCCACCGTGCCCAGCCTCCTTTTCTTTTTTTTTGAACCCCTCCGGTTTTCAACCACTACTTCAGATCTCCTGGACCTGTACCTGGTTTCCTGATGGACACTTGGTTGGGTAGATACTGGTGTCCCAAAGATTAGAAATCAATTCTTCAGACATCCTTTTTTCCTTGTCTGTAGAAAGAGCAGTGATGGACCCATACAGCGCTTTGACAAGTGCCTGGAAGAGTTCTATGCACTCTGTGACCAGCTGGAGCTGTGCCTGGTAAGAAGCCTTCTGGACACGGGGTAACAACAGCCGTGTCCCAGTCTCTGGGGTCTTCAGAAACAGTCAGTCAGTCAACTCACACTCAACTGGGGACCTCCTGTGGGCCAGACCTGTGCTTCCACCAACACTGAGGACACAGGGTTGCTCTGATCCTTGCCCTTGCAGAGCTTTCAGTTGAGTGGAATAATAAGCACACCCCTAAACAGTGACAGCTCAGAGTGGTCAGTGCTGTGATGGGAGAAGCCTAGGCCAGAGTGGTTAGGGTTATGATTGAGGAGGCACAGGCAGAGGGATCAGGGCTGGGATGGGGAAATCTCAGTGTGGAAGCCCAGGGTGGGGATAGGGAGAGAGTGGCTTAGGGAAGGCTACTGCTAGACAGCACATCTGACCAAGTCTGAAACAAAGAAGAGAAGAGGGGCAGGAGTTGAGAGGAGGGTAAGTGACTAAGAATACAGCCTCTGGAGTCAGATGCACCATCAATCTCTACCTCTGACCTCTGGGTTCCTCCTTAGGAAAACGGAGTTTCCAGGAAAACTTAGATTATGCGTGTAAACTGCTTAACATGATACCAGGCATATGGCAAATGTGTACTGTAGTATCATCATTATTTTGGACTGGTTTTTTTGGTGGGGGGGTGTGGGGGAGGACAGTCTCACCATCACCCAGGCTGGAGTGCAGTGGCACGATCTAGGCTCACTGCAATCTCCTCCTCCCAGTTTCAAGCGATTCTGGTGCCTCAGCCTCCCAAGTAACTGGGACTATAGGCATACCACGCCTGGCTAATTTTTGTATTTTTAGTAGAGATGGGGTTTCACCATTTTGGCCAGGCTGGTCTTGAACTCCTGGCCTCAAGTGATCCACCCGCCTCAGTCTCCTAAAGTGCTAGGATTACAAGCATGAGCCACTGCACCCGGCCTTTTTTTTTTTTTTTTTTTTTTTTTTGAGACAGAGTCTCACTCTGTCGCCAGGCTAGAGTACAGTGGCGCGACTTCAGCTCACTGCAACCTTGGCCTCCCAGGTTCAAGCGATTCTCTTGCCTCAGCCTCCTGAGTAGCTGGGACTACAGGCACGCACCACCACGCCCAGCAAATTTTTGTATTTTTAGTAGAGATGGGGTTTCACCATGTTGGCCAGGATGGTCTTGATCTCTTGACCTTGTGATCCACCCACCTCACCCTCCCAAAGTGCTGGGATTACAGGCGTGAGCTACCACACCCGGCTTTTTTTTTTTTTCCTCCAAGTCAGAGTCTCACTGTGTCGCCCGGGCTGGACTGCAGTGGCACAGTCTCGGCTCACTGCAGCCTCTACTTCCTGGGCTGAAGTGATCCTCCCACCTCAAAGTAGCTGGGACTACAGGCATGCACTGCCATGCCTGGCTAATTTTTGTATTTTTTGTAGAGACGGGGTTTTGCCATGTTGCTCAGGCCAGTCTTGAACTCCTGGGGTCAAGCAATTCACCCACCTCAGCCTCCCAAGCGCTGGGATTACAGACCGCTGTGCCGGGCCTGGCCTGGGTTTTGAAGGAAAAGTGGGAGGTTGAGAAGCTTGGTAGTGTCAGAACCATGTTCCAAACAGAGGGAATAACATTTGCTTTAAATTTGTTTTAGGAACATCAAGTAATTCATTCTGGCTGAGGTGTGGTAGGCATAGGGCTTGTTGGATTTTGAATATAATCCTAAGGGCACTGGGGAAGCATGGAGGGTTTCAAGCAGGGAAGAATATGGACCTATCTGCTTTTTAGGAATATACCTCTGGCTGACAAATGAGGGGAGGTTGAACCCTGGAGGCAGGAGCCCAAGGGCGCAGCCATGGCAGGATCCAAGGACGCCTGGACTGGGCTCCACCAGGGCGGGGTCGTGAGGAAATGGGGAAGACTGGGGGAACTTGAGAGGCTTCGTGTGCAGGGCTTTGTATATGGGCCACAGGACCGGTGTGCTGGAAGGAGATAAAGTTTCTAGGATGAGGCCCAGGACTCTGGTTTATAATGGAGGACTGTCACTGGGCCCGGTGATTCATGCCTGTAATCCCAGCACTTTGGGAGGCCGAGGCAGGCGGATCACAAGGTCAGGAGATCGAGACCATCCTGGCTAACACGATGAAACCCCGTCTCTACTAAAAATACAAAAATTAGCCGGGCGTGGTGGCAGGCGCCTGCAGTCCCAGCTACTAGGGAGGCTGAGGCAGGAGAATGGCATGAACCCGGGAGGCAGAGCTTGCAGTGAGCCGAGATCGCACCACTGCACTCCAGCCTGGGTGACAGAGCGAGACTCCGTCTCAAAAAAAAAAAAGGAGGACTGTCCCCGAAACAGGGACCTAGGAGAAGCAGTTTTGGGGAGTACAAGGGCCCTACAAATGTCAGGGGGAGGCCAGCGACAGTGTGGGCGCCATTAGTGCAGAGGTGGAAACTGAGTGGTGTGCGTGGGTGTGACAGCCCTGGGAGGGCTTGAACAGTGAGAGAAGACAGGGCCTAGGAATGGCTGCACTTACGTCTTAGGTAGTGTAAGAAGTACCTAGAGCTGGTCAGGCGCGGTGGCTTGTGCCTGTAACTCCAGCATTTTGGGAGCCTGAGGCGGGCAGATCACAAGGTCAGGAGTTCAAGACCAGCCTGGCCAACATGGCAAAACCCTGTCTCTACTAAAAATACAAAAATTAGCCAGGCATGGTGGCGTGCACCTGAAATCCCAGCTACTTGGATGAGACAAGAGAATCTCTTGAACCCGGGAGGTGGAGGTTGCAGTGAACCAAGATGGCGCCACTGCACTCCAGCCTGGGTAACAGAGCGAGACTGTCTCCAAAAAAAAAGGGGCCGGGCACAAGTGGCTCATGCCTGTAATCCCAACACTTTGGGATGCCAAGGCGGGTAGATCACGAGGTTAGGAGTTCGAGACCAGCCTGGCCAATATGGTGAAATCCCGTCTCTACTAAAAATACAAAAATTAGCCAGGCTTGGTGGCATGCACCTGAAGTGCCAGCTCCTCTGGAGGCTGAGGCAGAAGAATCACTTGAACCCAGGAGGCAGAGGTTGCAGTGAGCCAAGATCGTGCTACTGCACTCCAGCCTGGGCAACAGAGCGAGATTCCACCTCAAAAGAAAAAAAAAAAAGCCTGGGCGCGGTGGCTCATGCCTGTAATTCCAGCACTTTGGGAGGCTGAGGCGGGTCGGTCACCTGAGGTCATGAGTTTGAGACCAGCATGGCCAATGTGGTGAAACCTTGTCTCTACTAAAAATAAAAAAAAAATTAGCCGGGTGTGGTGGCGGGTGCCTGTAATCCCAGCTACTCGGGAGGCTGAGGCAGGAGAATCACTTGAACCTGGGAGGCGGAGGTTGCAGTGAGCTGAGATCGTGCCATTGCACTCCAGCCTGGGCAACAAAACCGAAACTCCATCTCAAAAAAAAAAAAGAAAGTAGTACCTAGAGCAGCCAGAGAAGCAGGCAGAAAACCAGGGGTGAGATGCCACTGCCAACACCAGGCCTGGAGCCAGGGCAGTAACAATGATAGTAGCTAACAGTTCTTGGCACTTTAAACAGTGTGCCAGGACCCGTGCCTGTGTCTCATACACCTGCTCTCACTGTTCTCACCTTATGAGGTAGGAAGAGGTGGTTATTAAACCCGTTTTCCAAAGGAGGAAACTGAGGCTCAGAGAAGAGTAGCCGCCATGCCCCCAGGTTCCCCAGCAAATGACTGGCAGGGCCAACCTCTGACTCTAAGACCTGGGAAATCCAGAGGCCAAGCCGACAACCCCCAGCTGGCCCTTGGGGTGGGGTAGAATGACCTCGGGTGGAGCTGATGCTGTCCCCTTGCCTGCCTGTCCACAGCGCCTGGCGCATGAGTGCCTGTCACAGAGTTGTGACAGTGCCAAGCACTCTCCAACGTTGGTGCCCACAGCCACCAAGCCCGACGCAGTGCAGCCTGACAGCCTCCCCTACCCACAGTACCTGGCGGTCATCAAAGCCCAGATTTCCTGTGCCAAGGACATTCACACCGCCCTGCTGGACTGTGCCAACAAGGTCACGGGCAAGACACCCGCACCACCTGCTGGCCCTGGGGGCACTCTGTGAAGTGGGGGACAGGGAGTGGGGCAGGCAGTGGTTGGTGGGTGGTGTGCAAAGGGAATGAAGAGCGTCCTGGGCCTAAACACAGCAGCCTCCTCTCTTCCTGCCTGAGCACCGCAGCGGGAGCCAGCAGGGGGCAGCAGAGGCCAACAGGGAGCTCGCAGGCCGGGCCCCTGCGTCCCTGCCCCTTCTTCCTGCTCCCCCTCCTAGCCTAGGGTAGACTTTGAACTGTGTGTGTTGATGACTTCTCTGTTCCACAGGCCCTCCCCCATTCTTGCCTGGGTGTGGAGCCCTGGCTGTCCCCTCTCCCTCAGTCCTTCCTGACTGTCTCCAGCTGGGAGGTGGTCTCTGTGTGCCACTCCTCTGTGTCTCTATTACAGTTGTGTCTCTCTCATCCTGTCTCTTTTTCCCTTGTTTCTCTGTTCCTGTTAATGTGTTTCTCCCCATGGTCCTATTTCTCTCACTCTGACCTCTCTCTCTTAGTCCCCTTTAGCTGTCTTCTATCCCCAGCTCCTAACTGGGACTCTGTGTCTATGCAGGGGGCCAGCACCCCTGGGTTATCTGGGGCTAAGGGAAGGGACTTCATTTCCAGGGGCCACAGCCAAGCCCAGAGTCCCCCAGCGGCTCGCATGTCAGCCCAGACCCCAGGGTCCTTGGCCTAGGAGAGGAGCAGTGGAGGGGCCCAGGCTCTGAGCTCCACAGGTCTGAGCAGGGAGCAACTCAGGCCCCCACCCAAGCCTGCGTCAGCGGAACTTGAGTGAGGGGCGTTGTGCAATTTGTGGCAAGGCTGGCCCAGCTGGATGCCTGGGTCCCAGTATTTTTAGCCCCAAAGGAGAAGTGAAAAGGCCCCAGCCGGGGTGAATCATCAGTCCTGGGGAAGAACCCAGGCGCCTGAGCCCCAGCTCCGGGAAGCAGGCACTGGGGAGGGGGCTTCAAGGAGGGAGTGCCCCCTCAGACTCCCTGCTTCCCTGGAAGCTTCAGGAAGCTCAGCCTCAGCCTTCAGGCCTGAGCAAGTGCAGGGCGGAGCTACCAGCCCAGGCTCAGATGTTGGGGTGTGAAAGCCTCAAGTGACTCAGCCTGGTTGGAGAACTGCCCCACCCAGTATCTTCTGTGCCATGGTTCCCACATTCGCACTCCATGGCCTCCTGTCCTGGACCCCACGTCTGCAAGGAAACCCTAGGACCATGGATACCTCTGTGATTCACGCTGAGCCCAAGTCCCCACACTGGAAAACTGGGAAATGGCCAGCTGTGTGTCCCAGGAAATTCCTCCCCTTATTCTTCCTTGAAGTGCCCGAGCATGTAGGGCAAGAAGGAAGGCTGAAGCGCTGTCCCTAGGAGGAATTTCTCCTTCAGGGGAGCCTCAGTTTTGCCCATTTATCTAATTGAATCAGTTTTTTACCCAATCCCCCGATTTTGTAGGATAATCTCCCTTATCTAAAGTCAACTGATTATGGACTTTAATCACATCTACAAAACACTTCCATGGCGACAGCTAGATGAGTGTTTGAATAACTGGGACTGTAGCCCGTCCAAGTTGACACATAAAACTGACCATCGGGCCGGGGGCGGTGGCTCACGCCTGTAATCCCAACACTTTGGGAGCCCGAGGCGGGCGGATCACAAGGTCAGGAGTTCGAGACCAGCCTGGCCAACACGGTGAAACCCCGACTCTACTAAAAATACAAAAAATTAGCCGGGTGTGGTGGCACACACCTGTAGTCCCAGCTACTCGGGAGGCTGAGGCAGGAGAATCGTTTGAACCTGGGAGGCAGAGGTTGCAGTGAGCCAAGATCACACTATTGCACTCCAGCCTGGGCGACAGGGCAAGACTCTGTCTCAAAAAAAATAAAAAACTGACCATCTAGTCCTTGTCATCTGGGCACCCTCACACATCTCCTTAACCACACTTAATCTCCAAATAAGTACGATAACATAGTCATAGTCCCACCCAACATGATGCAGTTATCTTGCATACAACTGAAGACAACTAACCCTTTCCCCAACAGAGCCCACCAGCAGTGGTGGAGATGTCGGTCCATGAGCGCACACACAAGACTGAGGGACTGTCGGCCCTCCCAGGTGGTGTCAACACAACATCACACACAGGTGGGGGGGCCTGATAGCCCAGCACCCATGATACAGGGCCTACCAATGCTTAAAACCACACCCAGGGAGCCCACAGAGGCACTCAGTGGGTGGTGGGGTGATGGATACACATCTATCAGGCACAGGGCGGAGGTGGGCACCACTGAGTTGCACTCAGCAAACACATTGGGTATCTTGTGCCCAAGGCCTGTATTTGTGGAGCTGATGTTCTAGTGAGAGACAGTAAATGTGACAAAAGTAAAATATATCAGATGGTGAGAAAACAGAAAAATGAGATCAGAAGTGGAGATGTTGGGGCCAGGCACAGTGGCCCAGGCCTGTAATCCCATCACTTTGGGAGGTGCAGGCAGGCAGATGGCTTGAGCCCAGGAATTCAAGACCAGTCCGAGCAACATAGCAAAAGCCCTTATCTGCAAAAAATTCAAAAATTAGCCAGGTGTGGTGGTGCGTGCCCAGGTTCCCAGGTACTCGGAGGCTGAGAGGTGGGAGGATGCCTTGAGCTTGAGAGGTTGAAGCTGCAGTGAGCTGTGATCGCACCACTGCACTCCAGCTTGGTTCATGGAGACCCTGTTTTTTTAAAAAAAGAAGTGGAGGTGTTTACACCAGCAAAATACTCATTTTTTAAGTGTAATTAAGTTGAAGATCAAAAAATGGAAATGTATAATTAAATCATACTTAGCAAATCTAACACATGAAATGTAACATCTGCATATGGAGAATCGTGTTACTTTATTGAAAAACATTAAAAGTTTGAGAACTTAAGTTGGATTGTGGTTTCGTGAGCATTCATTATGGTTTATATATGTTCCATGTATTTATTATTAAATAGATGACAAGGGTTTTCTTATTCTTGTTTATATATGTTTGAGACCAGTCTCACTCTGTCGCCCAGGCTGGAGTGCAGTGACGCCATCTCGGCTCACTGCAACCTCCGCCTCCTGGGTTCACGTGATTCTGCTGCCTCAGCCTCCCAACTAGCTGGGATTACAGGCGTGCATCACCACACCTGGCTAATTTTTGTATTTTTAGTAGAGACGGGGTTTCACCATGTTGGCCAGGCTGGTCTTGAGCTTCTGACCTCAAGTGATCTGCCCGCCTCGGTCTCCCAAAGTGCTGGGATTACAGGCACAGGCACGAGCCACTGCAGTGGGCCTTTTAATTTTTGTTTTAATCCTTGACAGAGGTCAAGGAAGGCCTCACTGAGAAGGCGATATTAGAGCAGCCCCGAAGGAGAGGGAATGAGCTTGGGGACATCCACACATCCAGGCAAGAGTGCTCCAGACAGAGGGAACTGCAAGTGCCAGGGACCTGGGACAGGAATGTGCTGGGATTTATGGAACACATAAAAAGGAGGCTTGGGCACAATGAGGGAGCAGGGATAGGAGAGGAAATCCAGACAGGTCACAGAGGGCCTTGGTGAGGACTTGGGTTTGCTAGGTAACTAAACCCAGAGGGAGACTACACAGTCTGGTGCACACTGCATGCTCCAGGGACGGGGTGTACGTGAGGTGCACAGCCACCACAAAACAGACCGTGGGGACTCCAGCACACAGCATGTCTGCCCCACTGCAGAGCTAACCCACCATCCTACAATCATGGTGCCCCCAGGGACCCCATCCCATTGACAGTCCCACAAACATACTTTCAGGGAGCAACCCAGCCACATGAATACACAAACAACCCTCTAACCACCACTTTACCAGATAAGCTATCTCTCACCCCATCGCAGACTTTGCCCATCACAGGCTGACTCAGCCCTGTCCTTAGCCCAGCACTATCAGAAGCAGCCTCATCGGCGCTGCCCCAGCTTCTCAGGTACTCATGTCTGCACGTCTGCTCTGCCCACAGAGGCCGACACAAGAACAGTGACATGGAGGGGGGAGCTCGCCAGCTACTCTCCCCATCACGCAGGCTGTAGACGTCAGAAACCAAAGTTCATCGGTTTCTCTGCCTTGTGACTCGGGCCACAGGAACTGCATTCAGACGCCGGCCTGCTGTGGTCTGCACATGCAGTCTCAGACACCCACGACAAAGGACGTGGACATATGTGAACACTTCACACACCCAGGGACTACACACACTGAGCCACAAAGGCCTTGCACACGGCCACAGCTGCAGAGTCACAGATGCTGACACAGCTTCAAATGTGTGTGCCGGGTGTGGTGGCACGTGCCTTTAGTCCCAACTACCTGGGAGGCTGAAGTGGAAGGATCGATTCAGCCTGGGAGGTCGAGGCTGCACTCCAGCCTGGGCAACAGAGCGAGACCCTGTCTCAAAGCAACACACACACACAAAGTTGTGTGTGCACACAGCCTCAGTCACAGGGGAGGGCAGTCATTCCCTCACCCAGGCACCTGCGCGGAGTTACACACACTTAGTCACTGCAGATCCCACAGTGGCTCAGAGCTACGCACAGATATGCAGGTGGGGATGAAAATCTCATGTTCTTAAGAATGCCGCCTCAGAGACAAATTGCAGTACAGTTACAACAGAGCATCCACCCCACACCCAGAGATGGCCAAAGTACACACGGTACAGTCGATCACACAGGCGGTTTCACACATTGATTCACACAGCCAAGTCATGCGGGATTGTATGCACACAGCCTTCTCACAGGAAACTGGGCACACTCGTGTCCCTCACGTTCCCCCACTGCATACCCAGGCACACAGGCTCTCGCAGCCCCAGATGCCAAGGCGCACACCTTTGCACCCGCAAGCACACATACTGTTCACACAACCGGGTACACATGACGGCTAGCCCAGGCCCGCCGCCCACGCAGTCGCAGGCCAGGGTACACACGGCCAGCGCCGCCCTTGGCCACGCCCGCTCAGGCCCAGGCAATCGCGCCAGGCGCACACACGGCGCGAGCACACGTGCCGCGGGTACACGATCCCCAGCTCGCCCGCGCACTCGGCCAGCTCTCACACCCCCGCGTTTCCCGTCCCCGCTTGTTTTTCTGGAAACTCTGCTCTCCCCTCCCCTCCCCCTAGGCCGGAAGTGTTGGCTGTATTTTTAGCCTCTCTGGTTTCCGCCCCTTTCCTTCTTTCCCCGCCCGCCCAGGACTGGCCCCAGCGCCCCGCGGGGGGACCCCGGCCATCCCCTTCCCCACCGTCATTCCAGAGGGGATTCCCGGCCGCCGCTGGGGCCGCGGATTTTCCCGCTGGCTACGTAGGGAGCAGGGAGGAGTCCTGCCATGAACTTCCTTCTGGCCTGGGACGCCCGAGATCTGAGGGGAGGGCTGAGGGCCTGGTCTCCTGGATCTGATCGAGGACAGGCTGGGGGTCTCCCGGGTCTGAGGGAGGAGGAGTTAGGGGCCTGAACCGCTGGATCTGAGGGAGGAGGAGATGGGGGCCTGGACCCCTGGGTCTGAGGGAGGAGGGGCTGGGGTCTCGGGGGACCTGAGGATCTGAGGGAGGAGGGGCTGGAGGCCTGGACCCCTGGGTCTGAGGGAGGGGGGGTTGGGAGTCTCCCGGGTCTGAAGGAGGAGGAGTTAGGGGCCTGGACCCCTGGATCTGAGGGAGGAGGAGCTGGGGGCCTGGACCCCTGGTTCCGAGGGAGGAGGGGCTGGGGGCCTGGACCCCTGGATCCGAGGGAGGGGGGTGCTGGGGGCCTGGAGTCCTGGGTCTGAGGGAGGAGGGGCTGGGGACCCAGGGCCCTGGGTTACTGCGAGGGAGGAGGGACTGAGGCCTTGGCTCCTGGGTCCCCCAGGTCTGTGGGTTTGGGGAGGTGGAGGACCAGTCCTTCTGCGAGCAAAGCATCCCCCTCCTTTGAGAGTGGCCCTATCCCAAAAGTCCTGACTCTTGGGGCCGATGACTCAGCAGATGGGAGAGAGGAGGGGGACAGCCTGACTCAGGGATGGGAAATGCTCCCGGTCTCCAGGGAGTAGAAACTGGAATCCCTCCTCCAGGATTGATCGCAGCCCGAGCTGAGCCGGGCTCCGCGAACCCAAGGATGCCCCCAACCCCCCTTTCCCCGCCTCAATCCTTTAAGCTGCGTAAGGATTTGGAGATCGGCCTAGAGGCGGGTCCCAGGTCCCCCTCCTCCCCCCTTTTTCCCCGTTGTCCTCAAGGCTCTGTTTACAGGAGACGGGAGCCCTGGTTACAGGAGAGGAACCCGAGTGTCCGGGCTGAACCTCCTCGTCACGGCTTCCAGGAAGCCCCCACTCCCCCGCCCCTTGCGAGTGAGTCACGGGCGAGCAGGAGGCCACAACCGTGCCAGAGCCGCCCGCGGCCCGCCCAGCTCACGAGACCGGCCCGGGAAGGCCCCTCAGCAAGCGCCGCACCAGGGATTCCCCCCCGCCGCTCTCGGACGAAGCAGGTCGACGTGGAGCCTGGCAGAATCTCCCCACCTTAATACAAGCCCGCAGCCTGCAAGAATGAACTTTCCACCATTATAACTGCGCACTGTGGCAATGATTTCTACCCCCACATTTTCACTCAGGGCATCCAGCTCTCCAGCACCCCTTAGAAAATAGTCTTCCTAGATCTTAAGAGGGTTTTCACTTAGGGCGACCCTTTGATAACAAAAGATGTGCCAGTGTGGGGAATGATCCTTGAAAATGTAGTCTGGGCGGGGTGCGGTGGCTCACACCTGTAATCCCAGCACTTTAAGAGGCCGAGGCAGGTGGATCACCTGAGGTCAGGAGTTCGTGACCAGCCTGACTAACATGGTGAAACCCCCGTCTCTACTAAAAATACAAAAATTAGCTGGGCGTGGTGGCCGGCGCCTGTAATCCCAGCTACTCGGGAGGCTGAGGCAGGAGAATCACGTGAACCCGGGAGGCAGAGGCTGCAGTGAGCTGAGACCGCGCCATTGCACTCCAGCCTGGGCAACAAAAACGAAACTCCATCTCAAAAAAGAAAAAAAAAAGGAGGCCCGGCCGGCTTGGTGGCTCACACCTGTAATCCCACCACTTTGGGAGGCCGAGGCGGGTTGATCACGGAGGTCAGGAGATCGAGACCACCCTGGCTAACACGGTGAAACCCCGTCTCTACTAAAAATACAAAAAATTAGCCAGGCGTGGTGGTGGGTGCCTGTAGTCCCAGCTGCTCGGGAGGCTGAGGCAGGAGAATGCGTGAACCCGGGAGGTGGAGCTTGCAGTGAGCCGACATCGCGCCATTGCACTCCAGCCTGGGTGAAAGAGCGCGACTCCGTCTCAAAAAAAAAAAAGGAAAATGTAGTCTGAAGGCACACCCCACTATAAGAGACCCATCCAGCCATCAACTGAGGATGACCTTTTTTTTTTTTTTTGAAAGCTTTTTTCAATCAATGCAACCATCAGTTATAGTGAAAGACCTCCACCTTGCCAATCTTGAGTTTTCTCAGAGGGCAAACCTCGACATAATTTCAGACCCTAGTATGAGGCCTGTGCCATTTGCTAGCTCGAACTAGGAGAGTAACTTTATTTTTCCCCCTGAGAGGGAGTCTCGCTCTGTGGCCCAGGCTGGAGTGCAGTCGCCTGATCTCGGCTCATTGCAACCTCTGCCTCCTGGGTTCAAGCGACTCTCCCACCCCAGCCTGCTCCCTCCCCGCCCCCGAGTAGCGGGACCACAGGGTGTGCGCCACCACACTCAGCTAATTTTTGCATTTTTGTAGAAATGGGGATTCGCCGTGTTGCCCAGGCTAGTCTCAGACTCCGAGCTCTAGTGATCCGCCTGCCTTGGGCGCCCAAAGTGCTAGGACTACAGGTGTGAGCCGGGCAGGAGAGTAACTTCACTTTGGTTTCCTCCTGCCTTAAATGGGCATACCACCTGGCATTAGGATTAATGTGCGTAAAGTACTTAGAACTCAGCCCAGGTGAGTTCTCCTTAACTCAGCCTAGAAGAGATCATCCGCCCGAGGGTGAGGGGGCTAGAGCCGCCCTGTGAATTGGGAAAGGAGGCCCCTTTTCAGCCTTGCCAGGTATCCTGGACCCCACCCAACCCACTCACTCACCCACCCAACCCCAGCAAGTGGGGAGAGGGAGAGCAGTCCAGGTCTCCTTATCTGTCTGGGCTGTTTAGGAGTGAGACCACACAAGGCAGGCAGTTCTCAGAGAATTCCCCTCCAAGGCCTGCTGGCTCTTTCTTGGCACTTTGCTCTGCAGATTTCTTTCCGTAAGTGCTTATTTCTCACAGTCTTTCTCCTTTTTGTCCAGTTTCTTTTTCTTTTTAATTTTTTTAAATAGTATTTTTTGTAGACATGGGATCTCACTGTTGCCCAGGCTGATCTTGAACTCCTGATCTCAGGTAATCCACCTGCCTCATCCTCTGAAAGTACTGGGATTGGCCGGGCTTGGTGGCTCACACCTGTAATTCCAGCTCTTTGGGAGGCGGAGGTGGGAGGATCGCTTGAGCCCCGGAGCTGGAGATTAGCCTGGGCAACATAGGGAAACCCCGTCTTTCAAAAAAAAAAAAAAAGAAGAAGAAAAAGGAAAGAAAAACACAAAAAGTGCTGGGATCACAGGTGTGAGCCACTGCGCTCAGCCCCTTTCTGTTTCTTTTTGTGATCCTCCCAACCCTCTTCTCCCTCTGAATCTGTCTCTGGGACTGTCTCTGTCTCCCCGTCTTCCCTCCCTTCCTCACCCTGTCTATCTCTCTCTGTATGTCTCTTGGTGTGTGTGTCTCTCTCGATGTTTTTCTCTCTGCCTGTCTGCCTGTCTGTACCCCTCTGCGTCTCTCCCCGCCCCCATCCGTCTGTGTCGCACGCGCACCCCCATCGGGCTTCTGCTCTTGTCAATTGCCCCTGGGGCCCTGCCCCCACCTCCGCCCCAGTTTCCTTCTACAAGCCTCAGTCTCCAGCTTTGAAAACTGGGCAGGCGTCCCCCCATCCGCACCCCCACCCCTTCCCCACGCATTCCCCGCTCGGTCACGGCTGTCCACCGGCCAAGCTCAGGCGCGTCCTGGCCCAGGGCCGGGCGGAAGGGAACCAGTCCAGGGCCAGCCAGGCTGCGCCGGGGGCGCGCGTCCGGGAAGCGCCCCTCCTGCCCCGCCCCCGGCCCCGGCCCCGGCCCCGCCCCGTGCTTGCAGTTTCCTATAAGTAGCCGGCTCTCGGTGCCAGCCTCAGCCTGACTTCAGCGCTCCCACTCTCGGCCGACACCCCTCATGGCCAACCGTTACACCATGGATCTGACTGCCATCTACGAGGTGAGTCCCCGCCGCACGGCATCCCCGGTACCTGCATGCCTGAGTCCGAGTCCCCACCTCTCTAGCGCCGCAAACTCCAGCCCGGGACGCTTGCCTCCCTTCTCCAACTGGGGCTCCCTAGCGCCGCGCCCTCCAGCCTGGGGCCCCTGCCTCCCGCTCAGACCAGCTTGGTGATTTGGAGGTGAAAATGGAACCCGCGACACCCGGCTCTTCGCTCAAACATGGGTGGGGCGGCCCATGCAAGTGGAAAGTCGGAGAACTTTTCTCAGACCGAGGCTGCCTGGAGGCGGAAGTGGCCCCCATACCTGGCTCACCCCTAGTCGTTGCTGAGGGCGTGGTTTTGCGCGGAGGCGTCTCTGGGGCTGAAGTCTCAGGGTGGGGGGATCCGACTTCTGTCTCTCCAGTCCCTGACCGTAGAGACAGAGAACCCTAAAACCGAAGCAATCCGGACTTCCAGGTCAACTTTGCCCGGTTTCTCCAGTTGTGAAACTGGAGATCCCGACGCGTGGGTCATATCCGGGGAGGACAAGAGACCCAAAATTGGGAAACAGTGGTGCGCCCTGACTTCGGGGTCCCCCTCTTGGTCCAGCCGGGGAAGCCGGGATTCCTGGGTCCCTCGGGATAAGGCCTCGGTGGTGGGTAAACTCAGAACCTCCAACTCTGGGTTCCTGGCATCCGGAACCCAGGGGTTTCTGCGGGCGGGTGGGGCTCAGGCGGGGAGCCCACAAACCGGCCTGGCAAGCTCTAGTTCCCTGCAGCTGGGGTGGGGCGTCGCCCTGCATTTTCAGGTGCCTTAACCGACCCATTTCCGCAGAGCCTCCTGTCGCTGAGCCCTGACGTGCCCGTGCCATCCGACCATGGAGGGACTGAGTCCAGCCCAGGCTGGGGCTCCTCGGGACCCTGGAGCCTGAGCCCCTCCGACTCCAGCCCGTCTGGGGTCACCTCCCGCCTGCCTGGCCGCTCCACCAGCCTAGTGGAGGGCCGCAGCTGTGGCTGGGTGCCCCCACCCCCTGGCTTCGCACCGCTGGCTCCCCGCCTGGGCCCTGAGCTGTCACCCTCACCCACTTCGCCCACTGCAACCTCCACCACCCCCTCGCGCTACAAGACTGAGCTATGTCGGACCTTCTCAGAGAGTGGGCGCTGCCGCTACGGGGCCAAGTGCCAGTTTGCCCATGGCCTGGGCGAGCTGCGCCAGGCCAATCGCCACCCCAAATACAAGACGGAACTCTGTCACAAGTTCTACCTCCAGGGCCGCTGCCCCTACGGCTCTCGCTGCCACTTCATCCACAACCCTAGCGAAGACCTGGCGGCCCCGGGCCACCCTCCTGTGCTTCGCCAGAGCATCAGCTTCTCCGGCCTGCCCTCTGGCCGCCGGACCTCACCACCACCACCAGGCCTGGCCGGCCCTTCCCTGTCCTCCAGCTCCTTCTCGCCCTCCAGCTCCCCACCACCACCTGGGGACCTTCCACTGTCACCCTCTGCCTTCTCTGCTGCCCCTGGCACCCCCCTGGCTCGAAGAGACCCCACCCCAGTCTGTTGCCCCTCCTGCCGAAGGGCCACTCCTATCAGCGTCTGGGGGCCCTTGGGTGGCCTGGTTCGGACCCCCTCTGTACAGTCCCTGGGATCCGACCCTGATGAATATGCCAGCAGCGGCAGCAGCCTGGGGGGCTCTGACTCTCCCGTCTTCGAGGCGGGAGTTTTTGCACCACCCCAGCCCGTGGCAGCCCCCCGGCGACTCCCCATCTTCAATCGCATCTCTGTTTCTGAGTGACAAAGTGACTGCCCGGTCAGATCAGCTGGATCTCAGCGGGGAGCCACGTCTCTTGCACTGTGGTCTCTGCATGGACCCCAGGGCTGTGGGGACTTGGGGGACAGTAATCAAGTAATCCCCTTTTCCAGAATGCATTAACCCACTCCCCTGACCTCACGCTGGGGCAGGTCCCCAAGTGTGCAAGCTCAGTATTCATGATGGTGGGGGATGGAGTGTCTTCCGAGGTTCTTGGGGGAAAAAAAATTGTAGCATATTTAAGGGAGGCAATGAACCCTCTCCCCCACCTCTTCCCTGCCCAAATCTGTCTCCTAGAATCTTATGTGCTGTGAATAATAGGCCTTCACTGCCCCTCCAGTTTTTATAGACCTGAGGTTCCAGTGTCTCCTGGTAACTGGAACCTCTCCTGAGGGGGAATCCTGGTGCTCAAATTACCCTCCAAAAGCAAGTAGCCAAAGCCGTTGCCAAACCCCACCCATAAATCAATGGGCCCTTTATTTATGACGACTTTATTTATTCTAATATGATTTTATAGTATTTATATATATTGGGTCGTCTGCTTCCCTTGTATTTTTCTTCCTTTTTTTGTAATATTGAAAACGACGATATAATTATTATAAGTAGACTATAATATATTTAGTAATATATATTATTACCTTAAAAGTCTATTTTTGTGTTTTGGGCATTTTTAAATAAACAATCTGAGTGTAAGCTGGGATCCTGGCTTCTTCGCGGTCTAGAGACAGGAATGGAGAGGGAGGGGGTGACTTTTTGGAAGCTGGGTGCAGTTAACTCTTCCTCTCCGAGCCCCGCGGCGCTTACCTGGCAGGAAGTGACGTCACCGGGCCTGGCCGTTCACCTGAAAGGGTGGGACCAGGTGAGGTCACCAGATGGGAACCGGGGGAGCCAGTTCCCGGGCGTCGGGGGCGCCGCGCTCCCGTCCTGCTGGGCTCCTTGACCCAGCTTCGGGCGGGTGCGGTCGGGGACGGGATGTTTCCGTCCCCACGGGGCCGCGGGAGGCGGGAGGGGCCGGGTGGGGAGGACGGAATGTGCTGGGGCGCGCGCCCAGAGCGAGCGGGGGCGGGCGCGGGGCGGGGCAGCCTGGGGTAGCGGAACCCGTTTCGGGACTAGAGGTTCCGGGGGGGCTTCGACACCTTCTGGATGTTGGGGAAGCGGGTTTAGGGTCTCAAGAGGCTAGGATCTCAACATTTGGGAGTCACAGGTTGCATCCCCTAGCGCTTTAGACTCTAGACCCCTGGTGGCTCGGAGTTGCAGATTTCTGGCCACCCGGGACCCTGGAGCCCGGGAATTACCGGGTCTTGGCATTTCCGAACCTTGGAAGTCCGAGGCTTCGCACACCGACCAGGGTCGGCCCCGCGAGGCCAGGGCGTGTGGGTAGGGGCCGCGCGTCTAGGAGGGGCCCCGGGGGAGCCGCGTCTTCAGACCATACAAGGCCAGCGTCGTCGGGACCAACCCCGGGGCCCCGCGCCCGGAAGCCGCCCTGCGTCAGCGCCTGCGGCTCGGCCCTGCCGCCCAGCCTTCGCCCCCTGCGACCCCTCTTTTTTCTCCTTGCCCCGCACTCCTCCCTCCTCCCTCTCACTTCCCTCTTCTCTCCTTTCCCTACCCTCACCCTTCCTCCTCTTTTTCACTTCCTCCTCTGCACCCTTCTGCCCCGCCCTACACCCTTTGCCTTCTGTTCTTCTCTCCCCCTCCAATTTGTCCCCTCCCTCATTACTCCTCTCCCACTTCCAGCCTCCCCATCCTGCCGTCTCTTACCCCCTTTCTCCTCCTTCCCGTCTCCCTTCTCTCCCTTTTTCCGTCCTTCTTTCCCTCTCCACCCTTTCCTTGCCCTCCCACTCCCCATTGTCCTCTTCCCCTCCTCCCCCTAGCCTTACTCCTTCTCCTCTTCTCTCTCCCTCTGAAGCCCCTTTCCCTCCTCTCCCTTCTCTCTACCCTCCTCAAGCCTCCCTCCTGCTCTCAGGCCTCCTTGGCCCACTCCCCTTGCTCACTGACATTTGGTCTCCTCTTCCAGGAAACTGCTTCCCTTGTGGGAAAGGGCTCAGGCCCTAATAAGTAGAAGAGGATCAGGCGAGAGGGAGTCAGAACCCCTGAGATGCAAAGGCAGCAGAGGGGCAGAGACCAAGAGCAAGCAGTGAAGAGACATTTGCAGAAACAGTCTTGGAGACTGAAAGAACAACATCTCTGGTCCTTCCTTTAGCCAGATCTGATTCTCTGCCCCTTCCCCAAAAAATCCCTCATATAAGAAAACGGCACTTCTCACCATCTACCAGGGCTTAAGCCAGACACCCAGGAGTATCCCTTGACACCTTGTTCTCAAATCCACACCCCAGTCCAACAGCAATCCTGTCTGATCCACCTGCAAAATAGATCCACTATCCACCTGCCCCCACCATGACCCCCACCCTGGTCCTAGCCAACATCGTCTGCCATTTGCATCTTCATAGCAGCCCCAGCCCCAGTCTCTGCTCTAGCCCCTGCCTTCAGTCTCTCCTTTCTCCACTCCCCCACGAGACAACCAAAGGAAGCCTGTTATGAGACCTGAGTCAGGTCACATAAAAGTCAAAGTCCGAAGTCCTCCCCACAGCCCACACAATCTGGCACCCATCGCTTACCCTCCCCCTTGGCCACTCTGCTCCAGCCACACTGGCCTCCTAGCTGCTCTACCAAGTCTGGTCTGCTTCATCCATAGGAGCTTTGCACTAGCTGTTCCCTCTGCCTGAACACTCCCCTGGTGTCCCCATGGCTCACTCCCCTCCTTCATGTCTCTGCTCAAAAGTTGCCTTCTCTGTGAGATCCTCCCTGACCACTGCTGTTGCAATCCACACCCCACCTCCAACTACCCCATCCTCCCTACCTTGCTCGACTTTTTCCATGACATTTATCATCACCACCTAACATTAAAATGTACTTAATTCTTATGTTGACAGCAATCTGCCTCCCCACTAGAATGTCGCGTCCTCAGGGGCAGGGACTACTTGTTCACTGCTGTATTACACACAGCTAAAGGAAGCCAGGCATAGTGAATGTTCAATATTTATTGAAAAAACAAGTCGACTCAAAAACATAGTTTTCCTTTTCAACAGAGGTCGAAAACTCCAAGACAGATAGCTATGTTCATCTGTAAAGGAGGCATTAAAAAGACAGAGAAATACAGAGGAGGCAGAGTCATATACAGTTTGCCGAGGACCCACATCTCTACAGAAGTCAAACTGTTTGCACACAATTCCATGCCCAGAGCATCTAATAAGAGACGATACCCCCACCTGGTGGCTGGGACGGAAACGGCACCTCCCTACAATACAGAACACCCAAAGGACCGTCGCCAAAGCCCTAGGAGTCTTTTGAGCCCAATAATTCAAAAGATAGAAACGTTCATTCATCTAAGTGATGTAGATGTTTTGGTTGGTTTATTAGATGTGTAAGTTTATAAAAACTGATGGGGAAAAAAAGTGCTCCAGGTGAGGATCGAACTCACAACCTCGGCATTGCTCCGCTCGCACTGTCATATAAGTACCGCGCGCTAACCGATTGCGCCACTGGAGCTCCGGCCGCACCCCTGCGCCGGGGTCTTCTTCAGTGGTTCATAGCCACGTGACCTCACCGGAGGGCCCCGCCTTGTGTTATATATGCAAATTAAACATTTTGCATTGACCAATAGGAGACAGTGCATTGCCAGTTCCGGATTCTCACGCCTCGCGGCCCTTGCTGTAAAAGGGAAAAGTCCGCGAGGCGTTTGGAATGTAGGGGTGTCGCCTACCAGAAGGACACGCCTCCTCATGAATATTCAAAACAAGGGGTGGGGTCTTAACCCTTCGCTGGCGGGTCGGCCGGAAGGCAGCCCCTCCCCCCCCCGCAGGCGGGAACAGGATGTGAGCCCCGGCGACAGCGGGGGAGGGGAAGCCCCGGGCGACCGCCCCCCGCCTCACAGCTGGGATCGGACTCTCCCGCCCCAGATGTGGCGCCGCCGCCGTCACACGAGCCCCGTGACACCCAGCCGGGAGCCCGAGGGGTCCAGAGGCTCGGACCCGGGCGTCCGGAATTTCTGCACCGCATCCTGAGAGACCCCGAGGTCCAGACCCCGGCGCCCAGGCTGGAGGACTTGAGCCATCCAGGTGCGCAGCGCCCCCTCCTGGAGCAGCCGGGAGCCCGGACGTCACCCCGCGAGACCCTGGAGGCCGAGCGCCCCGTATCCCCGTTTCAAGAACTCAGGATCCAGGACCGCAGACTCCCTCCAGGGCTCCGATCCCAAGACCCCGCGTTGGAGGAACTTGAGATCCGGACTTCTAAGCGCCCCAACCAGTTTCGGGCTGCAGCGGCCATCGCTTCAAGGGGACCCAGGACTTTGGGACCCCCCTGTGCTCCCACCTGGAGGGAGTTTCATTCCTGCCCCTAGAATTAGGGGAACTCAGAAATCCATCCCCCACCCCACGGCCCTACCTAGAAGACTTAGGAATGTGGGTCCCCAGCGCCGCCATCTGAGACTCCAGAGTCGAGGCTCCTAGCATCCCCTACGTAGAACACTGAGAAATTCCGACTGCGGGACCCCAGTCTCCGAGAGACCCCAGATTCTATTCCTGGAGCCTGAGAGCCCGAAGTTCACGCCCCTGAGTCTGGGCTCCGCACCTCCCTGGGGACCGCGTCGGGGTCGCGCAGGAGCCGGGCTGCCTCGAGCCGGGGCTGGAGGCTCCCCGGGAGGTGAGGGGGGAGGCGAGGGGCCCAGGCGGACTGGGGGAGGGGGCGGCGCCACTGCTGAACAATGAGGGGGCGTGCCGGCGGGGGGCGAGCCGAGGCGCCGGCGGGAGTTGGGGGCTGGAGGGGTGTGGGAAGGCGCTGGGGAGGCTGTGGCTGTGGGGACGGCGATCGGGGTTCGGAGAGACCGGCCGGAGGGGGTGCGAGGGCTCGGGGCCAGCGCCCCAGCGCGCAGCCCTCGGCGGGGGAGGGAGCCGTCTGCAGGACCCTGGCATCCGGTCCCCCAGCCTCCGCCCTCCCCTGGGACCCCGCGGCCTCCCGCCCACGGCTTTTCCCAGCCCTGCCCCTCGCCCTCCGCTCCAGCTGGAGCCCAAACGTTCCCAGGATCCCTAAGCCTCCGGCCCCAGACAAACGGGACTCGCAGCTTCTGCGCCTCCTGCTCCGCTCACTCTTCTTTGTCTCAGCCTTTCCATCTTTTTCGCCAGGTTCTCTCTCCTTGTCCCCTTCTTTCTGTCACTTTGTGCCTCCCCCATTAGTTACTCCCAGGGGCCCCTCCCTGGATTTACACCACGCTCCTAATTCCCAGCCCCCATCTGTGAGTCTGGGCGGCGGAGAGGCCCATGGGGTCCTGATATCCAAGAAGGGGCTCTTTCTGCAGGACTCTGCTGGGCCGCTCAGCCATGCCTGAGGGAGCCCAAGGACTGAGCCTCTCCAAACCTAGCCCAAGCCTCGGGTGTGGCCGAAGAGGTGAAGTGTGTGACTGTGGCACCGTGTGTGAGACTCGGACAGGTGAGCCTAGAGGCAGGGGCGGCGGAGCCTGTGGGGCTTTTATTCCTTGGCAATGCTGTCAAGGCAGGGTGATGGAGACAACCCCAGGCCAACTCGCACAAAGCTCCGAGTCTGGTGGGGAAGGCGGGCCCATCCCCAGGCAATGACAGGCCAGAGGGGGCAGCGCTGGGCAGAGTGGTCAGGGCTGTGATCGTGGATCCTCTGAGCTCGGAAGGTCAGGGGAAGGTTCCTGGAGGTGGGAACATCTCAACTGGGAAGTGGAAGATTAGGGGGAAGGAGTTGCGCAAAGACAAGGAAGAGTATTCTACATGCAAGGAACAGCATGTGCAAAGGCCCAGCGGTGAGAAAAGGCTGCATGTAAGTGACTGAAAGAAGTTGAGTGTCACTGGCATCCAGAGTGTAAGAAGAGGGGTGGCTGTGGGAAGAGAACTGGCTAGAGGGATCTGTGTTGGCCACATTGCCCAGTGCCCTGTGGATCTGAGGAGTTTGGACTTTATCCCCAGGGGCATGAAGGGGTTACACTCACGGGAGTAATACAGTCAGATAGACAAATTAATAAATGTCTACCTAGCTGATTCATGGAGGTGGATTAGAGAAATGGAGGCCAGAAGTCCAGAGAGGACCCTGATGGGAGAGGATGGGACTGGACCAAGACAGGGCAGTGGGGAGAGGAGGAAGGAGCCTGTGGGAAAGCTGTTGGACAGGTGTGGGTGAGGGTGTGGGCTGAACGCATGAAAGGCTGTGGAAGTCCGTGCATGGGGAGATTTCTCTGACCTCCTGTTCCACACCCCAGCAGCTCCTGCAGCCCCCACCATGGCCTCCCCCCGAGGTTCTGGGAGCTCCACATCCCTGAGCACAGTGGGCTCTGAGGGGGATCCAGCCCCTGGGCCCACTCCAGCCTGCTCAGCCTCCAGGCCAGAGCCCCTTCCAGGGCCTCCCATCCGCCTACATCTCTCTCCGGTGGGGATCCCAGGTTCAGCCAGACCCTCAAGGCTGGAGCGTGTGGCCCGGGAGATCGTGGAGACAGAACGGGCCTATGTCAGGGACCTCCGCAGCATCGTGGAGGTAAGGCGGGCAGACACCAGAGGGCAGTGGGTACCCAGGCCAGCCCCTTGGCCCCCATAACCCCAGTCATCCCAACAGGACTACCTGGGCCCTCTGCTGGACGGCGGGGTCCTGGGGCTGAGCGTGGAGCAGGTGGGCACGCTGTTTGCCAACATTGAGGACATCTACGAGTTCAGCAGGTCAGGGGCAGGGGGGACAGGCAGGGGGCATTGATTGGTTGGAGGGTCTATTTCCTAATCCAAACCTCGGAGCTTCGTAGTGTCCTGTCCAGGCTGGTACGTGGGGTTGTGACATTGGGCAAGGATCAGGGATCACGACTGGGAGGGAGGACCCCGAGTGAGGGAGGGGCATAGGGGATGGGAGGACCCCGAGTGAGGGAGGGGCATAGCGGATGGGAGGACCCCGAGTGAGGGAGGGGCATAGCGGATGGGAGGACCCCGAGTGAGGGAGGGGCATAGCGGATGGGAGTCAGAGGACCTGGATGAAGCCCAAACACTGGGACAGGGTCCCGGCATCAGGACGAGTCCTTGGGGCTGTGTCAGGTCTGGGCTCACGATGAATCCAAGAATCATATGGGGCCTGAAGGCCGAGACAGCGTGAGCATGCGAGTGACCCCCTAAGCCTGATTTGCCTGGGACTTTTCCAGTTTTAGCACTGAAAGCCCTCGTCCTAGGAAACTGCTCAGTCCCGGACAAACCAGGATGGTTGGTCACTGTGGTAAGGAGGACTCTGGGGTCCAAGGATCATGACATTTCCAAGTACCTTGACGAGGTCTCGGGATTACAGCAGGAACTTAAGATCATCCTAGCTCTTTGGGTCATGATATAACACCCCTAGGCTCATGCCAGCACTGACACAAGTTCAAGCTGAGGAATGAGAAGCTGTCCAGGGACAAAGTCTAAGCAGGTTACCATGCCCCGTGTAGCCCTCAGAGGACCCTTCCTCCGGACATGACATCCCCTTAGGAGATGCTGGCAGTCAGCAAGCCCCCAGCCCCAGCAGACCATTGGGGCCTCAGCCTCCTGGAGGCCTCCCATGGAGGGGTCGTGAAGGCAGGCGGTTCCTCACCCTCCCCTCTCCCCTGTAGCGAGCTCCTGGAGGACTTGGAGAACAGCAGCAGCGCCGGGGGTATTGCCGAGTGCTTCGTGCAGAGGGTGAGTGGAGGGGTGGGGGGCTCTCGGTCCTGGATGGGGCCTTTGTAGAGGGGGGAGAGCAGGCTTGGGCTAGGCTGGAAGGGGGGTCGTGGGAAGCCAGGACCTGGGGTCTCCCTGACTCCCATGTCACCCGCAGAGCGAGGATTTTGACATCTACACATTGTACTGCATGAACTACCCGAGGTGAGGGGCAGGAGCCCCTGCTGGGCCTCAGGCTGTGCCCACAAGCTGATGTGCCAGTCACCCGTCACCCTCCCTCTACCCCCGACCCATCCAGCACCGACCCCTGCCAGGCTGTGACAGTAACTGACCTCTCCCTCACTGCCCCGCCCCCTGTCAGACCCTGACCCTTCCCAAACCCTGGCCCCTCCCTAACCCCTCTTGACCCCGCCCACTGGAACTGACAATCCCCACTGACCTGTGCTGTGCCCCCAGCTCCCTGGCCCTGCTCCGGGAGCTGTCGTTGTCTCCGCCAGCAGCCCTGTGGCTGCAGGAGCGCCAGGCCCAGCTTCGCCACTCGCTGCCCCTGCAGAGCTTCCTGCTGAAACCTGTCCAGCGCATTCTCAAGTACCATCTGCTGCTGCAGGTCAGCTGGGGCCCCTGGAGCCAGGCTGGGGAGGGGGAGGTCCTGTCCCTTGACCACCTGTTGGTTCATCTGGAGGATGGACCCCCCACGAGTTGGGCAAGGCCTCCCAAAGTGCTGGGATTACAGGCGTGAGCCACCGCGCACAGCCCTAGCTTTTTTTTTTCCCTTTGAGGTGGAGTTTCACTCTTGTCGATGAGGCTGGAGTACAGTGGTGCGATCTTGGCTCACTGCAACCTCCACCTCCTGGGTTCAAGTGATTCTCCTTGCTCAGCCTCCTGAGTAGCTAGGATTACAGGCGCACACCACCATGCCCAGCTAATTTTTGTATTTTTAATAGGGACGGGGTTTCACTACGTTGGCCGGGCTAGTCTCGAACTCCTGGCCTCAGGTGATTTGCCCACCTCAGCCTCCCAAAGTGCTGGGATTACAGACATGAGCCACTGCGCCTGGCCTCTGCCCCTATCTTTATATTTCTCCATCTCCTGTTATTCTCATTCTCTTTCTCCTTCTCTGTTTCTCTCCCCATCCCTGCGTGCCTGGTGGCTGCCTGACAGGAACTAGGGAAGCACTGGGCGGAGGGCCCAGGCACTGGGGGTCGCGAGATGGTGGAGGAAGCTATTGTGTCCATGACAGCGGTTGCCTGGTACATCAACGACATGAAGCGCAAGCAGGAGCATGCAGCGCGCCTCCAGGTGGCCCCAGGGTGGGCTGGGGCTTGCTGGATGAGGGAGTGAGCGAGGGGGCCTTGGGGCGGGTGGGGGGAAATCAGTGCCTCAGAGGTAGCCTTGGAGGGTTGGCTGGGACAGCATGGCCCTGTTGCTAACCCCCTGTTTTGGTGTGTATGTGTGTGCCACCTACCCATGCTTGTCTCTGCGCCCCGGCGCACCTGGCGGGGTCCCGGCAGGAAGTGCAGCGGCGGCTGGGTGGCTGGACCGGACCAGAGCTCAGTGCTTTTGGGGAACTGGTGTTGGAGGGCGCGTTCCGAGGAGGCGGAGGGGGTGGCCCCCGGCTACGAGGGGGTGAGCGGCTGCTCTTCCTGTTCTCTCGGATGCTGCTGGTGGCCAAGCGCAGGGGGCTGGAGTACACCTACAAAGGCCACATCTTCGTGAGTTTGGGGATGGGGTGGGGCTAGAATACTACCTACAAAGTATATCCCATATACCTGTATCTGTGTGCCCGGCAGTGTGGGCCAGGGGACCCTGCCACATTTTCTTGAGTTAGAGAATGGAAGCCAAGGGAAGCTTTCTTTCTAGTGTATAGAATGAGAGCTGCCCCACTTAAGAAAAAAAAGGAGAAGGCTGGGCGTGGTGGCTCATTCCTGTAATCCGAGCACTTTGGGAGGTCAAGGCGGGCGGATCACTTGAGGTCAGGAGTTCGAGACCAGCCTAGCCAACGTGGTGAAACCCCGTCTCTACTAAAAATACAAAAATTAGCTGGACGTGGTGGCAAGTGCCTGTAATCCCAGCTACTGGGGAGGCTGAGGCAGGAGAATTACTTGAACCCAGGAGGCGGAGGTTGCAATAAGCCAAGATCATGCCACTGCACTCCAGCCTGGGTGACAGAGCAAGACTCTGTCTCAAAAAAAAAAAAGGGAGAGGAAACCCACCATACAGCCTTATGGGATGCATCTTCCTAGGGAGGAGGACCCAGATACACCTCCAAGGGTGTCTCCGTACAAGGGGCATCACTGAGCCCAAGGACTCTGAGCTTGCTACCCCTCTCTTTCCTTCCAGTGCTGCAACCTGAGCGTGAGCGAGAGTCCCCGAGACCCTCTAGGGTTCAAGGTGTCTGATCTGACCATTCCCAAGCACAGACACCTGCTCCAGGTGAGCATGTAGTGGGATCAGGCTGGCAGGGATCCCCCAGCCTCGAGACCTCACACCTGGCCCCCTGACTCTACTCCAACCCACTCCTAGGCCAAGAACCAAGAAGAGAAGAGGCTGTGGATTCACTGTCTCCAGCGCCTCTTCTTTGAGAACCACCCTGCCTCCATCCCTGCCAAGGTACAGCTCCTGCCGCAGCCGGGGGCCCTCTGAGTGCTGGAGACACCCTCCCCCAATAGTACTAAGAGACGCCCCTGCCCAATGCCAGAGCAGTCTGTTATAATGTGATTGCTAAAAGTGCAGAATTCCGCTACTTGGGTTTGAATCTTAGCTCTACCATGTCCCTGCTTTGTGACCTTGGGCAAGTAACTTAACCTCTCTGAGCCTTAACTTCCTCACCTAGAGGAATGAAAGCGCCTTCATCCTAGGGTTGTGGTGATGAGTAATGGTCACCAGCCACGTCATGGGCTTGACCAATAGAAGCACCCATCAGCTGGCTGTGGTGGCTCATGCCTATAATCCCAGCACTTCGAGGGGGTGATGTGGGAGGATCATTTAAGCCCGGGAGTTCGATACCAGCTTGGGCAACATAGTGAGACCCTGTCTCTAAAAAACATTTTTTAATTAGCTGGGGCTGGCCAGGCACGGTGGCTCACACCTGTAATCCCAACACTTTGGGAGACCAAGGCGGGCGGATCACCTGAGGTCAGGAGTTCAAGAGCAGCCTGACCGACATGGAGAAACCCCATCTCTACTAAAAAATACAAAATTAGGCCGGGCGCGGTGGCTCATGCCTGTAATCCCAGCACTTTGGGAGGCCGAGGCGGGCGGATCACGAGGTCCGGAGATCGAGACCATCCTGGCTAACATGGTGAAACCCCATCTCTACCAAAAATACAAAAAATTAGCCAGGCGTGGTGGCAGGTGCCCGTAGTCCCAGCTACTCGGGAGGCTGAGGCAGGAGAATGGCGTGAACCCAGGAGGCAAGAGCTTGCAGTGAGCCTAGGTTGCGTCACTGCGCTCTCCAGACTGGGCAACAGAGTGAGCCTCTGTCTCAAAAAAAAAAAAGAAAAAGAAAAATTAGCTGGGCATGGTGGCGCATGCCTGTAATCCCAGCTACTAGGGAGGCTGAGGCAGGAGAATCACTTGTACCTGGGAGGCGGAACTTGCGGTGAGCCGAGATCATGCCATTGCACTCCAGCCTGGGCAAGAAGAGCGAAACTCCGTCTCAAAAAAATAAAAATAAAATAGCTGGGCTGGACGTGGTGGTTCACGCCTGTAATCCCAGCACTTCGGGAGGCCAAGGCGGGTGGATCACCTGAGGTTAGGAGTTCAAGACCAGCCTGGTCAACATGGTGAAACCCCGTCTCTACTAAAAACACAAAAATTACCGGGTGTGGTAGCGGGCACCTGTAATCCCAGCAACTCAAGAGGCTGAGGCAGGAGAATCGCTTGAACCCAGGAGGCAGAGGGTGCAGTGAGCCGAAATCGCGCCTTTGCACTCCAACCTCGGCAACAAGAGCAAAATCTCCGTCTCAAAAAAAAAAAAAAATTAGCTGGATGTGATGGTGCACATATGAAATCCCAGCTACTCAGGAGGGTGAGGTGGGAAGATCGCTTGATCCCAGAAGTAGAGGCTGGAGTGAGCTATGATTGCACCACTGTACTCCAACCTGGCGTATAGAGCAAGATCTAAAAACAAAAACAGCACCCATTAATGGGCATGACTACGGTGCTTAAAGTATCCTCTCTGTGGTACTCCAAGATCGACCCACCTCAGCCCTCATCCTCCTGTCTTTCAGGCAAAGCAAGTTCTCCTTGAAAACAGCCTGCATTGTGAGTTGGGGCCTTGGGCTGGGAGGGTGTGGAAGTAGACGAATTACTTCCAAGAAAAAGTTGGCTTTTAGCCCCAAAACTCTCCCCACAGGTGCCCCCAAAAGTAAGCCTGTCCTAGAGCCCCTGACACCCCCACTTGGGTCTCCTCGACCTCGAGATGCTAGAAGTTTTACCCCTGGGCGAAGGAACACAGGTAAAGGCGGTGGATCCCTGAGTCCCAGCCCTCAGCCCCACTTCCCTAGGACCCGGGAGCTGGGCTCACACAGGGCTCTGGCCCTCCCTCCCACAGCTCCATCTCCTGGGCCCTCTGTGATTCGCCGAGGCCGCAGGCAGTCTGGTGAGCACTCACCCCTAAGGGTGATCCAGGCATCGGGGTGGGAGCTGGGCTCCTGACATCACTGTGTCCTCCCCGCAGAGCCGGTGAAGGACCCTTATGTCATGTTCCCACAGAACGGTCAGTGACTGCCCCGGTTCAGCCTGGTCCATCCCTGTCTGTCGCCCGGTGGGATGTCTGGGGCGGGTTGGGGAGGGGTGGTTGCTTCAGCTCATCAGTTATGGGGGAATCACTCTTTTTCCCTTACATCTCACTAATGCTTCTCTCTCTCTCATCTCTCCATCCTTAGCTAAGCCTGGATTCAAGGTAAGAGATATCTCGAGATAGGGTCTGGGCACCTTGACTTCTGGGTCTGATGGAGAAGGGAGCTTGAGTTCCAAAATCCTGGGTCTGAATGAGAAGGGGATTGGGGCCAGACAGAGTAACTCATGCCTGTAATCTCAGTATTTTGGGAGGTCAAGGCAGGAGGATTGCTCGAGCCCAGGAGTTTGAGACCAGTCTGGGCAACATGGCAAAACCCCATCTCTACAAAAAGTACAAAAAAATTAGCCAGGCACACTAGTGCATGCCCATAGTCCCAGCTACTCAGGAGACTGAGGTGGGAGGATTGCTTGAGCCTGGGAGGCAGAGGTTGCAAAATGAGCTGGGACACACCACTGCACTCCAGCATGGGTCACAGTGAGACCCTGTCTCAAATAAATAAATAAAAATTTTAAGAGAAAAATAAAAAAATTTAAAAATTGAGCCAGGTACGGTGGCTCACCTGTAATCCCAGCACTTTGGGAGGCCGAGGTAGGTGGATCATCTGAGATCAGGAATTTGAGACCAGGCTGGCCAACAAGGAGAAACCCCGACTCTACTAAAAATACAAAAATTAGCTGGACATTGTGGCAGGCGCCTGTAATCCCAGCTACTCAGGAGGCTGAGGCAGCAGAATCGCTTGAACCCGGGAGGCGGAGATTGCAGTGAGCAGAGATGGCGCCATTGCACTGCAGGCTGGGCGACAGAGCGAGACTCCATCTCAAAACAAACAAACGCAAAAGAAGGGGATTGGGACTTGGGGTCCTCTATGTGAGGGAGGAGTCTTGGCTCTTGCCTTCCATTGCTTTCCCTCCTCACAGCACGCTGGCAGCGAAGGGGAACTCTACCCTCCAGAATCTCAGCCACCAGTTTCAGGCTCTGCACCCCCTGAGGACCTGGAGGATGCTGGACCCCCAACACTGGACCCCTCTGGGACCTCAATCACTGAAGAAATCCTGGAACTGCTGAATCAGCGAGGCCTTCGAGATCCAGGGGTGAGCTGGCTGTCCCATCATGGTGTCCTTGGGCCTCTGGGTGTGGGCACACAGACCAGGGACCAGATAGGCCAGCCCATGCTGATACCTTTATTTTTTTTTTATTTGAGATGGAGTCTTGCTCTGTTGCCGAGGCTGGAGTGCAGTGGCGCCATCTCGGCTCACTGCAAGCTCTGCCTCCCAGGTTCAAGCGATTCTCCTGCCTCAGCCTCCTGAGTAGCTGGGACTACAGGCACCCGCCAACACACCCGGCTAATTTTTTTTTTTTTTTTGTATTTTTAGTAGAGACAGGGTTTCACTATGTTGGCCAGGCTGGTCTCGAACTCGTAACCTCAAGTGACCCGCCCACTTCAGCCTCCCAAAGTGCTGGGATTACAGGCGTGAGCCACCACACCCAGCTACCATGCTGATATGTTTGGCTTGTTCTCCTGTGCCCACTATAGCCGTCCACCCATGACATTCCCAAGTTCCCCGGAGACTCCCAGGTGCCTGGCGACAGCGAAACCCTCACATTCCAAGCCCTGCCCAGCCGGGACTCTTCAGAAGAGGAGGAGGAGGAAGAGGAAGGGCTGGAGATGGATGAACGGGGGCCTTCCCCACTCCACGTCCTGGAAGGGCTCGAAAGTTCCATTGCAGCTGAAATGCCCAGCATTCCCTGCCTTACCAAAATTCCTGACGTGCCCAACCTTCCTGAAATTCCCAGCCGCTGTGAAATTCCCGAAGGTTCTCGCCTTCCTAGTCTCTCTGACATTTCCGATGTTTTTGAGATGCCCTGCCTTCCAGCCATACCTAGTGTCCCCAACACCCCCAGTCTGTCTAGCACTCCCACCCTCTCCTGTGACTCCTGGCTCCAAGGGCCTCTGCAGGAACCAGCTGAGGCTCCAGCCACCAGGAGAGAACTGTTTTCTGGGAGCAATCCTGGGAAACTGGGAGAGCCGCCTTCAGGAGGCAAGGCAGGGCCAGAGGAGGATGAAGAAGGGGTATCATTCACAGACTTCCAGCCCCAGGATGTCACCCAACATCAGGGATTCCCAGATGAGCTGGCATTCCGCTCTTGCTCAGAAATCCGGAGCGCCTGGCAGGCATTGGAACAGGGACAGCTGGCCCGGCCAGGCTTCCCAGAGCCACTGCTGATCCTGGAGGATTCGGATCTGGGTGGAGACAGCGGGAGCGGGAAGGCAGGAGCCCCGAGTTCAGAAAGGACGGCGTCCCGAGTGCGAGAGCTGGCCCGGCTTTACAGCGAGCGGATCCAGCAGATGCAGCGGGCGGAGACTCGGGCATCAGCCAATGCCCCGCGCCGCCGGCCTCGGGTTCTGGCCCAACCCCAGCCATCCCCCTGTCTGCCCCAGGAGCAGGCAGAGCCAGGTGAGGTCCGGGTACGTGGTTGGCAGAGGTGGTCCCCGCTGGAGTAGTGGTCCTGACTCGATCCTCTTTTCGCATTCAGGGCTCCTGCCTGCCTTTGGACACGTGCTGGTATGTGAGCTGGCCTTCCCACTGACATGTGCCCAGGAGTCTGTCCCCCTGGGTCCTGCTGTCTGGGTTCAAGCTGCCATACCTTTGTCAAAGCAGGGAGGCAGCCCGGATGGCCAGGGTCTACATGTTTCCAATTTGCCTAAGCAAGACCTTCCGGGCATCCACGTTTCAGCTGCTACCCTTTTGCCTGAGCAAGGAGGTTCCCGGCATGTCCAGGCTCCAGCCGCCACACCTTTGCCCAAGCAAGAAGGCCCCCTGCACCTCCAGGTGCCGGCTCTTACAACTTTCTCTGATCAAGGCCACCCAGAAATCCAAGTTCCAGCCACCACTCCTTTGCCTGAGCATAGAAGTCACATGGTTATACCAGCTCCATCCACCGCCTTTTGTCCTGAGCAGGGACACTGTGCGGACATCCACGTTCCCACCACTCCAGCTTTGCCCAAGGAGATTTGTTCTGATTTCACAGTTTCAGTCACCACCCCTGTGCCCAAGCAAGAAGGTCACCTAGACAGCGAGAGCCCAACCAATATCCCACTGACAAAGCAAGGAGGTTCCAGGGATGTTCAGGGCCCAGACCCTGTCTGCAGTCAACCCATCCAGCCTTTGTCTTGGCATGGAAGCAGCCTGGATCCCCAGGGCCCAGGCGACACCCTACCACCCTTGCCATGTCACCTCCCAGACCTTCAGATTCCAGGTACCTCACCTTTGCCTGCACATGGAAGCCACCTGGACCATCGGATCCCAGCCAACGCCCCACTGTCTTTGTCCCAGGAGCTCCCAGACACTCAGGTTCCAGCTACCACACCTTTGCCCCTGCCACAAGTCCTCACAGACATCTGGGTCCAAGCCCTCCCAACTTCACCCAAGCAGGGAAGCCTCCCAGACATCCAGGGTCCAGCGGCTGCACCTCCACTTCCGGAGCCAAGCCTTACAGATACACAGGTCCAAAAACTCACACCTTCGTTGGAGCAGAAGAGCCTCATAGATGCCCATGTTCCAGCTGCCACACCTTTACCTGAGAGAGGAGGCTCTCTAGACATTCAGGGCCTCTCACCCACCCCAGTTCAGACCACCATGGTTTTGTCCAAACCAGGAGGCTCCTTAGCCTCTCACGTTGCCAGGTTGGAGTCTTCAGACTTGACGCCACCTCATAGTCCCCCACCTTCCAGCCGTCAGCTCCTGGGCCCCAATGCAGCTGCCCTCTCCAGATACCTGGCAGCCTCATATATCAGCCAGAGCCTGGCTCGGCGGCAGGGGCCTGGGGGAGGGGCCCCCGCAGCCTCCCGGGGCTCCTGGTCCTCTGCTCCCACGTCACGGGCATCTTCGCCGCCCCCCCAGCCCCAGCCACCACCTCCCCCAGCCAGGCGGCTCAGCTATGCCACGACGGTTAACATCCACGTGGGCGGGGGTGGGCGGCTGCGGCCAGCCAAGGCCCAGGTCCGGTTGAACCACCCTGCTCTCTTGGCCTCCACACAGGAATCTATGGGCCTTCACAGGGCCCAGGGGGCTCCTGATGCCCCCTTCCACATGTGAGCCAGGACATGAGGCTTCCCTGAAGCAAGGATTTCAGCCAGATGCCATAGACCCTCAGAACTTGACCTGGAAGTCCAGACACTGAACGCAGGCCTCAAAACTGCTGCGGCCTTCCAACTCCTGGTATCTGCATCGGCGAATGGCCCTTCTTGCCTTGATCCACAGGGATGGGGAAGGGAGGAATGTCATTAATGTTTTGTTAATACTGATTCTTTCATGCAATGATGTGTATTTTCCCATTCTGGAGGCTGTGGGAGATGACAAGACAATGAATGGGAAGGTCTGACACAGAACAAATCAGCGGTTCTGAAAGCTTGGGGAATCTCAGACTCCTTTGAGAATTATTGGAAAATGGACCCACTATAACTTGGCGTGTGTGTGAACTGCTTGATGCCCATCCAGGAAAGCCAAGTTAAGAAGCTTTGCTTCAAGTAGACACTAGAAATCCATTCCCTTGGCAATTTATACAGTTCACGTCTCCCACCATCCGTTCATCTCACCCACCCTGCCATCTCTCCACCTATCCATCTGGCTATTGCTCCATCTAGCTTTCCCGCTCCATCTACCCATCTTCCAATCCATCATCTCACGTATCTGCCTTGCTTATCCAACTGTCTGCCTTATTCACCCACCCATCCCTTTATCATTCTAACCCCATCTGGCATTCCATCCCTCCATTTATCCATCTTCCCACTTACCCATCTTCTCCATCCAGCACTCCGTTCATCAGTCCGTCTCTCCCTCCATATTTCCATCTGTCCATTCATCCACTCATTTTGCCATCCATACATATTCACCCAGCCATCTCCCAATCCATCGACATACCCCATCCCTCCCTCACTGGACTCTCCGGGGTCTTAGTACTATGATACTTCAGAGACAATTCCATGCTGATACGGGGGAGATCAATTTTGGGGCTCTGGGATAAGTCTGTCCCACATCTGTCTGATTTCCCTTGGCATCCTTCCCGTCAGTTCCTCTTGAATATCCCAGTTCTTGTACCCACTCACATACCTCAGATCCCTTCACTCCTCCCCGCAGTTTGCAGCCTCTACAATTCATCCACATGCTCCCTCCCCCAGCAAAATAATTCAGGTCGTGGAGACAAAAGGCTTTTATGTTAGGTTCTGTCTGCCCCCTTGTTCCAGCAGTGGTATGCCCAGTGAGAGGCACAATTTAAACGGTTTCTTTGGTGATGATATTAGCTACTTTCATCAAATACTTAGCCTCTTGTGCTTTAGCACATTATTTATGTAAGCTCCCCTAGGATTCTCTGAAGCACCCTGGTGTCCTGGCTGTGAATTCAAGTCCCATCTTTACTTATTTGGTGTGGGTCCTCCCTCTGAGCCGGTTTTCTCATCTACAAAATGAAGACAACAGTACTTCCCTCCTGGGATCATTGAAAGATTTAGGGAGCATATCCTTCCACTTCCCAAACATATTTGAACCTCTGACTTGCTTAGGAGCATCATTCAAATCACAGATCCCCCAGTATCTAGTCCCAACCTATTGAATCAGGATCCCCAGGGAAGGAGGAGCTTGGGAATCTGATTTTTTTTTTTTTTTTTAGATAAAGTCTCACTCTGTCACCCAGGCTTGAGTGCAGTGGCAAAATCTTGGCTCATTGCAACCTCCACCTCCTGGGTTCAAGCAATTCTCATGCCTCAGCTTCCCGACATAGCTGGGATTATAGGCGTGCACCACCATGCCCAGCTAATTTTTCGTTGTTGTTGTTGTTGTTTTGTTTTTGAGACAGAGTCTCGCTCTGTTGCCCAGGCTGGAGTACAGTGGCACGATCTTGGCTCACTGCAAGCTCCGCTTCCCGGGTTCACGCCATTCTCCTGCCTCAGCCTCCCGAGTAGCTGGGACCACAGGTGCCCGCCACCACGCCCGGCTAATTTTTTTGGTATTTTTAGTAGAGACGGGGTTTTACCATGTTAGCCAGGATGGTCTCGATCTCCTGACCTCGTGATCCTCCCGCCTCGGCCTCCCAAAGTGCTGGCATTACAGGCGTGAGCCATCATTCCTGGCTGGGAATCCGAATTTTTTTTTTTTTTTAGACGGAGTTTCGCTCTTGTTGCCCAGGCTGGAGTTCAATAGCATGATCTCGGCTCACTGCAACCTCTGCCTCCCAGGTTCAAGTGATTCTCCTGCCTCTAGCTGGGATTGCAGGCGCCCACGACCACGCCCAGCTAATTTTTGTATTTTGTAGTAGAGACGGGATTTCGCCATATTGGCCAGGCCATAGTGGTCTTGGACTCCTGACCTCAGGTGATCCGCCCACCTCGGCCTCCCAAAGTGTTGGGTTTACAGGCGTGAGCTACCATACCCTGCCCAGGAATCTGAATTTTTAGCAATCAGTTAGCAGCAAATAAGCTGAGATTTCCTGGGTACTAAGCACATACTATGAGCATTACAGCCGCTTTATATAAGCTCGTTCACTGTCCTCATTACATTCCTAATATGCAAGTGAGCATGTTTTTTAATCCTCAGTCTAGAGGTGAGGAAACTGAGGCAGGCACAGAGAGGCTAAGGGATTTGCCTAGTCGCACAGCTAGGAAGGTGCAGCACTGAGACTCGAATCCACACAGCTTGGCTTAAGTCTACCATTAAATTTGCCTGTCCTGGCCAGGTGCGGTGGCTCACGCCTGTAATCCCAACACTTCGTGAGGCCAAGGCAGGTGGATCACTTGAAGTGAGGAGTTCGAGACCACACCAGCCTGGCCAACATGGTGAAATCCCGTCTTTACTAAAAATACAAAAAATTAGCTGGGCGTGGTGGTGGGTGCCGGTAATCCTAGCTACTCAGGAGGCTGAGGCAGGAGAATCACTTGAACCTGGGAGGTGGAGGTTGCAGTGAACCGAGATTGCGCCACTAGACTCCAGCCTGGGAGACGAGCAAAACTGTCTCAAAAAAATAAAATGAAATACATAAATAAATGTGCCTATCCTGTGCCGGGTGCTGTTCTTGCCAGTGGGGATACATGAGAGAACACTGCCTTGCCCGCATGAGGCTTGTGGCCTGGTACTGTGCACACCTCAGGGGATTCTGATAATTAGCTGAGCACAGTTGCCAGCACAGGGCCTGGCTCAATAAATATTAGCTGCTGGCTTCTGCTCACTTACTGTTTATTGACTGGCTACTGTACACCAGGGCCGAGGCTGTGTCCCGGGGGCCCCGTGGTGACGGAGGTGAACTCCTCAGCCTGGAGTGATCCACTCCACTGGAGCCTCCCCAAGGTCAGGACCGCAGCCGACGCTCCCCTCCTCCGCCCCAGCTGCACATTCCCGGCTGAAGGAAAGTTCTCAGCCTGGCCCAGGCTCCCAGCGGCGTCGGAATTCCCGGTATTCGAGGAGGCAGGGAGGGAGAAGGGGCCTGTCTACTCCAAGGCCTGGAGCTGGGAAGGAGAGGCAAGCCCCTTTCCAGTCCAGATGTGTCCCAGCTGTGCCTCTGGGAAAGAGCCAGGAGCCTCAATAAGGGGGTCTCTGGACCCCCTGGGAAAACCATGGGCGCCAGGCTTGCCTCCACCCCTCCTCCTGGCATCTGTGAATTCCATTCCTCCCTCCCGCCCAACTCCTACTGCTGCTTCCCAGCCCCAGCTCTGTCGCCTTCTCAGGAATACCTTTCCTGCTGGCCTACCTTGGTTCTGAGCCCAGTCCTCCTCAGAGCTACAGCTAAATCAGGCTCCGAAAGGATAAGGATGGTGCCTGCTGTCCTCTCTGGGACATTTAGGTTAATGCCAGCTAAACCAGTTAACCGGAGTTAACTCTGGCTGCGATGCAAAACTTGGCGAGCCGCAAAACATTTTGCCACTAGGGTAGTTTTCTCATCCTGTGTCACCAACCTCACAGGGATGTGGCCACCTCCAACAACCACCTACCTGATGCTCCATGAACCCCACTCCTTTACTTTTTCTTTTTTTTTCTTTTTTTGAGGAGGAGTCTTGCTCTGTCGCCCAGAGCTGAAGTGCAGTGGCGCAATGTCAGCTCACTGCAACCTCTACCTCCTGGGTTCAAGCGATTCTCCTGCCTCAGCCTCCAGAGTAGCTGGGACTACAGGCACGTGCCACTATGCTCAGCTAATTTTGTACTTTTAGTAGAGACAGGGTTTCACTGTGTTGGCCAGGCTAGTCTCGAACTCCTGACCTCAAGTGATCTGCCTGCCTCTGCCTCCCAAAGCGCTGGGATTACAAGAACGAGTTGCTGCGCCCGGCCCCCCACTCCTTTACTTTTTATTTTATTTATTTATTTATTTGAGACGGAGTCTCCCTATGTTGCCCAGGCTGGAGTGCAGTGGTGCGATCTTGGCTCACTGCAACCTCTGCCGCTGGAGTTCAGTGGTGCGATCTTGGCTCACTGCAACCTCTGCCGCTGGAGTTCAATGGTGCGATCTTGGCTCACTGCAACCTCTGCCTCTGGGGTTCAAGTGATTCTCCTGCCTCAGCCTCCCAAGTAGCTGGGATTGCAGGCGAGTGCCACCACGCCCAGCTAATTTTTTTGTATTTTTGGTAGAAACAGGGTTTCACCATGTTGGCCAGGCTGGTCTCAAACTCCAGACCTCGTGATCCACCCACCTCGGCCTCCTAAAGTGCTGGGATTACAGGCATGAGCCACCGTGCCTGGCCTTTTTTCTTTTTTGAGACGGACCCTTGCTCTGTGGCTCAGGTTGGAGTGCAGCGGCAAGGTCTCAGCTCACTGCAACCTCTACCTCCAGGGTTCAAGCAATTTTCCTGTCTCAGCCTCCTGAGTAGCTGGGACTACAGGCACACGCCACCACACCCAGATAGTTTTTGTATTTTTAGTAAAGACGGGGTTTCACCATATTGGTCAGGCTGGTCTCCAACTCCTGACCTCAGGTGATCCACCCGCCTTGGCCTCCCAAAGTGCTGCGATTACAGATGTGAGCCACCACGCCTGGCTTTTTTTTTTTTTTTTTTTTGAGGCGGAGTCTCGCTCTGTCGTCCAGGCCAGAGTACAGTGGTGCAATCTCTCAGCTCACTGCAACCTCCACCTCCCGGGTTCAAGCCATTCTCCTGCCTCAGCCTCCCAAACAGCTGGGACGACAGGCACCCGCCACCATGCCCAGCCTTTTTTTTTTTTTTTGTATTTTTAGTAGAGACCAGGTTTCGCCATGCTGGCAAGGCTGGTCTCGAACTCCTGACCTCAAGCCATCCACCTGCCTTGGCCTCCCAAAGTGCTGGGATTACAGGCGTGAGCCACTGGGCCCAGCCCCCGACTCATTTTATGTATCCTGTGTCAGTGCTGTCCCATATAACCTTCCTTGATGACGGAAATGTTCTAATATGTGCAGCCCCGCTTGGTAGCCATACATGGCTTCTGAGCACTGGCTACTGTATTAACTAGGGTAGATACATAGAAAGTGGGCAAGTGGACAGAAAATCTCAAGTTGTAAAACATTCCCCCTGAGCATTTAGGTGCGGGACTTCCCTATTGGCTGCAGAGGCTGGAACTAGGAAGTAGAAATCTCTGCGCTCCCCAAACAATGAAGTTCACTCGCTTCCTATGAGTCATTAGCCACTCAACGAAGTCCTCACTTAACGTCATCAATAGGTTCTGGGAAACCGTGACCTTAAGCGAAACGACGTATAAGGAAACCAGTTTGTTTAAAGGACTGTTATTACAGGATCTGCTTGTTTTGCTTAAGTCCGTTTCCAAGCACCTATACAAAACGCTGAGGATGCACTGTGCTTTGAAGCCCAACTCCTCTTCCAGCACCGGCAGCAACCCTTGCGTCATTTGTGACTCCTTGGGAGGGGGAAGAGGGCTGTGGTCACTCAGTGCCCCATGACGAGCACATGGCCCGGCACAGGTGTTCAAGGAAAGTGAATGAGCAAGTTGAGGCCACAGACACCCGAAAACAACTCATCACAGACATGGTCTCCCTGGCTACTCTTCCTACCGGCCAGCAGACCCTGGTTCCCATGTCCTCTCCCCCAAGGAGTCCACCTGACTCCTCCAGGCTGTCAGGCACCGCTTGAGTCCCACAGCCTCTTGTGCTTTTCCCACAAGCGGCCACCCTGACTCCTTAGCTCCTCATGTTGAGGGGCCACAGGGTAGAGATGGGGCCTCTTGAGCAGATCTGTGACAACCTAAACTAGTAGTCAAGAACCTGGGCTCTAGGTCGGGCGCGGTGGCTCACGCCTGTTAATCCCAGCACTTCGAGAGGCCAAGGCAGGGGGATCTACCTGAGGTCAGGAGTTCAAGATCAGCCTGGATAACATAGTGAAACCCACGTCTCTACTAAAAATACAAAAATCAGTCAGGTGTGGTGGCACTTGCCTGTAGTCCCAGCTACTCAGGAGGCTGAGGCAGAATTGCTTGAACCCGGAAGGCGGAGGTTGCAGTGAGCTGAGATTGTGCAGCTACACTCCAGCCTGGGTGACAGAGCAAGACTCCGTCTCCAAAAAAAAAAAAGGCGGGGGGGGGGGGGCAGGTGTGGCGGCTCACACTTGTAATCCCAGCACTTTGGGAGGCCATGGCGGGTAGATTACCTGAGGTCAGGAGTTCCAGACCAGCCTGGCCAACGTGGTGAAACCGTCTCTACTAAAAATAGAACAATTAGCTGGGCAAGGTGGCAGGCGCCTGTAATCCCAGCTACTCGGGAGGCTGAGACAGGAGAATTGCTTGAACCCGGGAGGCGGAGGTTGCGGTGAGCCGAGATCACGCCATTGCACTCCAGCCAGGGATACAAGAGCAAAACTCTGTCTCAAAAAAAAGAAAAAGAAAAAAAAAGAACCTGGGGTCTTCCACAGCCCGGTTACCTGTCCAAAATGCCACTTTGGGCTCGGCATGGTGGCTCATGCCTGTAATCCCAGCACTTTGGGAGGCTGTGGCAGGAGGATCACTTGAGGTTAGGAGTTCAAGACCAGCCTTGCCAACATGGTGAAACCCCATCTCTACTAAAAATACAAAAATTAGGCTGGGTGCAGTGGCTCACGCCTATAATCCCAGCGCTTTAGGAGGCAGAGTCGGGTGATCACTTGAGGTCAGGATTTCAAGACCAACCTTGCCAACATGTTGAAACCCTGTCTCTACTTAAAAAAAAAAAAATTAGCTGGGTGTGGCAGGCGCCTGTTCAAGCAATTCTTTCCTTCAGCCTCCCAAGTAGCTGGATTACAGGCGCCTGCCACCATACCTAATTTTTGTACTTTTAATAGAGATGAGGTTTCACCATCTTGGCCAGGCTGATCTTTAACTCCTGACCTTGTAATCCACCAGCCTTGGCCTCTCAGAGTGATGGGATTACAGTCGTGAGCCACCGTGCCCGACTCTCCTTGTTTTCTTTGTATTAAAGATTATTGGCTAGGCATGGTAGCTCACACCTGTAACCTGGACACATTGGGAAGATGAGGCAGGAGGATTGCCTGAGGTCAGGAGACCACGCCTGGGCAACATAGTGAGACCTGTCTCTACAAAAACAAAAATTCAGCTGGGGGTGGTGGCTCTCGCCTGTAATCCCAGCACTTTGGGAGGCCCGGGAAGGCGGATCACTTGAGGTCAGGAGTTTGAGACCAGCCTGACCAACACAGTGAAACCCATCGATACTAAAAATACAAAATTAGCATGGCGTGGTGGTGGGTACCTGTAATCCAAGCTATTTGGGAGGCTGGGCTTGAAAAAAATAGACATCCACAAGGATGAGCCATATATCCGCCAAGGTCTGCAGCCACTAATGGCCCCAAACGACTGCCATCTCAGCTTTGCCTGCACACTGGACTCTACTGGAGGTGTAGAGACAGAGACCCCCTGCCTTCTGCTTCCACTCACCCACACCAAGCCCAGCGCGACCACTTCTGGGGAGGGTCAAAATCCAGACTGGCAATAGGTCCAGGATGTTTACTGATTTCTGTCTGGTTAAACATCCAATACCAACACATAAGGCCACACACAGTTCTTGAAACTTTAAAATCCCTCAAAAACTGTTTATTATACAAGTGAGTTTTGAGTCACGATGGGCTTATCGGTAGGATTTCTGGTAGCGAGCGCGGGCACCAGGGCCTCCAAACTTTTTGGACTCGCAGCGACGAGGGTCAGCTACCAGCAGGGTCCGGTCATACTGGATGAGGATGTCTTTGATCTCCTTCTTGGAAGCCTCATCCACATCTGGCAAGAAGAGCAGGGACGAGGATTTAGATAATCACACAGAGTCCTTGACTTGATCCCCACACACCCATCTACCTCATGGGAAGGACCCATGCTCACTCACATTTCTGGTAATAGGCCACCAGGGCTTTGGAGATGGACTGACGGATAGCTGTGAGAAAGACACACAATTAAAGGGTACAGGAGCGCTGTGAAGGCCTCCCTCCCAGAGCCACCTCCTCCATGCGCCCAGTTCCTGGGACTCACCATAAATCTGGGCCACGTGACCACCACCCTTTACACGGACACGGATGTCTACACCAGCAAATCGCTCCTTGCCGAGAAGCAGAACTGGCTCCAGCAGCTAAAGGAATGGGGAATGAACAGGGATTTAAGTTACATGCTGGGCAGCTTAGCCATCTCACTGGGCTTCTTGTTTCTGTGGCTTCTGCCACCACTGGCCTTCAAGTACTAGTGGATGGGGGTCAGGGTGTCACTCCAAGGCCCTCTACAGACCCAGAGAAGAGGAAAGTCAAAAAAGCCAGATATGAGACTGCTGAAGTGGTGTTAAGAAATATAGGCAAGGTAAAGGGAACAAGATCTGGGCTCCCTCCTACTTGTGTCCCTCACTGGACCTCAGACACCCTACCTCTAAGACTGGTTCTTAGAAGGCTGAACAGTAAGGAGCATTCCAATAGCTTCTGAAACTCCCAAGGCTGTTTCAAGTAGTCGAAAGCCATCCCTGGACTGTTCAGGTGCCTTTTCTATTTCCCACCTGAGCTCTCTGCCCTTTCTTTGAGCCTCACAGGTTTCCAGAATTACAGTACAACCTGTCCCTGGTCCCTAGACCCTTCCCAGCTCCAGGTCTTTTACCAGTGCCTCTGTCTGGATACTTCCTTTACCTGCTTTCAGCTCACAGGTCTCCTTCCCCAGTTCTGACCACTTTGGATCAGCTTCTGGTATTGGGCCCAGTCCTTCTCCCCAACTAGGCTGGCAGGTCCATGAAGGCAAGACCTTAAGTCATCTGGATCACTGCTATGTCCCCAAAACTCAACAGAGGGTACACATACAAATCCTTCAAATACAGTGACAGCCAATAACAGTAACATTCAACATCTGCTACACAAAGGAAATCTCAGAATTTTTATTAAATTCTAGGCCAGGCATGGTGATCACACCTGTAATCCCAGTCCAGGCAGAAGGATCACATGAGACCAAGGACCAGCCTGGGCAATAAAGTGAGACCCCACGTCTACAGAAAAATATTTCTCAAATGAGCCAGGCGTGGTGATGTGCCTGTAGTCTTGGCAACCGAAAGGCTGAGGTGGGAGGATCTCCAACTCAGGAGTTTAAGGCTGCAGTTCATTAGGATTGTGCTATTGCACTCCAGGGTAGGTGACAGCAAGATACTGTTTTTAAAAAAGAACCTTATAACTCAAAAAAAATTTTTTTAACTGACCCTGCAATGTAGATATTCTTTCTTTTAAAAGTAGTAGAGTTCAGAAGGGGCAGAAATCAGACTCTGGTTTCTTTCCATTCTGAGCCAAAGAAATTGAGAGTCCCAAAAAGGGAACAGAGGAACCCCTTTTACAAGCAAGCATTTAAACAGACCCAAATTCGGCCGCACACGGTGGCTGACGCCTGCAATCCCAGCACTTCGGGAGGCCGAGGCTGGTGGATCACCTGAGGTAATGAGTTCGAGACCACTCTGGCCAATATGGCGAAACCCCGTCTCTACTAAAAATACAAAAATTAGCCGGGCGTGGTGGTGCATGCCTGTAATCTCAGCTACTCAAGAGGCTGAGGCAGGAGAATCGCTTTAACCCGGGAGGCGAAGGTTGCAGTGATCCGAGATCGCGCCACTACACTCCAGCCTGGGCGACACAGCGAGACTCCCTCTCAAAACAAATAAATAAAATAAAAAATAGTCGGTGTCCCTTCACCCTTTGGGTCCCCCCGCCCCAGTGAGGTGAGCTTCCTAACATCCCAGTTCTCAAAGCAAACCCTTAATCTTCAACAACCCCATCTCAGCTTTTACATCTTCTGAACCCCAAGCCCAGCTCTATTGCCAAATACCCCACTGTTCTACACCCAACACAACTTCTAAACATCCCGTTGCTGATGCCAGCCCCCCCAGCTTTCAAGAGCTACAACATCTCTGTCTCCAAGAGTCCTCCATCCACTCAACGCCGGTGCCGGATCCCAGCACCTTGTACTGTAGCGTGCGCGGCTCAATCATCTCCAGGGGCCGCCCGTTCACCTTGATGAGACCATTGCCGCGTTTGCAGTGCGCCACAGCTGTCGCTGTCTTCTGTAAGATACAAGAGAAACAGGGGCCCCGTGAGCTCCGGCTCCAGCTCCCATGTTACCCCCTAGATTCCTGCCCACCGACCTCTCCCAGACCCTGGCCTTCTCCTTCCCCTCCCCTTCCCATCCGGCGTCTGGCTCACCTTGCGTCCGAAGACCTGCACAGACTGCAGCGGGCCCTTGGACGGCATGGCTCCGAGCGTGGACTAGACAACCTCACCGCGCGGCGCCGCAACCGGAAAAGGAAAGCTAGGGGCCACCCTGGCCGCTTTTCAGGGTCTGCGCAGGCGCCTTGAGCACTGCGTCGCGACGGGAGAGAGCTTTACGGCTTCTGTTGCGGCTAACGGGCGGGGCGTCTGGTCAGCGGCGGGAAGGCCCTTAGGCGCTCAGAGCGGGCGGGCCCTGTGAGGCGGAAGTGGCGGGCTCTGTGGGCGGAAGGGGCGGGGCCTGGGAGTGTCGTGTGCGGACTGAAGGGAAGGCTGCGGGAGTGTGCTTCGCGTCCTCTGTAGTCGACTACCGCAGCTCTTCTTTGCATTCTGGCTCTTTAATAATCTCCCTTCGCCCTTTCTTTAAATCAGTTCCCACCCTCCCAACACCTGTAATCTTTCTCCCCTCTGGACTCCCTCCTCCCCGAATCCCCCGCATCAGAATCTTCCTTTGGAATCTACTGCAAGAAATCTGGCTGGATTCTCAGATTAAGGACTTCCAGAATCCTATCCTCCCTAGAATCCCCCTCCTTGGGGATCCTCTCCCAGAATCCTTTTCCCCTCAGAGCCCCTTCCCCTCAGAATCTCCCTTTCACCAGAATGTCCTTCCTTTCAGTTTCCTCTTCCCAGAATGTTTCCCATCCTTCTCTCAGATGGCCAACCCCAAATGTCCCTCTTAAGAGTGCTCAACTTAGACCCCCCTTTTCCCTGAATCTCCCTCCATTCGGTCCTCGTCCCCTCAGTCACCCTTCCCAGAATCTTTCTCTTGTCAGGACCCAGTACCCCTGGAATCTCCCTCCTCCAGAATCTCCCTTTCCCGGCAAATCCCCCTTTCCCGGCAAATCCCCCTTTCCCAGAACACCCCGCCCCGCAAATCCACAAAAACTTTTCTCTCAGAGACCCGTCCCTCAAAATCTACCTTTCTCCTGAGTTTATTTCCCTTCCGAGACTCCTCTTCCCAGCAACTGCCTTCCCTGGAGTTTTCCCTCCGTTAGAATCCCCCTCTCCTAAGAGACCCTCCCCCAAGAATTAACCTCTTCCCCGTCCCCACCCTAGAATCTCTCTCTTTTTTTTGAGACGGAGTTTCGCTCGTTGCCCTGGCTAGAGTGCAGTGGTGCGATCTCGTCTCACTGCAACCTCCGCCTCCCGGGTTCAAGAGATTCTCCTGCCTTAGGCTCCCGAGTAGCTGGAATTACAGGCGTCTACCACCACGCCCTGGTCGTTTTTTGTATTTTTAGTAGAAATGGGGTTTCACCACGTTGGCCAGGCTGGTCTCGAACTCCTGACCTCAGGTGATGTGATCCGCCTCAGCCTCCCAGAGTCCTGGGATTACAGGCGTGAGCCACCACGCCCGGCCGAATCTCTCTGTTTTTTGTTTTTTTTTTTTCTTTTTTTTGAGACAGAGTCCTGCTCTGTCGCCCAGGCTGGAGTGCAGTGGCATGATCTCTGCTCACTGCAACCTCTGCCTCCCCGGTTAAAGCGATTCTCCTGCCTCAGCCTCTTGAGTAGCTGAGATTACAGGCATGCACCACCACGCCCGGCTAATTTTTGTATTTGTAGTAGAGACGGGGTTTCACCATATTGGCCAGACTGGTCTCGAACTCCTGACATCAAATGATCCACTCATCTCAGCCTCCCAAAGTGCTGGGATTACAGGCGTGAGCCACCGCGCCCAGCCCCTAGAATCTCTTTCTCCAGAATCTCCCAGTCATCTTTTTCCTCTCCCCCAAATCACCCTCCACTTAAGCCTCCTCCCCACAGAATTCTCCATCCCCAGCCCCCCAACCCCACCTGAGGAACCCCAGGATTGGGTTGTCCTCTGGTTCCCCGGCAGATGTCCCTGCGTCTCACCCCATCAAGAGTCTCCCCAGCGAAGAGGTTCCTCTCTCAGAGCTAGAGGGAGCCCACAGTTGCCTCAGTTTCTCTGGCAGTACAGGGTCTGGGATCCAGGGTTCAAAAGGGCGTCGTGGTGCACCTTGCCAAAGAGGGTGGAGACAGGGAGACACTGGAGGGCAGGTCTGGGGCCAGAGGGAAAAGCCAGCCCGGAGTCCAGCTCTAAAAGGGTGAGGGGGGAGGGGGCTGTTGGGAGGGAGGAAGGAAGTACCCAGAGGCTGACCGGGAGGGACACAGACACAGCCCAAAGAAATGTAGGCACAAGTGGAGAAGAAGAGAAAGATGAAAGGCCAAGGGAGAAGAGGAGGAGAAAAGGGAGAGACCAGGACAGTCAAGAGATGGACCCCCAAAACAAGCCCAGTGACAGATTTAGAGGCAGAGAGGCCAACCCTCAGACAAAAAAGAGATAAAGGCAGGCATGATGTTTCCAAAATACTTGAGACAGAGGCCAGGTGCAGTGGCTCACACCTATAATCCCAGCACTTTGGGAGGCCAAGGCAGCAGGATCACTCGAGCCCAGGGTTCAAGACCAGCCTGGCCAACATGGTGAAACCCCGCCTTTACTAAAAATACAAAAATCAGCTGGGCATGGTGGCAGGTGCCTGTATCCCAGCCACAAGGGAGGCTGAGGCAGGAGAACCGCTTGAACCCGGGAGGCGGAGGTTGCAGTGAGCTGAGATGTCGCCACTGCACCCTAGGCTGGGCGCCAGAGCAAGACTCTGTCTCAAAAATAAATAAATAAATAAACTCTGTCTCAAAAATAAATAAATAAAATAAAATAAATAGAGCAGAGACCTCAAATATTCACTTGCAGACACAGATAAAGGCTAGCACAGGTGTTTTCCAATGAAGACACAGGCAGATGAGAGGATGCACACATTCTACCTGTACTTTTTCTTTTTTTTTTTTTAAATTGAGATAGAGTCTGTGTCACCCAGGCTGGAATGCAGTGATGCAATCTGAGCTCACTGCAACCTCCACCTCCCCGGTTCAAGTGATTGTCCTGCTTCAGACTCTGGAGTAGCTGAGATTACAGATTCTCCTGCTTCAGACTCCTGAGTAGCCCAGATCACGGGCCTCCACCACTATGCTTGACTAATAATTTTTCTTTTTTTTTTTTGAGATGGAGTATCGCTCTGTCGCCCAGACTGGAGGGCAGTGGCTTGATCTCAGCTCACTGCAACGTCAGCTTCCTGGGTTCAAGCAATTCTCCTGCATCAGCCTTCCAAGTAGCTGGGATTAAAGGCATGCACCACCATGCCCAGCTAATTTTTGTATTTATTAGTAGAGACAGGGTTTCACTATGCTGGGCAGACTAGTCTTGAACTCCTGACCTCAAGTGATCCACTTGCCTCGGCCTCCCAAAGTGCTGGGATTACAAGTGTGAGCCACTGTGCCTGGCCACTAATTTTTGTATTTTTTAGTAGAGACAGGGTTCCATCGTGTTGGCCAGGCTGGTCTTGAACTCCTTACCTCAAGTGATCCGCCCACCTCGGCCTCCCAAGGTTCTGGGATTACAGGTGTGAGCCACAGCGGTTGGCCTAGCCTGCACTGTCTTAAGGGCCTGTTGGGCAGGGGAGTTCAGGTTCTCTCGTCTCTCCAGATTGATCTTCACACATTTGCTAAGTCTCGTATCGTCCCTGAGCTTGGGAGTCAGGGAGCGCTCTGACCTAAGCCCTCCTGACTTTGGGGTCACCATCTTTCCCCAGCCTCTATGGGCACACTCCCTGAATTATCTGTGGCTTGAGTGGAGCAAGCAGGGGATGGGATGAGGGGTGGCGGGGGAGTTCCCCTCATCCACTTCAGCCTTCCAGTCTGCTCCCCCTTCCTGTACCTCTCTCTTCCAGAACCCCAGGCCAAGCACCAGAGAAGGCCTGGGAGTGAGCAAGGTGCCCATGTTGCTTCTGTGGATCATCCTCCTGCTTGTACAGCCCTGGGAGGGCCTAGGAACGCCCGCCCCTCTGCTGGAGGGAGCCTTTTTACTTCCTTGCAGCCCTCTGAAGATACCAGCGAGTGGGGAGCAGAGCCAGCAGACGGGGTGGGCCAATTGATGGGGCGTGGTAGGGGGTGTGTTTGAGGAAGGGTCAGCCTCTTTCCCTCCAAGATCTGATTCTCCTCCTTACCCCTGAACTGTAGGAAAACAAAAATGATGACACCCTCTACACCCCAGATGATCTCTCAGTGAGTATTGCATTCGCTTCTTTCTGCAGTTGCAGGTTTTGAGAGAATTCAGTGGTCTCCATGTGTGAGGGCTGCTGTGTGACCATATGAATATGTTGCGGGGAGGAAGTAGTGGGACTATCTCCTGACCCAGCCCCTAGCCTTGACAGATATATTTTGCTCACTGCTGTCTCCAACACCTAGAATAGGGAGGTATATAATAACAAATGATGATGATGACTACAGCTGCATGTAAATAGTGTTTACTCTGTGCCAGGTATTGGTTTAAATGCTTTAAGTATGTTAGCTTATTTACTCTGTACACCAATCCTATAAGATAGATAGGACCACCATGTATGGATGTGAATGTTGTACACTGCACAAGGATCCCACATCTACAAAGACAGTACTATATTCACAGGCTGGATATTGTAGATTTGCATATTTGCCAACTTGCGGCAGATGGCAGTAAAGTATCTTGTTCTAATAAAATCAAGACTTAGAAGGTAGAAGGAACTTAAGGAAGGTCTTTTTATTTTCTTTTTTTTGAGACAGGGTCTTGCTCTGTCCCCTACGCTGGAGTGCAGTGGCACAATCACAGCTCACTGCAGTCTTGACCTTTTAGGCTCAAGCAATCCTCCCACCTCAGCCTCCAGAGTAGCTGGGACCACATACACGTGACACCACAAATAGCTAATGGCTAATTTTTTTTTTTTTTTTTTGAGACACAGTGTTGCTCTGTTGCCAGCTGGAGTGCAGTGGCGTGATCTCTGCTCACTGCAACCTCTGCGTCCTGGGTTGAAGCAATTCTTCTGCCTCAGCCTCCCGAGTAGCTGGGACTACAGGCATGTGCCACCATGCCCAGCTAATTTTTGTATTTTTAGTAGAGACAGGGTTTCACCATGTTGGCCAGGATGTTCTCGATCTCTTGACCTCGTGATCCACCTGCCTCAACCTCCCAAAGTGCTGGGATTACAGGCGTGAGCCACCGTGCCCGACCTTTTTTTTTTTTTTTTTTTTTTTGTAGATATGGGGTGTCGCTGTGTTGCCCAGGCTGGTTTTGGACACCTGGGCTCAAGTGATCTTCCTGCCTTGGCCTCTCAAAGAGCTGGGATTACAGGCATGAGCCACTGTGCCCAGCTGAGTGTCTTTTTCTAGCTTGCACATAAGTACAGCATGGGATAGTGTCAGGCCTTACGGTTGGGATTATCCAGAGCCCTATTTACAGATGAGGAAACTGAGGCCCAGAGAACTGAAGGGGTTTGTTCCAGGACACAGATAAGAAATCTTGGGAGTGGGGACTTGGACTCATGCCCTTACCCATAGATACCAGGTCACTTTGTCCCTACTGTGTGTCCTGCTGAGACTCTAGGCTGCTCCAGGTTGGAGCTGTCTGTGATTGGGTTTGAGGAGGGACCATCTATGGGAACTGCTGTGTTCCAGCTACAGTACCTGCTGGATCTCCTGGGGTCCCGGCTGTGGGTGGCCAGCCAGGGCCCTTGCCTGTCCTGTGAAGGACATCCCCAGAGACCTGTCCCCCTCTTGGAGTTACTACAGGGAGCTTGTGCTTGGCACCCTACCACAGCCTGAGCTTTGGAGGACATGGGCTCCCAGGTACACCCAGAGAGGCTGGGTAGAGAGAGGGAGGGAATAGTCTTCAGCTCCAACTGCCAAACCCTAAGCCTTTTCTTCCCTCTAGGCCAGAGGACCCCACCTGGAGCCCTAGTAGCCAAGGGGAAGAGTTAAGAAGGAGGAAAGTAAGGTGCGATCTGAAGTCTCTGACCTCTTGGGCAGGGAGTTGGATAAATTGCCCCACCTGCCCCCATTCTCACCCTCCTTTAGATACTCTTCTCTCTTCTTCCAGGAAGGGACAGAGAAGTGCACAGGTATTCTCTAACCTCATCCCTATACCTTGAGAACAGGGAGGGTCCTGTGGTTCACATCCCTACATCCCTGGCTACAAAAAATTACCACTTGAAGAACTTTCTTTTCTTTTCTTTTCTGTTTTTGAGGCAGAGTCTCACTCTGTTGCCCAGGCTAGAGTGCAGTGGCATGGTCTCAGCTCGCTGCAACCTCCACCTCCTGGGTTCAAGTAATTCTCCTGCCTCAGCCTCCTGAGTAACTGGGATTACAGGCACGCGCCACTACACCTGACTAATTTTTGTATTTTTAGTAGAGATGGGGTTTCACAATGTTGGTCACGCTGGTCTCGAACGCCTGACCTTGTGATCTGCCCACCTCAGCCTCCCAAACTGCTGGGATTACAGGCGTGAGCCACCGTGCCCAGCCCACCACTTGGAGAACTTTCAAGTAATACTGATGGCCAGACCCCAGCCCAGATAATTTGATAATTGGTCTCTGGTGAAGCCTGAGCATCTATATTATTTTTATTATTATTTAGAGACAGGGTTTCACTATGCTGCACAGGCTGTAACTTGGCATCTGCCCATATATTTTTTTGAGACAGGGTCTCACTCTGTCACCCAGGCTGGAGTGCAGTGGCATGATCAAAACTCATTGCAGGCTCGATCTTTCAGGCTCAAGTGACTCTCCCACCTCAGTCCCCCAAGTAGCTAGCGCTATAGGCGCATGCCACCACACTCAGCTAATTTTTGTATTTTTTGTAGAGATGGGGTTACCCTTTATTGCCCAGGCTAATCTTGAACTCCTGGCTCAAGCGATACTCCCCCCTTGGCCTCCCAAAGTGCTGGGATTATAGGCATGAGCCACCACACCTGACATTTTTTTTTTTTTTTTGAGACAGAGTCTCCCTTTGTCACCCAGGCTGGAGTGCACCGGCTGGTGGACTGGATGGCCACATTTCCATCACCCCAAAGCATTCCTTCTCTCTCTTCCCAGTCAATTTCCACCTCCCTCTCCAGCCCCAGACATCCACTAATCTGCATTGTCTGTATAGGTTGGTTTTGCTTGCTCTGGAGTTTCATATGAATGGAATCATGCTGGACATCTCCTGATGTCTGGCTTCTTTCACTCAGCATAATGTTTTGGAGATTCAGTCATGGGTGTATTGGTAGTTGTTACTATTCTGTTGCATGGATGGATGTACCAAAATTTGTTTTTCTTTTGAGACGAGTCTCACTCTGTTGCCCAGGCTGGAGTGCAGTGGTGCGATCTCTGCTCACTGCAACCTTCACCTCCCTGGTTCAAGTGATTCTCCTGCCTCAGCCTCCCAAGTAGCTGGGATTACAGGCGTGCGCCACCACACCTGGCTATTTTTTTTTTTTTTTTTTTTGTATTTTTAGTAGAGATGGGGTTTCACCATATTGGCCAGGCTGGTCTTGAACTCCTGACTTCGTGATCCGCCTGCCTTGGCCTTCCAAAGTGCTGGGATTACAGGCGTGAGTCACTGCGCCCGGCCCTAATTTTTGTGTTTCCAGTTTAGGGCTATTATGCAACTCTTTCTTTCTAAAATATTCTCAAGTATTCTGATGTGCTACCAGAGTTGAGTTCAGAACCACGGATCCACCAAGGAAGAAACTTCCATGGCTGGGGAAATGACTGTGCCCTCTTTTTTCTGCAGGGAATGGCTTTCTGCAGCAGTGTCTGTAGCGATTTAATATGTAGAATCCTATTTTCTTGTTGTTTTTTTTTTTGAGACGGAGTCTTGCTCTTTTGTCACAGCAACCTCCACCTCTCAAGTTCAAGAGATTCTCCTGCCACAGCCTCCCGAGTAGCTGGGATTACGGGTGTGCGCCACTACGCCACCTGGCTAATTTTTGTATTTTTTAGTAGAGACAGGGTTTTACCATGTTGGCCAGGCTGGTCTTGAACTCCTGACCTCAGGTGATCCGCCTGCCTTGGCCTCCCAAAGTGCTGGGATTACAGGCGTGAGCCACCGCGCCCGGTGGAGAATCCTTTCTTTTTTTGAGATGGAGTCTAGCTCTGTTGCCCAGGCTGGAGTGCAGTAGCACGATCTCGGCTCACTGCAAGCTCGGCCTCCCGGGTTCACGCCATTCTCCTGCCTCAGCCTTACGTGTAGCTGGGACTACAGGCGCCCGCCACCACGCCCAGCTAATTTTTTTTTGTATTTTTAGTAGAGATGGGGTTTCACCGTGTTAGCCAGGATGGTCTCGGTCTCCTGACCTCGTGATCCACCCGCCTCGGCCTCCCAAAGTGCTGGGATTACAGACGTGAGCCACCGCGCCCGGCCCAGGTGTGTCATACTTATGTGAGAAATTTTACCAATGTGTCCTGAGGCTTCTTTTTTTTTTTTTTTTTTTTGAGACTGAGTCTCACTCTCGCCCAGGCTGGAGTGCAGTGGCGCGATCTCGGCTCACTGCAAGCTCCGCCTCCTGGGTTCACGCCATTCTCCTGCCTCAGCCTCCCGAGTAGCTAGAATCACAGGCACATGCCACCACGCCCGGCTAATTTTTTTGTATTTTTAGTAGAGACGGGGTTTCACCATGTTGGCCAGACTGGTTTCGAACTCCTGACCTCAGGCAATCTGCCCGCCCCGGCCTCCCAATGTGTTGGGATTACAGGCATGAGCCACCGCGACTGACATAGACTTCTGATTTTTAAAATTTCCCCTATCAGGTTAATTTTTCAATTTTTAAAAATTTAAGTTTTAATTTTTTTTTTTTTTTTTTTTTAGAGACAGGGTCTCTATTACCCAGTCTGGAGTGCAGTGGTGCAATCATAGCTCACTGAAGCCTCAACATGGGTTCAAGTGATCCTCCCACCTTAGCCTTTGGAGTAGCAGGGACCACAGGCACACGCCACCACACCACATTAAAAAAAACACAAAAATTGGATACATGGGGTCTCAATTTGTTGCCCATGCTAGTCTCAAATACCTGGCCTCAGGTGATCCTCCCGCCTCAGCCTCCCAAAGCGCTGGGATTACAGGCGAAGGTTCATTTTTCATCTCTCCATTACACCTGTCCACTCTGCCATCACTCGTCAGCCGTCATTACTAATAGATAAATTCGCCTTTAAATGAACTTAGGAAGCCTGGAAAGAAAAATAGGGACTTGGGCCGGGCGCGGCAGGTTATGCCTGTGATCTCAGCACTTTGGCAGGACGAGGCCGGAGGATGGCTTTTTAGTTTGAGTTAGAGGAGTTTGAGACCAGGCCGGGCAACAGCCCGACTCTACCAAAAAAAAAAAAAAAGTACAAAAAGAAAGAAAAAGAAGGAAAAACCAGGGCTTCACGGTCACTCAGACTTGGCGAGGAGGCTTGGGTCTGCCGCTTTCCACTGAGTTTTTCTGAGCTTCAGCGTTCTCTCCAAAACGGGGATACGGATCTCCTGGGGATGCTTTAGAGGGCCTAGGAGATAAAGCCTTGTTTCTTTTATAATTTGCTATTCGCTGATTTCGCCGCCTCCTCGCAGCTTGGCCTACCGCGCTAGTGTTCCGGACTAACGAACAAACGGCTCACTAAATTCAAACATGAGTTTCAGCCTGGTCGCCGAGCCGGCGGGTAGAAAAAACCTTTCCCCTCCTAACCCTCCGCAGATGTCGGCCCCGCACTCCGCCCAGGCCAGCCCTGCCTCTCTCAAGATGGCGACCTGGAAGTGCGTCGCCCGTGCCAGCCCCGGAAATCTCGTGTTAGGCGAGGTCAACGGGTAGGTTCTCGCGAGAGGACCCGTCAGCCCCAGTCAGGCGTCGTGCGAACAGCAGCTGGTACCGAAGGCGGAGGTGGAGCCCGAGAGGTAAGTGCGTGTGCAGAGGTGGCAGTTCCGGGCGCCGGGGAGGTGTAGAGAACAGATTCGGAAACTGGGGAGGTCTAGCATGTGGCGTAGGAGGGGGTCCTCACTCCGCTTCGCGATTGCCAAAACGAGCCTGCCGGAAGCGCCCTAAGGGGTTTTCTTCTCCCAGGGAACCAGCGGGGAAACTGAGGCTCGGGGTGGAGCGCAGGATTGTGGGACGCGCCAAGGCTGCTGTCTTTCCCAGCAGCAGCGGAAGATGTCGGACAGCGAGGACAGCAACTTTTCCGAGGAGGAGGACAGCGAGCGCAGCAGTGACGGCGAGGAGGCCGAGGTCTGTGGCTGGGGCGCTGGGGGAGACATTGCGTCTGGGGACAGGACTCCGGGCAGAAAGGCCCCTGTGGGAGGCTCGAGGGGTTCACAGCGGGCTCTGGCTTCTGGGAACTCCCAGATTGTCTCAAGAGATAGAGAATTAGGCAAGTCGAAGTCAAGCAAAGGGACAGGTTCTGGAGGCCAGAAATGGGTCAGGTCCAGTGAGATAACAGGTGATGTTTTGAAAGTTTACTCTGTGTGCATATAGTAAGCACTTAGCATTAGTTTTTTTTTTTAGTTATGTCTAGTCATTCCATAACTATATTTGTAGTGCCTACTATGTACCAGGCGCAATTCTTTGCTCTTAGGGTACACCAGTAAACAAAAAGATTTTAAAAATGTCTGCCTTCGGGAATGTAAATAAATATAGCCAAGGAATAAACTATATAGTAAGCTGGAAGGTACTCTGGAGAAAAGAACAGAAAAGGGGAATGGAGAGTCCTGGTTGCTCTTGAAATAGGGTCATCAGCATGAGTCTGAGGGGTGACATTTGAGCAAAAACTTGTTGGAGGTGAGGGAGTGAGTCGTGGTTAGCTGGAAGTGTAGTGTTCCAGTGAGGGGGACCAGCAGGTGCAGAGATGGGAGTGTGTCCGCCGTGTTCAGGGATTAACGAGGATTTGAGAGGCCAAGCTGGGAGGATCACTTGAGCCCAGAAGTTTGAGAGCAATCTCGGTAACACAACGGGACCCTGTCTCTACAAAAATATAAAAACCATTGGCTGAGGCCGGGCTTGGTGGCTCACACCTGTAATCTCAGCACTGTGGGAGGCCAAGACAGTGGATCACCTGAGGTCAGGAGTTCAAGACCAGCCTGGTCAACATGGTGAAACACCATTTCTACTAAAAATACAAAAAAATTAGCTTGGCATGGTGGCGCCCACCTGTAATCCCAGCTACTCGGGAGGCTGAAGCTGAGAATCGCTTGAACCAGGGAGGTGGAGACTGTGGTGAGCTGAGATCGCGCCACTGCACTGCAGCCTGGGCGACGAGCAAGACTCCGTCTTATAAAAATATTAGCTGAGCTTGGTGGCACGCTTCTGTAGTCCCAGCTACTTGGGAGGCTGAGGTGGGAAGATTGCTTGAGCCAGAAGGTGAAGGTCTAGTGAGCTGTGATGGTGCCACTGCACTGCAGCCTGGGTGACAGAGTGAGACTTTGTCTCCCCACCACCCCCTAAAAAAAGGGGGTCCACTTTGGTTGGATCAGAGTGAGTGCAACAAAGAATTTATGAGAGCCAAGTCATATAGGATCTTGAAGGCTGTGGTAAGGAATTTGGTCTTAACTGAGTAAAATGAAACCACGAAAAAGTTTGAGCAAGTGGAAGATGTGATCTAATGTTTTGAAAGGATCACTCTGGCTTTGGGTCTGTTGTACCTCTGTTCCAGGAACCAAAAAACCAACATTTCCTGGGGCATTTCTGATTTCAAATGTTCTTTTATTTGCCATTATCTTTTTTTTTTTTTTTTTTGAGACAGCATCTCACTAGGTTGCACAGGTTGGAGTGCAGTGGCATGATCTCAGCCCACTGCAACCTCAGCCTCCCGAGTAGCTGGGATTACAGGCATGCACCACCACATCAGGCTAATTTCTGTATTTTTAGTAGAGACGGGGTTTCACTGTGTTGGCCAGGCTGGTCTTGAACTCCTGACCTCAGGTGATCCACCCTCCTTGGCCTCCCAAAGTACTGGGATTACAGGCGTGAGCCACTGCACCAAGCCCATTATCCACCTTTTAAACTTATTTTTGTTTTATTTGTTTGTTGAACAAATCAGTGTTTGCATCTACTACTGTGTTCCACTTACTTCTCAGGTGTCTGGTAGGAAATCTTTGCATTTTTGGAGTTGACATTTAGTAGGTAGCAATCACAAACCAGTAAACAGATGACAGGGTGATTATAGATCCCTTGTTTGATGCACAGAAACTTAAATTGGCTGTTAAATTAGTTGCCAATGCTTGTGAGGGAGATTTAACATAAAGATTAAGATTTCTTTTTCTGGGGAAATGGAAGGAGCTGGCACCCTGGGACACAGAGTTGTTCTGCAGAGCAGCCGTTTGCTTGATGAGTGGCTGCCCTACTTATACAGCTGGGAATTTTCTCCAGTTCCCAGGATATGTTAGTTGCCATTTGTCCTCTTGCTTGCCTTGTGGCAGAGTGAAGAAAAGGAAAAGATTTCATGTGGCTGTGTTCTGGAAAACGTTTGGTAGATGGAGAGTGCTGTGTGTTTCGGGTGACTTGTCCCAGTCACTTATGTTGCCTGCTTATCCTCTGTGGACATTTGATTGCCAATCTTTATTGTGACCTTTGGAGAGTGCCTGGCTTCCAGGCTTGCAGTGAAGAGTTGGAGAAATTGGGATGCTGTGGTGGGAGAGTGACAGGGAGGGCCTTTTCTCTAAGCTGTAGCACTGGATTCTTGGTCTCTGATTCATGGCTTGGAGACACTGCTTGGTGGTTAAAGTCAGGTGGAAATGAGACCAAGATCCCCAGTTCCATTTCCTGTCTGGGACATTCTCGTTTGCACTGTTACTAGTCTCACTTCCCCAACACTACACCATACTTGACCCCCCACCCCCGCCGCTGGCTCCTCTTCAGTTACCAGGTGAGGCAAGAGGGCACTGTGAGGCCTGTCCCCACTGCCAGGGACAGGATTGGATGGCCTTTTCAGACAGCCAAATGATGACATGGTCCTTGAAGGACAGGGTTCTGTGGCTAGACAGGTAGGGATGGCAAATAATGAGCTACTTTTGAGGGGAGCTGCTGGTTCACCCATCATGGCTCCAGTAACCTGTTCATTTATTCATTCAACAAATGTTCTGGCTGGGTGTGGTGGCTCACGCCTGTGATCCCAGCACTTTGGGAGGCTGAGGTGGGTGGATCACGAGGTCAGGAGATTGAGACCATCCTGGCTAACATGGTGAAACCCCGTCTCTACTAAAAATACAAAAAATTAGCGTGGTGGTGGGTGCCTGTAGTCCCTGCTACTTGGGAGGCTGAGGCAGGAGAATGGCGTGAACGCAGGAGACAGAGCTTGCAGTGAGCAGAGATCGCACCATTGCACTCCAGCCTGGGAGACAGAGCGAGACTGCATCTCAAAAAACAAAAAACAAAAAACAAATGTTCCTTGACTTGGCATGTTGGGGTCACAGTCTCCCTTACAGAGATCTCAGTCTCAAGGCAGAGGCAGTTTTATAGATACACAGTTACTGCAGGGGATGTTGAGGACGGTGAGAGCACATCCAAGCCCTGAGGTGAGCAGAGAGTGGTGGGGGCATCCTCCACTGGGAGGGAGGAGCCAGGTTTGGAAAGAGGCATCTCTGGGACCTGTCAGAGGGGAACTGATGACAAGGTTCCTAGAAATCAGCCTGTGGTCCTGTCATAGTTTGGGTTGTTAAAATGTGCTTCATCGTGGGCTAGTCGAGATTTGTGTTAAGCAAATATTTCTGAAGTCTTCTGTGCTTGGCCTTGGGCTGGGTGATGTTGGGGGACCCAGCAGTGCCTGAGATGGACTGGGCCCTACTATTGGGAGGCTCACAGTGGTCAGGGCTGTGATGGAGGGAGCCCAGAGAATTGTGAGCATAGAGGATGTGCCTGACTCTGCCTGGGGGAGAGGGGGCGGGGATGGCTGCCTGGAGGAGGAAGGTTAGTTTGGTTTTTTTTTTTTGTCTTGGTGTCTTGCTCTGTCACCCAGGCTGGAGTGCAGTGGCACGATCTCAGCTCACTGCAGCCTCCACCTCACGGTCAAGCAGTTCTCCTCTCTCAGCTTCCTGAGTAGCTGGGATTACAGCGGTGCGCCACCACACCTGGCTGATTTTTATATTTTTGGTAGAGATGGGGTTTCACCATGTTGGCCAGGGTGGTCTCAGAACTCCTGACCTCAAGTGATCGCCTACCTCGGCCTCCCAAAGTGCTGGGATTACAGGCATGAGCCACCACGCTAAGCCTTTTTTTTTTTTTTTTGAGACAGGGTCTCACTTTGTCACCCATGCTGGGGTGCAGTGGTGTGATCTCGACTCACTGCAGCCTCAGCCTCCTGAGGATCAAGCAATCCTCCTGCTTCAGCCTCCCAATGAACTGGGACAACAAGATTTTGCCACCATGCCTGGTTAAGTTTTGTATTTTTGGTAGAGACAGGGCTTTGTCAGATTGTCCAGGCTGGTGTCAAACTCCTGGGCTCAAGTGATCCTTCTACCTTGGCCTCCCAAAGTGTTGGGATTACAGGTGTGAGCCCCCATGCCTAGCTAAGGAGGGAATATTTTCGTTGAAGTGTGAATGGGAGGCACAGTTTTTTTTTTTTGGAGATGAAGTCTCACTCTGTCGCCCAGGCTGGAGTGTAGTGGCACAATCGCGGCTCACTGCAACCTCTTCCTTCTGGGTTTAAGTGATTCTCCTGCCTCAGCCTCCTGAATAGCTGGGATTACAGGCGCATGCCACTGCGCCCAGGCCCAGAGGGGACTTTTTATACAGAAAACCAGCATGGATGATGGCCAGCACTGAGAGAGTATGGTCCAAGTAGTTGAGTGCAGCTGAGGCCTAGTGTTGGGGAGGCAGTCCTGAATGGTGGGGAACGGGGAGAGGCAGCAGGCAGAGCATGTGCTTCTAGTTCAGGCTGGCTGAAGCTGAGCAGGGGAACAAATGGTCAGGTTCATGTTTTAGATTACAGTTTTCTAAGACTGTACCATATATTCTAGGTTGGGGATGATGAAAGGTGCTTTTAGGTGGAATAAGGACAAGACCTTAAGCTACATTGAATCATTTAGTGAGAATATTTCCTTTTCAGTTGTGTGTCTTATCTTGATTGGGTCATGAGAAAGTTTCATCTTAGTGCTACTGTGTCTTGAACGCCTCTGGGTGGGAGAACAGGCCTTAGGCTTAGAGCCTGCAGCAGGCAGCAGTATCTTGCTGGGTCTTAATAACATTGTTTTGCTTTTATCTTTATAGTTACCTTGTGTTTATGACAAACCTTCAAAAAGTTTTAAATTTTGAAACATTGCATAATATAAAAATGTTTTTATTTAAGAAGGTGAGTAGATTTGAAGAAAATACACATTGAGTATTATCTAAAATGCTTGGGACAAGAAGTGTTTCAGATTTTGGATTTTTTTTTTTTTGATTTTGTAATATTTGCTGTGGAGCGTTCCCTAATCTGAAAATCCAGAATGCTCCAGTGAACATTTACTTTGAGCATGACCTTTTTTTTTTTTTTTTTTTGAGACAGAGTCTTGCTGTGTCGCCTAGGCTGGAGTGCAGTGGTGCGATCTTGGCTCACTGCAACCTGTGCCTCCCAGGTTCAAACAATCCTCCTGCCTCAGCCTCCCAAGTAGTTGGGACTACAGGCGTGCCACCATGCCTGGCTAGGTTTTTTTTTTTTTGTATTTTTAGTAGAGATGGGGTTTCACTATGTTGGCCAGGCTGGTCTTGAACTCCTGACCTCAGGTGATCCGCGCGAGCCACCGCGCCCAGCCTGAGCATGACCTTTGAGCATTATGTCAGTGCTGAAAAAGTTTCAGATTTTGAAGCCTTTCAGATTTCAGTTTTTTGTTTGTTTGTTTTTTTGACAGTGTCTTGGTCCATTGGCCAGGCTGGAGTGCAGTGGTACAATCTCGGCTGAGTGCAACCTTCACCTCCCAGTTTCAAGCGATTCTCCTACCTCAGCCTCCTGAGTAGCTGGGAGTACAGGTGCCCACCACCGTGCTGGGCTAGCTTTTGTATTTTTAGTAAAGACGGGGTTTCACCACATTGGCTAGGCGGGTCTTGTACTCCTGATGTCAGGTGATCCACCCGCTTTGGCCTCCTAAAGTGTTGGGATTACAGGCATGAGCCACTGCACCTGACCAGATTTCAGATTTTTGGATTAGGGATGTTCAACCTGTATTAGGTAAATGGATTGTAGTAATGACATGGAAGAAGTCGTGAAGTTCATGAGTTAAAGACTGAAGTTTGGTATGCATCCATTAATGTTGTTTCTGGTATGGAAAGAGGGATTAGAGGCCAGGAGAGTAGGGAGGAGGCTGGGGTAAGGATCCAGGTGTTAGAGGGCAGTGTCCTGGCCTAGGCTCAGATATATGGGGCTGGGGGAAAAGGATGGGTTGGAGAAATGATGTTTACAGGCAGAAAGGATGAGGATTTGGTGCCTGTCGGTAATTGGAGGAGGCCATCACAGGTCTAGGGGAAGACACTGAGGTCAGTTTGGGACACAGTGAGTATGAAAGGGCTCAGAGGCCATCTAGGGGAGGCATCCAGGATGCTGCTGGTGCATGGAGGTCTTGAGTTCTGGAAAAAAGTGGGACTCTATAGACAGATGAGGACACGTGTCATCTCTAGAGACAGGAACTGAGGTCATGGAAAGTAAAATGGACAGGGAGAGAGGGCATGGAGGGAGAACAAAGTGGCCCTGGACTGAGCCCTGGTAATTGATGTCAGATTTGAAGGGGTTAACAGTAAGAGGAGCTTGAAGAGGAGCTGGTGGAGTTTTGAGAAAAACCAGGAGAGCATGATACGGCAGAAGCCAAGAGAGGAGCATTTCTCCAGGGAGGGCATGGTTGGGGTGCCAGATGCTGCTGGGATGGTAGGGAATACAGAATGGCCACAGAATTAGCAACAGGGGTGGCCAGTGATCTTCGTGAGCAGTGTGGACTAGAAACAGAGATGGGAGTCACTGTCACAGAGATGTCCACCACCGCCAAGGGAGAGGACGAGATGGCCTTGGGGAGTTGTAGAATGGGAAGAGATGGGCCAGGTGCTGTGGCTCACACCTGTAATCCCAGCATTTTCGGAGGCAGAGGCGGATGGATCACCTGAGGTCAAGAGTTCGAGACCAGCCTGGCCAACATGGTGAAGCCACGTGTCTACTAAAAAAATACAAAAATTAGCCAGGTGTGGTGGCGCACACCTGTAATCTCAGCTACTCAGGAGGCTGAGGCAAGAGAATTGCTTGAACCCAGGAGGTGGAGGTTGCAGTGAGCCAAGATTCTGCCATGGCACTCTAGCCTGGGAGACAGAGTGGGACTCTGTCTCAAAAAAAAAAAAAAAAAGAGAGAGAAAGAAATGAGGCCCAAGGACCAAGCTTCATCAAGCTATTATAGTTAAAGACTCGGTGGAAAGTGAGCAAGAGGTCTAGTGCAGGGAGAAGCCCGGGTCAACTCCCAGGGTTGCTTGGGTGGCTGGGGAGATGGCAGTGCTGTCGCTGAGATAGGATGGTAACCAGAGAGGCCAGGCTAGAGTGAAAGGGATATATGCAGAGCAAAGTGGGCTATGATTGGCCAGGCCAATCTGAGGTCAGATTTAGGGTGAGGAACTTGGTTTTTGGATTTTTGGGGTAGCAGAATTCTGGTGCTACAACCCTGCCTGACCCCTGTAGGTAGACGAAGAGCGGCGGAGTGCAGCGGGCAGTGAGAAAGAAGAAGAGCCTGAGGACGAAGAGGAGGAGGAAGAGGAGGAGGAATACGATGAGGAAGAGGAGGAAGAAGATGATGACCGACCCCCCAAGAAACCCCGCCATGGAGGCTTCATTCTGGACGAGGCTGGTATGTCATAGTGCTTGGCCAGTGCCGAGCAGAGGCTGAGCTTCTACTTTTAGTTCCATTTCTTTTTCTTTTTTTGAGGCGGAGTCTCGCTCTGTCGCCCAGGCTGGAGTGCAGTAGCATGAACTTGGCTCACTGCAAGTTCATGCCATTCTCCTGCCTCAGCCTCCTGAATAGCTGGGACTACAGGCGCCCGCCACCACGCCCGGCTAATTTTTTCTATTTTTTAGTGGAGACGGGGTTTCACCTTGTTAGCCAGGGTGGTCTCAATCTCCTGACCTCGTGATCTGCCCGCCTTGGCCTCCCAAAATGCTGGGATTACAGGCGTGAAGGACCAAAGTTCTTAACTTTTCTCGTGCTACGGCCCCTTCTGTAGTCTGGTGAAACCCTGTTCCCTTCTCAGAATCATCTTCTGAAATGCATAAAACAAAATACATAGGATTCCAAAGAGGACAATTTATTGAAGTACAGTTATCAGAATATTTAAAAAGAACATTTTGGTGCATATGTTTCTTTGTTAACATATTTAGGTAATAAGACTTTGTAGGTAGTCTGAGAATCTAATTTTCAAGTAGCAGTGAGTGTAAATGCTGCCTTGAGATACCTATAGCTGTAATGTGCTGTGAAAGAGCCAGTGACACAGCTAACATTGTGTGGTTTGTTGCCATTGTATGTAATTGATGTAAATGCTAAATTTCAATTCCAGGTTACTGAAAATAGGAGCTGTAGTTTTTTCATCGAACACAGACCACCCCAGATGAAAAATCTCTGTTCTACGTGTTAAATCCCTGTTAGTCAAATTGCTAGGTAAAGGTGGTGCATTTTGTTGTTGTCGTTGTTTTTTTTTTTTTTTTTGAGACGGAGTCTCGCTCAGGCTGGAGTGCAGTGGTGCGATGGCTCACTGCAACCTCTCCCTCCTGGGTTCAACTGTTTCTCCTGCCTCAGCCTCCTGAGTAGCTGGGACTACGGGCACGTGCCACCATGCCTGGCTAATTTTTTATATTTTTAGTAGAGACAGGGTTTCACTGTGTTAGGATGGTCTCGAACTCCTGACCTTGTGATCCGCCCGCCCTGGCCTCCCAAAGTGCTGAGATTACGGGCGTGAGCCACCATGCCTGGCCGCACTTTTTTTAAAAAAAGATTTTTTATATTTACGGCCAAATATCAGTTCCTAAAAAGATAAGACTAGTTCATACTTCCATGATGATAATGAATGTGCATGTTTTCCCTTACCTATGGGAAGAGGGGTTACTTAGAACACATCCTGCCTCTGTTTTCCTGGGACTGTTTTACCTGAGAAGAAAAGTAGTTTATTGTCAAAGGGACAGGAGGTGCTCTGGATGTTCTTGGAGAGCAAGAGAATGGATACCATGCTGGGTAAAAGCTGTGGGTTCCCAGGGACACCCATATGTTGGTGGTGGAAGTGTTGGTGGGCACTGCCTGTGTGGAAGGCTGTGTGGCAGTGCCTGTTAGCATTTAACATGCAGGAACCCTTTGACCAAGCAGTTCCTCTTTAGAATTTACTTTATGGTTAAACTTGCATGAGTGCATGAAGACCTGAGAACAAAGATGCTTGTTGTAGTCCTGTTCGCAGTTGCAAAAGTTTGGTGACCTAAATGTTTATTGATGATTAGGGCCTGGTTAAACAAATTATGGGCCATATAGTATATGAGGCATGTGCTGCTGTGGGAGAGCTCTGAGTTAGTAGTAGTTTTGAGAAAAAGAAAGGTACAGAACGGTGTGTTAAAAAAATTACGTGGGGGCTGGGCGTGGTGGCTCATGCTTGTAATCCCAGCACTTTAGGAGGCTGAGGCGGGTGGATCATCTGAGGTTAGGAGTTCGAGACCAGCCTGGCCAAGATGGCGAAACCCTGTCTCTACTAAAAATACAAAAATTAGCTGGGCGTGGTGGCGGGCGCCTGTAATCCCAGCTACTTGGGAGGCTGAGGCAGGAGAATTGCTTGAACCCGGGAGGTGGAGGTTGCAGTGAGCCGAGATTGCTGCACTCTAGCTTGGGTGACAGAGCAAGACTCGGTCTAAACAAAAAAAATTACATGGGGGGAACATAGTGGTGGCGGGGTGGATTACATGCATTTCTTTTCTTTTCTTCTTTTTTTTTTTTTGAGATGGAGTTTCGCTTTTTCACCCAGGCTGGGGTGCAGTGGTGCAATCTCAGCTCACTGCAACCTCCACCTTCTGGTTTCAAGTGCTTCTCCTGCCTCAGCTTCCCGAGTAGCTGGGATTACAGGTGCCTGCCACTACGCCCAGCTAATTTTTGTATTTTTAGTAGAGACAGGGTTTCACCATGTTGGCCAGGCTGGTCTCGAACTCCTGACCTCATGATCCACCCACCTTGGCCTCCCAAAGTACTGGGATTACAGGCGTGAACCACTGCGCCCCGCCTCTTCTTTTTTTTTTTTTTTTTTTTTTTAAGACGGAGTTTCTCTTGCCCACCCTGGAGTGCAGTGGTGTGATCTCGGCTCACTGCAACCTCTGCCTCCCGGATTCAAGGGATTCTCCTGTCTCAGCTTCCCGAGTAGCTGGGATTATAGGCGTGTGCCACTAATTTTTGTGTTTTTAGTAGAGACGGGGTTTCACCATGTTGGCCAGGCTGGTCTCGAACTCCTGACCTCAGGTGGTCCACCCATCTCGGCCTCCCAAAGTGCGGGGATTATAAGCATGAGCCATTGTGCCCAGACCTTTTTTTTTTCTTTTTTCTTTTTTTTTTTAAAGACAGGATCTCACTCCGTTTCCTAGGCTGGAGTTCAGTGGCATGATCATGGCTCACTGCAGCCTCTACCTCCCAGGTCCAAGTGATCCTCTCACCTCAGCCTCCTGAGTAGCTGGGACCACAGGTGTGCATCACCAGGCCTGACTAGACTGTTTTTTTTTGTTGTTGTTGTTGTTGTTGTTGTTTTTGAGACGGAGTTTCCCTCTGTTGCCCAGGCTGGAGTGCAGTGGTGTGATCTTGGCTCACTGCAACCTCCACCTCCCGGGTTCAAGCAATTCTCTGCCTCAGCCTCCCGAGTAGCTGGGATTACAGGCGCCCACCACCATACCTGACTAATTTTTTGTATTTTTAGTAGAGACGGGGGTTTCACCATGTTGGCCAGGCTGATCATGAGCTCCTGTCCTCATGATCCACCCGCCTCGGCCTCCCAAAGTGCTGGGATTACAGGCATGAGCCACCGTGCCCAACCCTAACTAATTTTTTAAGTTTTTGGATTTAGGAGGTCTCACTATGTTGCCCAGGCCGGTTTCAAACTCCTGGGCTCAAGTGATCTTCCCACTTCGGCCTCCCAAAGTGTTGAGATTACAGGTGTGAGCCACCACGTCCAGCCTTACATGGATTTCATATATGTACACAGATATCTCTAGGCAAGAAACTAGTCACGGAGTTGCCTTTGGGAGAGGTTACTGAGATTCTAGGGGTTAGAAATGTGAGGGAGACTTAATTGATACTTACATCCTCTATGGACATTGGAGTTTTTCATTATGTGCATGTATTACGTTTTTAGTGTAATGTTTGATACCTGCAAAGCAGTACATCCAACATGGTAAAGAGATTAAGTACATGGACCATGGAGCCAGACTGCCTCTCTCAGATCCCAGCTGAGTCTGTGGGCAAGTTCCTTAATCTCTCTGGGTCTCAGAGCCTTTGCTGTAAAATAGGAACAACGATAGTGCCTCCCTCGGGGTTGCCAGGAAGATCAGTGAGGAACCTGTGTCAGGTACTCAGAACAGGGCAGGGTGTATAGTATGCTCTCAGCATTAGCTGTTATAAATGTACAAGAATCATAAAACCAACAGACCATGAACCATCTTTTAAAAAACTATTTATTGATCATTTTCTGATAGTTGGGAGGGAACTTTTCTTTTTGCTTACTTTGATCTTAGTTTTTTAAAAGGGATTTGGGAGTGGAGTAAGGAGAGGGGATGACTTTTAGAGTTAGTTGGAGCTGTATGTCCCCCTCGATCCTGATGCGTGCACCAGCTCTGTGGCACGGCCCCAGACGAGTGCCTCCCTGTTGGAGCCTCAGTGTCCTGCTCTGTGCGGTGGGGATTTGTAGTGCACATCTCCCAGAGGAGATGCTTCGTGTCCTGGGAGCTGTTATGAGGTCACCTTTGCCACTTACCACTTGGCCTTTCCGTTTTAGATGTTGACGATGAGTATGAGGACGAGGACCAGTGGGAGGATGGAGCAGAGGACATTCTAGAGAAAGGTGTGTGTGAGCCCTGCCTCCACAAGACTACTGGGAAGAGGGTGGCTGAGAGGGTCTTCAGAGCCCATTCCCCCGACCCCCGCATCCCCTGTACACCCCAACTCCCACCGTCCTCACCTTGCTTCTTTCTGTCCTTCCCAGAGAGACCAGCTCCCTGCTTTTTCCTTTTAGGCCCATGAGTGGGGGGTGGGGCCCTGGGGTGGGGATGTTGTGGGGAGAGGACTCTGGGATCCCAGGGCCCAGTGAATCCCTTCTGGGGTTGTAGGGTGGGCGAGCTCTGTCCCAAGATACCCCCCACTTCCTGGGCCAGTGCCCCCCTTTCCCCGTTATTTTCCGTTCTGTGCGCCTCATACATTTCGGCTTCTCCCCAACCACCTGGTGCCTGGCCTTTACTTTTGGTTTTCAACCTTTCTGTGTCCCTCCCTTCCCCTCCCCCAACCCATTGGTTGATTTTGCTGCTATAATTTGGCTCATACTTTGTCTGCCCTCGCCCACCACCACCACCACCACCACCACCACCACCACCACCACCACCTCCTCTTCCTCCAAGTAGAAGAGATTGAAGGTAAGAATATGAAAAGTGTGATTCCCTGACCTTCCTCCCATATCCTGACATTTCCTCCTTCCTGAGGCACCTGCCCTCACCGGTAGCCTCCCCACCAGCCCCGGTCTGGCCCTGAGGGCTCTGACCCATGTAGGATCCAGAGTCAGGGAGTTCTGGGGCCAGGTATACCCCAGTTGTTGACCTGGGAAAGCACGGATGTGTCTGTCTGGGACTGAGCATTTGTGGGTGGTAGCGATGTGTGGGGTGGGGTGCAGTCCAGGGTGTGCCTGGACTTTGAGATGGGAACAGCTGGAAGCCCCCCAACTTGCTGGGCCCCATCCCCAGTCTTTTTGACAAGAAGCAGGATGCTGAGTAGGACAGAGTAGGGGATGAGGGGTTGGGATTTCCTCTGTGAGATGTCATCTTCCTGCCCCAGGGCCAAACCCTGGCCCTCTTAGCTGCACGCTCCTATTTTCTCCAGGCCCCTGCCCTCCACCTGCCCTTGCTCACGCCCTCTGCCCATTATTTTTCAGCCTCCAATATCGATAATGTTGTCCTGGATGAAGATCGTTCTGGGGCTCGCCGCCTGCAAAACCTCTGGAGGTGGGCAAGGAAGGGAAACGTGGTGGGATTGGCTCCTGTGGGGAGATTTGGGAGTAGGTCAGCCCACCTGCTGTCCTCAACCTTCAATTCGTGTTTGCTTCCCCACTCGTGCTCCAGGGACCAGCGAGAAGAAGAACTGGGCGAGTATTACATGAAGAAATACGCCAAGTCATCTGTGGGAGAGACGTAAGGGCATGGTGGGGGCAGGTGGGGGCAGGGAGCAGGTGGTCCCTAAGCGGGAAGGGGCGGGGATCTGACAGAGCTTCACCCCTTCCTGACTGCCCTCCTCCCTTCAGGGTGTATGGAGGATCTGATGAGCTCTCAGACGACATCACCCAGCAGCAGCTGCTCCCAGGAGTCAAGTAAGGGGGTTGGGATGGTGGGGGCCGTGCTGGGGTGCGAATCTTGTATGGGGTGATGGTGCCTAGACAGGTGGCTCCCTGAAATAAGTCAGGGCAGAGTCACACAGGCAGTGTGGTGGATGGCAGGGGTAGGGAGGGCAAGGTGGCACTTTCTCTTTCCTCTTGCTCCTGGGTAGAAGCGTGGGGAAGTCAGTGAGTGTGAGGGAACCTGGATGTGAAACCAGAGGAAGGGGGTGGCCCTGGGGGTTCGTCTGTTTGTTACTGAAGATCCAGCTTCACTGAAGGCCTTCCTTTTCCTCTGCTGCTTAGGGATCCCAATCTGTGGACTGTCAAATGTAAGGTATGTGCTCTGATCTCGGGGCTTGGAGGAGGTGGGAGAATGAGGGAGGCTGCTTTGTGGGGGAGAAGTGTCTGTCTGTCCCGGGTCTCCGTGGCCTGCCAGTCACTTGGTCCTTCTGTCTCCATCCCTCACTCCACGTTACTGACTGGCTATCTCCCACCTCCATCTTCCTGGCTGTCCATCCTTCTTTCTCTCTCCTCTCTTGGTCCTACTTTATTTTTCTTGCTGCTGTCTCCTTCCCCCTTTCCTGTGTCCTTTCCTCCATCCTGTCATCTCTCTCAAATCTGCCTCTCATCTTCCAGATTGGGGAGGAACGGGCCACGGCCATTTCCTTGATGCGCAAGTTCATTGCCTACCAGTTCACAGACACGGTAAGTCGGGTAGACAGGCGGCTTGGTGGGGAGACATGGCAACACCCAGAGGGAAGAACATTGTCAACTTCAGGGGTACCAGGTGCCTCTGTTGTGAGCAGAGCTGCCTGCTGAGTGAGCTGCTTGAGCTGGAATAAGACCACTGCCTAGATGGAAGGGCTCTTCTCGGCCTAGATGGATATGTTGTCTTTGTTCTCTGCATTTATGGCAGGGTCTTCCCACCCTTGTAGCCCTTTGGAAGTCAGCCAGCTAGCTTCCTGCACCTTTTCTTCATGAGAGTGGGTTTGCCTGTTCACCAGCCCTGTTGGGCTGGGGTCACCCACTTCACCACATGCCAGGCAGCAAATGCTGCATCCAAGGCCCAGGTCTTTCTTTAGACTGACAGAGTTTGAGTCCTGCCCTTGCCACTTCTTAGCTGTGTGACTCTGATGCACCTACTTCCCCTCTCTGGGCCCCTTGGTTGCCTCTCAGCATCATTAGGATTAAGTGGCTTTTGGCTGGGTGCAGTGGCATTCACCTGTAATACCAGCACTCTGGAAGGCTGAGGCAGGCAGATCACTTGAGGTCAGGAGTTTGAGACCAGCCTGGCCAACGTGGTGAAACCCCGTCTCTACTAAAAATACAAAACTCAGCTGGGCGTGGTGGTGCACACCTGTAGTCCCAGCTACTTGGGAAGCTGAGGCAGAATCACTTGAACCCAGGAGGCAGAAGTTGCGGTGAGCCGAGATCGCATCACTGCACTCCAGTGTGACAAAAAAAAGGATTAGGTGGCTTTATGTCCAGCTCTCAGCTAGGACTTGTTCTGCAGCTTGCATTTACTTAGCAGAGCTGTTGTCAAAGGCTTCATTGGCAGTTTGGGAACCAGGGCAAACGCTATGAAGGGTGCTGGCTGGTAACTTTCTCAGTTAACATGATCCCTGCTAGGGATCATGCTTTCACCTGTCCAGCCACTGGGTGTGACCCAGTGGGACCAAGTAGACAGTTGTAGGGTTTGCAAACTATGCTTTTAAATGTGCTCAAATGTCCTCCTCAAAGGCCGGCCATGGTGGCTCATGCCTGAATCTCCAGCACTTAGGGAGGCTGAGGTGGGTGGATCACGAGGTTAGGAGTTCGAAACCAGCCAGTTTGAGACCAGCCTGGCCAACATGGTGAAACCTTGTCCCTACCAAAAATACAAAAATCAGCTGGGCATGGTGGTGCTTGACTGTAATCCCAGCTACTTGGGAGGCTGAGGCAGGAGAATCACTTGAATCTAGGAGGCAGAGGTTACAGTGAGCCAAGACTGCGCTATTGCACTCCAGCCTGGGCGACAGAGTGAGACTCCGTCTCGGGGTGGGTAGGGGGTGGAATGTCTTCCTCATTATTATAGTAATAAGTGTCCCTGCCTGTCATGGGTGAGATTGGGATTTGTGGGGTATGATTCCCCAACAGGGAGGTTGAAAAGGTACCTTTTGGCTAGGTGTGGTGGCTAATGTCTGTAATACCAGTATTTTGGGAGGCTGAGGCAAAAGGAGTTCGAGGCCAGCCTGGACATCATAGTGACATAGTGACAACTGATTTCTACAAAGAAAATAATAATAGGCCGGGCGCGGTGGCTCACGCCTGTAATCCCAGCACTTTGGGAGACTGAGGCGTGTGGATCACCTGAGGTTAAGAGTTCGAGACCAGCTTCACCAGCATGGTGAAACTCCGTCTCTACCAAAAATACAAAAGATTAGCCAGGGGTGGTGGTGCATGTCTATAATCCCAGCTACTTGGGAGGCTGAGACAGGAGAATTGCTTGAACCCAGGAGTTGGAGGTTGTAGTGAGCCAAGCTCGTGCCACTGCACTCCAGCCTGGGCAACAGAGCGAGACTGTCTCAAAAAAAAAAAAAAAAAAATAATAATAATAATAATTAAAAGAAGTGTGCTCAAATCCTCCTACATGGTACCCTGGGGTAAAATTCTAGTTACTTCATTTGAGTTATGTCTCTGATTATTATTTTTTTTTGAGACGGAGTTTCACTCTTGTTGCCCAGGCTGGAGTGCAATGGTGTGGTCTCGGCTCACTGCAACCTCTGCCTCAGCCTCCCGAGTAGCTGGGATTATAGGCATCCGCCACCATGCCCGGCTGATTTTTTTGTATTTTTAATAGAGACGGGGTTTCACCATGTTGGCCAGCCTGGTCTTGAACTCCTGGCTCAAGTGATCCACCCGCCTTGGCCTCCCAAAGTGCTGGGATGGCAGTTCTGAGCCACTGTGCCCAGCCTAAAATTTAATTTTTTTAAAGTGTAAACTGTGGTGGATTTTATATATTGTAGTGTATTCATAACCATCATCACCATCTAATTCCAGGACATTTTCATTATCCCAAAAATAAACCGATACCCATTAGTCATCACTCCCCATTCCTCCCTCCTCACAGCTCCTGGTAACTATGAATCTACCTTCTTTCTCTGTGGATTTGACTATTGGAACTCTGAATGGTTCATACAAAGGGAATCATACAATATGTCGCCTTTCGTGACTGACTTGCTTCACTTAATGTTTTCAAGACTCATCCATATTGTAGCATATATCAAGACTTCATTTTTTTGTTTGTTTTTTTGAGATGGAGTTTTACTCTTCTTGCCCAGGCTAGAATGTAATGGTGCAGTCTTGGCCCACTGCAACCACTGCCTCCCAGGCTCAACTGATTCTCCTGTCTCAATCTCCCAAGTAGCTGGGATTACAGGCACCCGACACCACGCCTGGCTAATTTTTGTGTTTTTAGTAGAGATAGGGTTTCAGCATGTTGGCCAGGCTGGTCTCGAACTCCTGACCTCAGGTGATCGGCCCACCTCGGCCTCCCAAAGTGTTGGGATTACAGGCGTGAGCCACTGTGCCCAGCCTTAATTTTCTTTTTTTTTTTTTTTTTTGAGACAGAGTCTCGCACCGTTGCCCAGGCTGGAGTGCAATGATGCGATCTCGGCTCACCGCAACCTGCACCTCCCGGGTTCAAGCGATTCTCCTGCCTCAGCCTCCCAAGTAGCTGGGATTACAGGCACCCACCACCATGCCCAGCTAATTTTTTTTTTTTTTTTTTTTTTGGTATTTTTAGTAGAGATGGGGTTTCACCATGTTGGCCAGGCTGACCTTGAACTCCTGACCTCAGATGATCCACCCCTCAGCCTCCCAAAGTGCTGGGATTACAGGCATGAACCCACTGCGCCTGGCCAACCGGCCTTAATTTTTGTATTTTTAGTAGAGGCAAGGTTTCACCATGTTGGCCAGGCTGGTATTGAACTCCCGACCTCAAGTGATCCTCCTGCCTCGGCCTCCCAAAGTGCTGGGATTACAGGCATGAGCCACCGCTCCTGGCCTTTTTTTTCTTTTAGTTGGTATTTACAGCTATACATTTACTTCTAAGCATGGCTTTTTTCAAATCTCATAAGTTTTGGTATCTAGGAGTGTGTTGCCATGTATTTGTGAATTTCCTAAGTATCTTTCTGTTGGTTTTTAACTTCATTACATATGGATGGAGAATATACTTTATATGATTTTAGTTCTTTTATGTTTACTGAGACGTGTTTTATGGCCTAACCTGTGGTTTATTCTGGAAAGTTTAATATGCCCTTGAGAAGAAAGTGCATTCTGCTGTTGTTAGATGGAGTGTTCTTTTTTCCCATTTCCGCTTAATAAGTGGAAAGTGAAGACGAAATGTTCTGTCTATAGCTGGCTATTAGGTTTAGGTGGCTTACAGTGTTGCTCAAGTGTTCTCTTTCCTTGTTGATCTTGGGTCTAGCTCTATCCATGATTGAAAGCAGGGTATTGCAGTCAGTGATTGTTACTGTTGAGTTGTCAGTTTCTTCCTTCATTTTCATTAGTTTCTGCTTCATGTATTTTGAGGCTCTGTTAGTTTCATATACATTTGTAATTCTATCTTCCTGATGGATTGACCTTTTTATTGTTACAAAATGTTTTTTGTTGTCTCTGGTAGCAATTTTTGTCTTAAAGTATATTTTGTCTGATGTAAGCACTCCTTTCTTGGTTCTTCTTCTAGTTGCTTTTTTTTTTTTTTTGAGACGGAGTTTTGCTCTTATTGCCCAGACTGGAGTGCAATGGTGCGATCTCAGCTTACCGCAACCTCCACCTCCCGGGTTCAAGCGACTCTTCTGCCTCAGCCTCCCGTGTAGCTGGGATGACAGGCATGTGCCACCACACCCGGCTAATCTTGGATATTTTTAGTAGAGACAGGGTTTCTCCGTGTTGGTCAGGCTGGTCTTGAACTCTTGACCCCAAGTGATCCACCCGCCTCGGCCTCCCAAAGTGCTGGGATTACAAGCATGAGCCACCGTGCCCGGCTCTAGTTGCTTTTTTACACAGAACATATGTTGGATAGCTTTCTATATTAGTACATACAGGTTAATCTAATTTTTATTTTATTTTTTATTTTTAAGAGACAGGGTTTCACTCTGTTGCCCAGGCTGGAGTGCAGTGGTGCGATCTCAGCTCACTGCAGCCTCAACCTCCCGGGCTCAAGCAGTCCTCCCTGCTCAGCCTCCTGAGTAGCTGGGACTACAGGCATGTGCCATCACACCCAGCTAGTTTTTGTATTCTTTAACTGCAACATTGTATTTCATGGTACATTAAGCCATAAGTTAACTAGTTACTGTTTCTGGATATTTTTAAAATTTTTAGTCTGGTTTGTTTGCTGTGATAAATAATTCTGCAGGGAACACCTTTGTGTCCATGTCATTGTGCCAGTGTGTTTCTGTGGAATAAATTCCTAGAAGAGGGACTGCTGATGAGTGGCAGTCATTTCTGTTATTAGCCGTTGTGTCTCACTGTTTCCTCCTTCCACCGGCTCACCCTGCAGCCCCTGCAGATCAAGTCAGTAGTGGCACCAGAGCATGTGAAGGGCTACATCTACGTGGAGGCCTACAAGCAGACCCACGTGAAGCAGGCCATTGAGGGGGTGGGCAACCTGCGGCTTGGCTACTGGAACCAGCAGATGGTGCCCATCAAGGAGATGACAGACGTGCTCAAAGTGGTGAAGGAGGTGGCCAACCTGAAACCAAAGTCCTGGGTCCGCCTCAAGCGGGGCATCTACAAGGATGACATTGCTCAGGTGCCCGGGGCGGGGTGGCATGGGGGTCAGGGTCCCTCCATTCTGTTCTCCCTTCCTTTCCTTTTGTCCTTCCCACCCTCTTTGTGCTGCAGAGAATAGAATCCCACTCAGATGAGTTGAAGCAGAGCCTGGGTTTTGTGAGCACACAGGAAACGGTTGGCTGTCTTCTGTGCACATTCCCAGGCGTGTTGAGTAAAGGTCTGAAGGATCGGAGGGCGTGAGGCATGTGGAGCTCTTGGGGAGGAGTGTTGTAGGCAGCAGGAGTGGCCTGTGAGATAGGATGGCACAGTCACTGGCTACAGCAGGGATGGCGTGAGATGAGTTAGGGAGCTCACGAGGGCCTGCGGCCCATTGGAGAGCTTTGGTGTTTACTGGCGTAGGATGGGAGGGCTGTAAGGGACACAGGCAGACTTCAATGTTAATAAGATTTCTCTGGTGACTGTGTTGAGACTAGACCACTGGTTCTCAAGCCAGGGTGATGTTTCCCCAGGGGACATTTGGTAACGTCTGGAGACATTTTTGGTTATGTCAGCTGGGGAGGGGGTTGACGATTATGGCATCTAGCAGGTTAAAGCCAGAAATGCTAGACACACACATCCTCCAATGCACAGGATGGCTGCCCACAACAAAAAATTACCTGGCCCAAAAAGTCAATAGTGCCAAGGCTGAGAAACCCGGGAATAGCCTGGAGGGGGCCATGGGCAAGAGCGTGGAGACCAGGGAGGAGGCTGCTGCTGTAGCACATCCCACCCAGATGGCAGTGCTGGTGGGATAGGACCAAGACCCTAATACACGTTGAGTGTCTCTAACCTGAATTCTTGAGACCACAGGTGTTTTTCAGATTTCAGATTTTTTCAGCTTTTGGAATATTTGCATTATACTTACCGGTTGAGCATCCCAAATCTGAAAATCCAAGAGTGAGCATTTCCTTCGAGCATCATGTTGGTGCTCACAGGGTTTCCTATTTTTGAGCATTTTGGGTTTTTGGATTTGGAATGCTGAGACTGCAGTGGAGGAGGGGAAGAGGTCAGGTATTTTGAAGGCAGAGCTGATGGAATTTGCCAACGGGTCGGGTGTGGGTGTAAGAGAAACAAAGGAGTCAAGAGTGGCTCCCAGGTTGTGTGCCTGAGCAGAGGGAAGAATGGAGTGGGAGGCGGCAGGTTTGGGGGAATCAGCGGTTTGGCTGCGGTCGTCCTGGATTTGAGGGACCTTTAGACATCCAGGTGGAGATACCAAGCAGGCAGTGGCTACTCAGTGCCAGAGTTGAGGGGACAGACAAGCTAGCGTGGGACTTTTGGGAGTGGTCAGCAGCCTGGTTTCTTCCCCACCATCCTGCGTCCCTTCTCCTTCCTAGCATCTCCTGACCCTTCTTGTGTCTGGGGTCAGGGAGGAGAGTGGGGCCCTGCTGACCTTCTGCTCGCCCTGCTCAGGTGGACTACGTGGAGCCCAGCCAGAACACCATCTCCCTGAAGATGATCCCACGCATCGACTACGATCGCATCAAGGCCCGCATGAGCTTGGTACTCAGGGGAATCTGTGGCCTGGGGGGGAGGGAGTGTGCTCGATCCCACTGGTGGCCAAGCCCCCTCCCTCACCCTTCCCACCCATGCCCCTTTCCTCCATAGAAAGACTGGTTTGCCAAAAGGAAGAAGTTTAAGCGGCCTCCACAGAGGCTGTTTGATGCTGAGAAGATCAGGTGCGTGTCCTTGGGGACTGGCTGGGCTGGGTCCCCAGGGCCGGTGTGTAGAATGTGCCTTTTGCAGGTTCCTCCCCAGGGGTGGCCCCGCCACAGGTTTAGCCTGTGAATTGGTTAGCTTGGCAGTATAGCCTCAGGCAAGTCACTTCACATCCCTGTGCCTCAGTTTCTTCTGCTATAAAGATTGATGAGGCTGGGCGCAGCGGGAGGGAGCACTTTGGAAGGCTAAGGCAGGAGGCTTGCTTGAGGCAAGGAGTTCGAGACCAGCCTGGGCAACATAATGAGATCCCATCTTTTAAAATAATAATAATAATAAAAAGAAAAAAGTTAAAAAAATATTTAAAAAGATTGATGAGGCTGGGCGTGATGGCTCACACCTATAATCCCAGCGCTTTGGGAGGCCGAGGCGGGCGGATCACTTGAGGTCAGGAGTTCAAGACCAGCCTGGCCAACATGGTGAAACCTTGTCTCTACTAAAAATACAAAAATTAGCCAAGGGTTGTGGTCAGCTCCTGTAATCCAAGCTACTTGGGAGGCTGAGGCAGGAGAATCGCTTAAACCCACGAGGCAGAAATTGCAGTGAGCCGAGATCGTGCCACTGCACTCCAGCCTGGGTGACAGAGCGAGACTCCGTCTCAAAAAAAAAGAAAACAACCTCTGCTTCCTCAGATTATAGATTATAGTGAGAATTAAATAAATTAGTATGCATATGTACTCAGAATGCCCTTGGCACGTAGTAAGTGTGATCCATGGTGTGATATATTGAAATGGGATTCATGGACTATGTCAGGCTTTAGAAAGTCTCCTTTCCTGATCTGCTTATGCCCACTTGAGATGGGGGGGTATGGAGTGCCTTTCCCTCAGGATGCCCCCCAGACTCCCTAGCTGGGTAGAGAATTGGAGCAGCCCAGGAATTTCAACATCCCAGGGCCAACTGGGGGCTCCGGCAGGGAGGGCAGGAGAGGAGGACATGGAGAAACGAGAGGTGCCAGTGACACTCTTCCCTCTGGTCCTGTTCTAGAACTAATTGTGTGTGATTCAGCCAGTCAGGTTTTCCTTCAGATAAAGGAAGAGCTGTGGAATGCACCTTTGAGTCTGCACCCAAGGGCCTTGCTAATACTTCACCTGCCTGAGTTCGGACCCATTTATACCACTGGTTTCGACTCACCTGAACCTCTCTTTGCAAAGAACAAACCCTAGTGCTCCCTTACCCCCCAGCAAGCCAGCTGACCAAGTACCCCAGCATGCCCAGCAGAGCATGCTGGCCCCTCTCCCAGATTCACCATGGGAGAAGGCGATTGCATGAGCGCAGGAGGAACTTGACCTGCTCCTCCATGAAGGAGGCTCCTTCCCCACCCCGGAGACTCGGAACAGGCACTAAGCGGCCGCCACTCCACATTTGGGGCCGGGAGCTGCAGGCTTGGGAGTCCCACCTGCCTGCTTTTGAATCCTGTCAAGACTGTGGCTTGGCACCCTTGGGCATGTGATGTGACCTTCCTGAGCCTGCATTCCCTCACCTGGAAATGATGAGCAGTTACTGATGCCACAGATTTGGGGAAGAGCCTGTGAGGTCATGAGTGTGCAGGCCAGGCTGAGCGCTCTGCGAATATTCACTGGTATCATTGTCTGAAACTGTTATTTTGTTCAGCTAATGTTTACTGCATACTTTCTGTGTACTGGGCACTATTCTTGGTGAAATTTAGTGAATGTTACATCCCTGACCTTCTGGAGCTGACATGCTAGTTAGGGGGACAGGTCAAACACTAGATTGTCAGATGGTGATCGGTGCTCAAAGATAAATCAGGGAATGGGTGGAGGAGTGCAGGGAGGTGGGAGGCGGGCCTTTGGGGTTTGTGAGAAGTCACTGCTGCCAAGAGGGTGTGTGCTGGGATGGGATGGGTCAGTCTGCCTGTGGTCCTCTCCTTCTGTTGCCAGCTGAGAAGACTGAGGTACAGCAAGATTTTCTTCTTGACTCTCCCTTCTAATCTTCTCTCCCCCATCAAATTCCAGGTCCCTGGGGGGTGATGTTGCCTCTGATGGTGACTTCCTCATCTTTGAGGGGAACCGTTACAGCCGGAAGGGCTTTCTGTTCAAGAGCTTCGCCATGTCTGCTGTGGTGAGGGTCCCAGAGGGGTGTTGGTAATGGGGGTGGTGTGAGTGTTCTCCTGCAGGTGATGCCCTGGGCTGTGGGTTATCTGGTTCTGTCCCACTCCTCAAGTTAGGAGTGTTCCCTAGGAGAATTATTCCCCTAGGACCCACTCAGCCCACTCAGCTGGGCTGTTGCACTGACCTCGGTCCATTTCCTTCTCTTCCCCTCACCGCTGGGGGCTTAGATCACGGAGGGTGTGAAGCCAACACTCTCTGAGCTGGAAAAGTTTGAGGACCAGCCAGAGGGCATTGACCTGGAGGTGGTGACTGAGAGCACAGGTATTTGATCCCCCTCTATAACCTGGGCCAAGGAGCAGGGGCGGCCCATGGTGGCAACCCCCGAGTCAGCCCTACGACTGCCCCTGCAGGGAAGGAGCGGGAGCACAACTTCCAACCTGGGGACAACGTGGAGGTCTGTGAGGGTGAGCTCATCAACCTGCAGGGCAAGATCCTCAGCGTGGATGGCAACAAGATCACCATCATGCCCAAGCATGAGGACCTCAAGGTGGGTGCCCGGTGTTCTCGGGCAGGGGTTGGAGTGTTCAGGCACATCTGACTGTATGTGGCTGTCGAGGCGGTGGTGTGCCTGGTGACACCTGGTTTCCAGGAGGGTAAGTTGAGGCCCTTCTAGCATTCTCAGGTGCCTGAGAGGCTCTGTCTGAGTGCAGCTCAGGGTCGGTGGGCAGCAGGCCTGCCTGGTGGTGTCTGTCTCTGGAGAGTGACTTGGTCTATCTTTTGTTTCTGAAAAGCAAGATATCTGGGTAGTACTGGGTTGAGAGTGTGATTAACCAAGGAGTAATCTGAGGCTTGACTTTGTTTGCTTAGAGCGGGGTGTGTGTTTGTCTGTGTCTGGTGTATGTCTGAGGGGTTGTGCAGGCCCAGTGTGATGTGTGGGGTGAGGCTGTCTCCGGGTGGGGCTGAGGAGCTGTCCAGTCGGGGGTCCTGTGTCTGAGGGGCAGGCTCTCTGTGTGGGTATAGGTAGGCATCGTGTGTCTTGAGGGCGGGCTGGGGTAAAGGTTGTCCAGGTTGGTGTCCTGTGTCTGGGGTCAGCTGTTTCTGGGGCAGTCTGAGGGGTCGTCCAGGTGGACTAAGGTAGTCTGGGGTGGGTGGTAAGAGCCTGAAGTGGGGTTTTTGAGAACATGCGTAGATTCTGAAGACAGGAGGGGCAGGCAGGTTGTGGTGGTCTCCCTTCACCTGTTTGTTGTCCCCACACCCAATCCCCCAGGACATGTTGGAGTTCCCAGCCCAGGAACTTAGAAAATACTTCAAGATGGGGGACCACGTGAAGGTGATTGCTGGCCGATTCGAGGGCGACACAGGCCTCATTGTGCGGGTGGAGGAGAATTTCGTTATCCTGTTCTCTGACCTCACCATGCATGAGGTAGGTGGATAGAAGGGTCGGGGAAGGGTGCACGTGCCAAGAGGAGACCCAGGTAGGCGAGCCACCTGGACTGGGCCTCACCCCTTTCACCATCCCTGGCAGCTGAAGGTGCTCCCCCGGGACCTGCAGCTCTGCTCAGAGACAGCATCAGGTGTGGATGTTGGGGGCCAGCATGAATGGGGCGAGCTGGTGCAGCTGGATCCCCAGACTGTGGGTGTCATCGTGCGACTAGAACGGGAGACCTTCCAGGTGTGTGTGTTGTGCTCTGTGGCGGGGACTTGCTTTTAGGAGGCTTCCTGTCCCTCAACCCCTCATCCTGGGAGGTGGCAGAGCCCCCAGACTGCTCTGGGTTGCAGATCTGGCTCTGTCACTTACATCTGAATGGCTGATAGTGGGCACATGGCAAGTCATTGATCCCTCCCCTTGCCTGTTTTCACACCCTATAAAATGGAAACGAGAGCAGCGTCTACTTTGTTCATAGTGAATGATTCCCTGAGGTTAGATCTGTACCCTGGTGGCTGTTGCTCGCTCAAGGATGGAGTGCCACATGTGCCCTCCTGCCTTTGCTCCTTCCTCATGGATGTGGGAGTCATGGAGCACAGTACTTAGGATCCTGGACTCCACATCCACATCTTGGCTTTGTTGCTCCTGTGCTGTCTGACCCTGGGCTAGTGACTCACCCTCTCTGAGCCTGAGTTTCCCTCTGTAAGATGGAAATCATGACAGAATCCACCTCAGAGGAAGTTTTGAGGCTTCAGTGAAATCTTACGGGGCCTGACACAGAATGATGGATGAACAATGTTGCTATCAGCCCCTTCTTCCATCTCTCAGGTCCCTGTTGCCCAATCGGGGGTGGAGTCTCCTTCCAAAGGGTGTTTTAGAATGACTGGGAACATTTTTGGTTGACCCAGTACCTAAAGGGTGGCACTCTGCCTGCCTGCCCCGCAGCCAGGGAATTGAGATGCCTTGTGGAGCTTGGGACTGTCTCCCACAAGGAAGGATTATCCCACTTTAGGGAACCCCTGCCCCGTGTCTCCCCTTCCCATTCTCACCCCCACAGCCTCCCTGCTCTCCCTCTGTAGGTGCTGAACATGTACGGGAAGGTGGTGACTGTCAGACATCAGGCTGTGACCCGGAAGAAGGACAACCGCTTTGCTGTGGCCTTGGACTCAGAGCAGAACAACATCCATGTGAAAGACATCGTTAAGGTCATTGATGGCCCCCACTCAGTGAGTACAAGTTCCTGCTTTTGAGCTGCATCTGAAAGAATTTGGTTGGTTGGGGGTGAGGGGGACATGGTCAAGAGAGTGACCCTTCTCTCCCCGGCTAGGGCCGAGAAGGGGAGATTCGCCATCTCTTCCGAAGCTTCGCCTTCCTACATTGCAAGAAACTGGTGGAGAACGGGGGCATGTTTGTCTGCAAGACCCGCCACCTGGTGCTGGCTGGGGGCTCAAAGGTGAGGTGGGCATGGCAGGACCCTGTGCGTTGGGTACCTGGCTCAGCTCTCCAAGCCTCCTCTGGCCCCAGAAGTGATAAGATTGGGCTTGTGAGGGATTAGGAGAGCAGTGTCATTGTCAGGTCCTTGGCAAAGAGTGAGAAGGTTTATTTGGGATTCTGAGCTGTTCACCAAGTTATTTTAAGTTATTTATTCATTTCATTTTACTGAGCACCTGTTAGGTGCCAGACACTGGAGAACCAGTGGTGAACAAGACAAAAATACTCTGCTCTCACAGAGCTGATACTCTAGAGGTGGACAGACAGATAAACCCATCGTACAGCTTGAGGTGATAGCAAGCGCTGTGAAGAAAACAGAATGGGCTCAGGAGACAGGGAGTGACCAGGGCTGCTGTTTTAGACAGAGGAGGGTAAAAAAGGCCTCAGTGGGAGGCAGTATTGGAGCAGAGACCTGAATGAAGGGATGGAGAGTGAGCATTTTGGGGGAACAGCAAGTGCAAAGGCCCTGAGGTGGGGCTTGTAGGAAAGTGTGCAGGACCAGCTGTCACAGAGGAATTCAGGCCTGGGGTGTGGGTGGCTGGGTGGTCTCCTCAGGGCCCTGCACGTGGGATGATGAGTTCCTGTGGTTTGTGGTTCCCCCATCCCCTGCCTGCCAGTTCACTCCTTGCTTCTATCCTAGCCCCGTGATGTGACCAACTTCACCGTGGGTGGCTTTGCGCCTATGAGTCCCCGGATCAGCAGCCCCATGCACCCCAGTGCTGGAGGTGAGAGGGGTTCAGGGTCAGGGGATGTGGTGGGTAGAAGGGGCTGGAAGGAACTTGGTTGTTCAGCCTACACTCACTGAGTGCCTGTGCTGGGCTGGGCACTGCTATTAGGGGTTCACCACCCACAGGAGGGTAGACGCCACAGTGACAGCCCAGAATGGTCAGGGCTTCCATAGGAAAGCCATGGGGCAGGGGTGGGCAGAGGAGGCTCTTAACCCAAGTAGGGAGGAGTCAAGCAAGTGAAGGGGACGTTCTGATGGTGCCCTTGCTGTGGGCACAGCCGTGGGGGACCAGTGACATTCTCCCCAATCCCCAGGTCAGCGTGGCGGCTTTGGTAGCCCAGGTGGCGGCAGTGGTGGCATGAGCAGGGGCCGGGGCCGGAGGGACAACGAACTCATCGGCCAGACCGTGCGCATCTCCCAGGGGCCCTACAAAGGTGACCTGCGAGGCCTGTGGAGGCCTGGGGAGGGGCATGGTGAAGGAGAGCCTGCCCAGCCTGACCTCCTGTCCCCCTGCAGGCTACATCGGTGTGGTGAAAGATGCCACAGAGTCCACGGCCCGTGTGGAGCTGCACTCCACCTGCCAGACCATCTCTGTGGACCGTCAGCGGCTCACCACGGTGTACGGGCGGGGCCTGGGGAGGGCCAGGGTGGGGCTTGCTAGGCAGTGAGAGGGGTCTGCTCACCCCATTTGTTCTCTGCGTCCCCAGGGGCTCACGGCGCCCGGGCGGCATGACCTCGACCTATGGGAGGACGCCCATGTATGGCTCCCAGACGCCCATGTATGGCTCTGGCTCCCGAACACCCATGTACGGCTCACAGACACCCCTCCAGGATGGTGAGTGCCCGCAGGGGACAGGGAAGAGGGGCTAGGGGGACCTAGAGAAGGGACAGGACAGACACACTCATTTCCCCCATTCCAGGTAGCCGCACCCCACACTACGGCTCACAGACGCCCCTGCATGATGGCAGCCGCACTCCTGCCCAGAGTGGGGCCTGGGACCCCAACAACCCCAACACGCCGTCACGGTGAGTCCAGGGTTCCCCAGGTTCTGGTGTGTGCTGGTGTGTGTGAGGGATGATGCTGGGTGTCTGGGGCATTGGAGGGGTTTGTGGGGCCCACCCAGCATTCTCTGCTCCTAGCCTCAGGCTGGTCCCTTTGAAGGAGGAGGCATAGCATGGCGGGGCGGGGGCAAAGCGGCCTCCTCTCCATCCCCAACCTCAGTAGTGATTGTGGTTACCCTTGGGCCTGGAGAAAGACTGCCTGGGTGGAGTGACCTTGGGAGGGCACCCTCATCTCTGTCAACCACAGTGTCAGCTGTGGAAGGGAAATAACATCAGGAGTGCCTCTGGATGGGGCTCCCGTGAGAATGAAATTGCTTCAGTTGGGGGTCTGGTGTAGGGTGCTGTTCTGGAAGCATCCATCGCATTATCACCACAGTCGCTGTCAACAGACTTTTCTCCCAACAGGGCTGAGGAAGAATATGAGTATGCTTTCGATGATGAGCCCACCCCGTCCCCGCAGGCCTATGGGGGAACCCCCAATCCCCAAACACCTGGCTACCCAGACCCCTCGTCCCCACAGGTCAACCCACAATACAACCCGCAGACGCCAGGGACGCCGGCCATGTGAGTCCACTGGGGCCTGCCCTCGTCTACCCCTGCCCAAACCCTCCTACTGCCACCACCTCTTTTCCCCTCCCTCCTCCAACAAATGCCCCCTTCTCTCCTGTCTCTGCAGGTACAACACAGACCAGTTCTCTCCCTATGCTGCCCCCTCCCCACAAGGTTCCTACCAGCCCAGCCCCAGCCCCCAGAGCTACCACCAGGTGGCGCCAAGCCCAGCAGGCTACCAGAATACCCACTCCCCAGCCAGCTACCACCCTACACCGTCGCCCATGGCCTATCAGGTAATGGTCTGCCTGCCTGCCCTGAAGGGTGGTGGGCTAGGGTGACTTTGGGCATATAGGGTCGGCCAGGCCAGATGACTATTCCCAATGACACTTCCTCTTTCCCCTGCAGGCTAGCCCCAGCCCGAGCCCCGTTGGCTACAGTCCTATGACACCTGGAGCTCCCTCCCCTGGTGGCTACAACCCACACACGCCAGGCTCAGGCATCGAGCAGAACTCCAGCGACTGGGTAACCACTGACATTCAGGTGAAGGTGCGGGACACCTACCTGGATACACAGGTGGTGGGACAGACAGGTGTCATCCGCAGTGTCACGGTACGTGGGGCCCAGGGTGGTGGGTGAGCAGGCATCCTCTCCTTGGTACCCCCTAAACTGGAGACAGACCTGTCCCCAGATGGTGACAGCCCAGAGTGGGCAGAGCTGGGATTGAGGAAGCCTAGAGGGCAAGGGGAGCTATGTGAACCCAAAGGAGGCATCTTACCTGATTTAGCGGGGAATCAGGGAGGGCTGCCTGGGGAAGGAGAAATCTGAGCCAAGACCTGACAAATGAATAGGAGTAAGCTAAGGAAAGTGACTGGGGTGAGTGAGTTCCAAATGGAGGGAACTGCATGTGCAGAGGCCTGGAGGTGAGGGGAACCTGGGCACATTCCAGGAGCTGAAGGGTTTGTTGTGGCTGGAACATAAAGAGCCAAAGGGGGCCAAGCAGTGCTTCACACCTGTAATCCCAGCACTCTGGGAGGCCGAGGTGGGCAGATCACCTGAGGTCAGGAGTTCAAGACCAGCCTGGTCAACGTGGTGAAACCCTGTCTCTACTAAAAATACAAAAAAAAAAAAAAAAAAAAAAAAAGCTGGGCATAGTGGCGCATGCCTGTAATCCCAGCTACTTGGGAGGCTGAGGCAGGAGAATCGCTTGAACCCAGGAGGTGGAGGTTGTGGTGAGCCGAGATCGTGCCACTGCGCCCCAGTCTGGGTGACAGAGCAAGACTCCTCAAAAAAAAAAAAATGGTGAGTGATGAGGCCAGAGAGTTGGCTGGGGCCCTGTCATGCACCAGCCTGGAGGACCTAGACTGTCCAGAGGGCGCCGGAGAGCCATGAAGGAATCTAAGCAGGAGAGGGGTGGGAGCAGATCTGTGGTATGGAATTCTCCATCAGTGATGGATTGGGGGTGGGGAGACTGGGCTGGGACCCCAGGGGGAGGTTGGGCTGCACTGGGGCAGGGCTGTGGGGAAGAGGCAGGAGGCAGGTGGGAGAGACCCTCACGGGCTGAATGGCCAGGCCTCAGAGCTAGGGGCTTGTTGGTGAGGGAGGTGACCAAGATGAGGTCCAGAGCTCTGGTGGGGCCTGCAGACCATGGGGCGGTCCCTGAGACCAGGTCCAGGAAGAGGAGCAGGTGTGGGGAAGACGCTGAGGCCAGTTTGGGACATGAAGAGTCAAGAAGCAGTCTCCTTTTTGCCTGTTAGCTTCATTCTGATGCTTCCCTTGCTGATTGGGTCACCCTGTCCACCCTGACATGCACCACAGGCCCCAGGCCTTGGAACCAGGCCCAGCCTTGGCCTTTCCTGCCCCCATTTCACCTTGAGTTCTCAGAATGAGCCCTGAGCCTGTGTCCCCTGGAGTATGGGCCTCAGTCCCATGTTGGGAGCAGGACAGGCTGACCAGGCTGTCCCCATCCTCCAGGGGGGCATGTGCTCTGTGTACCTGAAGGACAGTGAGAAGGTTGTCAGCATTTCCAGTGAGCACCTGGAGCCTATCACCCCCACCAAGAACAACAAGGTAAGGGCAGGGGGCAAGGAGATAAGATGGGGCCGTTGGGTGCTGACATGGACCCTGACCATATTCCCCCCACCCCCAGGTGAAAGTGATCCTGGGCGAGGATCGGGAAGCCACGGGCGTCCTACTGAGCATTGATGGTGAGGATGGCATTGTCCGTATGGACCTTGATGAGCAGCTCAAGATCCTCAACCTCCGCTTCCTGGGGAAGCTCCTGGAAGCCTGAAGCAGGCAGGGCCGGTGGACTTCGTCGGATGAAGAGTGATCCTCCTTCCTTCCCTGGCCCTTGGCTGTGACACAAGATCCTCCTGCAGGGCTAGGCGGATTGTTCTGGATTTCCTTTTGTTTTTCCTTTTAGTTTTCCATCTTTTCCCTCCCTGGTGCTCATTGGAATCTGAGTAGAGTCTGGGGGAGGGTCCCCACCTTCCTGTACCTCCTCCCCACAGCTTGCTTTTGTTGTACCGTCTTTCAATAAAAAGAAGCTGTTTGGTCTAAAAGTGCGTGTGTGTGTGTGTGTGTGTGTGTGTGTGTGTGTGTGTGTGTGTATGCCGTGGGAATGAGGGTGTTGTTTTTAAGTGGGGTCATTTGCAGACCCCACTTCCTTGCTTTGTGGTTGGGGCAAATAACTGGACCCTACCTAAATCTGTTTTCCCATCTAGATAATAGTGATAGTGCCTGCCCCAGAGAGCTCTTGAGGGGAGTGTGTATGAGAAGACGTCGGAAGGAGATGATCAGAGTAGAGCTTGTCATGTGATTGATGACATTATATCTTATTCAGGCATGAATTATGCTAAGTGAAAATCACAGTATCCCCCAGGAAACCTAAATTCCTCCTGTGGTGCAGGATACAGTGCTTGATGGTCCTTTTTCTTTGTTTTCTCTTTATTTTTATTTTTTTGAGATGGAGTCTTGCTTTCTCACCAGGCTGGAGTGCAGTGGCACGATCTTGGCTCACTGCAACCTCCGCCTCCCGGGTTCAAGCGATTCTCCTGCATCAGCCTCCCCAGTAGCTGAGATTACAGGCGTGCACCACCACACCCAGCGAATTTTTTTGTATTTTAGTAGAGACAGGGTTTCACCATGTTGACCAGGATGGTCTTGATCTCTTGACCTCGTGATCCGCCCACCTTGGCCTCCCAAAGTGTTGGGATTACAGGCGTGAGCCACCGCACCTGGCCTTTTTTTTTTTTTTCCTCCCCTGAGACAGAGTCTCTCTCTGTCATCTAGGCTGAAGTTCAGAGGTATGATCTCGGCTCACTGCAACCTGTACCTCCTGGGTTCAAGCAATTCTCCTGTCTCAGCCTCCTGAGTAGCTGGGATTACAGGCGTGAGCCACCACGCCTGGCTATTATTATTTTTTTTTTTTTGTACTTTTAGGAGAGACGGGTTTCACCATGTTGGCCGGGCTGGTCTTGAACTCCTGACCTCGTGATCCGCCCGCCTCGGCCTCCCAAAGTGCTGGTATTACAGGCGTGAGTCACTGCACCTGGCCAATGATCCTTTTTTTTTTCTTTTCTGTTTGAGGTGGGGTCTCCCTCTGTTGCCCGGGCTGGAGTTCAGTGGTGCAGTCATTGCTCACTGCAGCCTCAACCTCCTGCGCTCAAGCGATCCTCTTGCCTCAGCCTCCTAAGTAGCTGGGACTACAGGCGTGTGCCACCACGCCTGGATAATTTTTTTATTTTTAAGTTTTTCATAGAGACGGGTCTCACTATATTGCTCAGGCTGGTCTCGATCTCCTGGCTTCAAGTGATCCTTCTGCCTCGGCCTCCCAAAGTGCTGCAATAACAGGCGTGAGCCACAGTGCTCAGCGGTCCTTTTTCTTGAACCCTGATAGCAGTGACACCAGGATTGCTGTAGTTCATCCAATGACTTGGGGGCAGGAGTGAGTGCAATCTTAGAGACTGGGGCTTAGTACCCAGAACCTGTTTCCCTTCCTCGTTAGATATTCCTGTCTTTTTACAAATGTAAATGTATTATAAAACATTTCAGGCCGGGCGCAATAGCTCATGCCTGTAATCCCAGCACTTTGGGAGGCCGAGGGGGGCGGATCATTTGAAGTCTGGAGTTTGAGACGAGCCTGACCAATATGGTGAAACCCTGTCTCTACTAAAAATACAAAAAAAATTAGCTGGGCATGGTGGCGGGCGCCTGTATTCCCAGCTACTTGGGAGGCTGAAGCAGGAGAATCGCTTGAACCTGGGAGGTGGAGGTTGCCGTGAGCCGAGATTGCACCAACTGCACTCCAGCCAGGGTGACAGAGCAAAACTCTGTCTCAAAAAACCAAAAAAAACCAACAACAACAACAAAAAAAAACACCAAAAAACATTTCAGACGTTCAAGATTATATACCAAGAACACCAATGTCCCCATCAGCCAGCTGAGGAAACAGGAAACAATATGTACTAGATAGGACCCACTTCAGCAGCACCCTAAATCCATTCCCCCAGAAGTAACCAGGAGGGCCGAGTTCCTTGTGTCTTTCCCTTTCTTGAATTTGTATTTTTACTACCTTGGTATTTGGTTTTAAAGTTTACATAAACAGGATCTGATTTTTCTTCCACTCAATTTAAGGGAGGTTCGTGGTGTCTTATCTATAGCCTCTAATTCGTTTCTCACTCAAGCCCTGTACAGCCAGATACTGCTGTTCTTTGGCTGAGCCTCAGGTAAAATGGTTGGCTCTCCAGTCCTTTATAGAAAATCATGGCAGGAAGGAATGGGAGAGAAAACAGATTCTGCCTCCCAGCTCCACGTGAGGAAGAGTTTTATTATTAATTTTTATTTTATTTTTTTTGAGACGGAGTCTCCCTCTGTCGCCCAGGCTGGAGTGCAGTGGCACAATCTAGGCTCACTGCAACCTCTGCCTCCTGGGTTCAAGCGATTCTTCTGCTCAGCCTCCCCAGTAGGTGGGACTACAGGCGCGTGCCATCATGCCTGGCTAATTTTTTTTTTTTTTTGTTATTTTTAGTAGAGACGTGGTTTCCCCATGTTGGCCAGGCTGGTCTCAAAACTCCTGACCTCAGGTGATCCGCCTGCCTCAGCCTCCCAAAGTGCTGGGATTACAGGCATGAGCCACTGCGCCCGGCCTATTATTATTAATTTTAAAAATAGAGATTGCAGTCTTGCTATGTTACCCAGTGTGGTCTCAAACTCCTGGCCTCAAGCGATCCTCCTGCCTCGGCCTCCCGAAGCACTGGGATTATAGGTGTCAGTCACAGCGCCTGGCCAGAAGAGTTTTCGAGGGCTGGCTTTTCAGGTCGTTTTCTGGGCCTCAATGTCTATTTCTGACAATGTGGGGAAAAGAAAGATCAGATTGTTACTGTGTCTGTGTAGAAAGAAGTAGACATAGGAGACTCCATTTTGTTCTGTACTAAGAAAAATTCTTCTGCCTTGAGATGCTGTTAATCTATAACCATACCCTGTTATAGATGACGGGGTTCTCTATAACCAACCCCGTGCTCTCTGAAACATGTGCTGTGTCAACTCAGGGTTAAATGGATTAAGGGCTGTGCAGGACGTGCTTTGTTAAACAGATGCTTGAAGGCAGCATGCTCCTTAAGAGTCATCACCACTCCCTAATCTCAAGTACCCAGTGACACAAACACTGCGGAAGACCGCAGGGACCTCTGCCTAGGAAAGCCAGGTATTGTCCAAGGTTTCTCCCCATGTGATAGTCTGAAATATGGCCTCATGGGAAGGGAAAGATCTGACCGTCCCCCAGCCCGACACCCGTAAAGGGTCTGTGCTGAGGAGGATTAGTAAAACAGGAAGGAACGCCTCTTCGCAGTTGAGACAAGAGGAAGGCATCTGTCTCCTGCCCGTCCCTGGGCAAGTCTTGGTATAAAACCCGATTGTATGTTCCATCTACTGAGATAGGGGAAAACTGCCTTAGGGCTGGAGGTGGAACATGCGGGCAACAATACTGCTCTGTAAGGCACTGAGATGTTTATATGTATGCATATCTAAAGTACAGCATTTAATTCTTTACCTTGTCTATGAACCGTTGTTCACGTGTTTATCTGCTGACCCTCTCTCCACTATTATCCTATGACCCTGACGCATCCCCCTCTCCAAGAAACACCCAAGAATGATCAGTAAATACTAAGGGAACTCAGAGGCTGGAGGGATCCTCCGTATGCTGAACGCTGGTCCCCTGGGCCCCCTTTATTTCTTTCTCTATACTTTGTTTCTGTGTCTTTTTCTCTTCCAAAGTCTCTCGTTCCACCTAACGAGAAACACCCACAGGTGTGGAGGGGCAACCCATCCCTTCAGACAATTGGGAGGTGAGGGCCGATTGCCTTACACGGTGAGACAAGCGGCCTGACTCGTGACTATTTTTTTGGACAAATCAGGCAGCCACTGACTCCCTTCATTATGGCCTCAGCTTTATCTCTGGGCAATAAGTGTGATCCCTTCCTTCGCTGCGTCCTTTGCAGGGGCGGTGGCGCTCTGCAAGGCCCAAGGGGGCGTGGTCCAGATGACTTTGAATCCCAGTTGTCGCCCCCAGGGTCAGCCAGGAGACTAGTCAGAAGCAAACGCGCCTGCGGCAATCCGCCCGATGCCTTTGGTCTCTCTCGGGCTTCCGTCCACCCGCCCCTCCCCCGCGTTTCCATTGGCTGTAGCTCCGGCCCGGGGCGGGCGAAGAGGGAGCGAGTGGGCGGGGCCGCGTGGCGTCAGCGCAAGATGGCGGCCTCGGCAGCGGTGTTCTCGCGCTTGCGAAGCGGGCTCCGGCTCGGCTCGCGGGGACTGTGCACGAGGTTGGCGACGCCGCCCCGCCGGGCCCCAGATCAGGTGAGCGGAACGAGGGTGGCCCTCTGAATGTGGGGTCCCTTCCCTGGAGTTACGGACATATCGCCGCCCCTTGGGGGTTCCGGGACGCCTCACCTCAGGGTGCTGAATGAAACGCCGCTTGTGTTTTGGGGCCCTTCCCAACCTCCTGGGTGGTTGCTCCCCTAGGCTGGAGGCTGGGAATCCAGGTGTGTCCTTAGACCCCACCTCCCACCCACGTGGGTGCCGGAGGAGGAGGGGGTTACCGTTCCCCGTTTCAGTGACCACTCAGGTGATACTTGAGCAGGAGGGGCCTGGGACGCTGGAGTCCCAGTCTGGCCGTGGGAGTTATTTTCTCTGTGGCGTTGGTGGTGGCGAGGTAGACGTTTGGGTTTCCAATTCGACTTGCCTCCATGTTGACAGAGACCCAGCCATTCTGACCTCCAAGTCTATCACTTCTGTGCCTTAGTTCCCCAAGCCCCAGACAAGTGATTGCCCTTCCCCGCCTCCGCTCCTATCCCTTACCCTATAACTCTGCTACTTTTAGCCCCAAGCAGCCGGACGTCGTAACTCCCGGTTCTGTCTGTACCCCTTCCCCCACCACTTGTGCCCTCCGTTCCCTCTCATCCCAGTGTTTAGGCCCTCCCATCCCTTATTCTCCGTGCTTTGCTTTTCTGGGCTGCAGACCCTCCAGTCCTGTTGCCTTCAGGATCCTGTGCACCTGGCCTGTTAGCTTTTAAAACTCCTGGCATCCTGGTGCGGGACAGTCTGGTTTTGACCCTCTGAGCAGCCCCACATCCTGACTGCTACTCCAGGGACACAGATGTCCAGGGCTCTGTGGGTGTCTGCCTCTTGGCTCCTGAACTTGATTCTTCTTGGACTGGAGGGTGGGGACCATCCTGACCTCTCTTCTCTCTTGGCTGACCTCCCCTTTCTCAACCGCAGGCCGCAGAGATCGGGAGCCGCGGGAGCACTAAGGCGCAAGGGCCACAGCAGCAGCCGGGCTCAGAGGGTCCCAGCTATGCCAAAAAAGTTGCGCTCTGGCTTGCTGGGCTGCTTGGAGCTGGTGGGACTGTGAGCGTCGTCTATATCTTTGGTGAGGGACATATCCCTGTCCCCCAGTTTTGTTCCTTGGCCTCCCTGGTCCACTGTGGAACCTCCCACTCTTGCCCACTACCAGCTTCTCTCGTCTTCATTCCCTGGCTCCTTCCTCAATAGGGCAGCCAAATAAGACACCTACCTTGAAAACCAGGGAAGTCTTCTTTCTTCTCCCTTCCACTCCTTAAGGTTCTAGTCTTTCTAGTTGGTTCCTGTACCAGGATAAAGGAAAGAGGGGAAGATGGGGAAGGATAGGCCTGGATCAGCTTCCTAAACTTTGTCTTTCCTCAGCAGCCAAAAATCCAGCCTTCCCACTAGTTACTTTAAATCCCACAGACCCGGCCGGGCACGGTGGCTCACGCCTGTAATCCCAGCACTTTGGGAGGCCGAGGCGGGCGGATCACGAGGTCAGGAGACGGAGACCATCCTGGCTAACACGGTGAAACCCCATCTCTACTAAAAATACAAAAAAAAATTAGCCCGGTGTGGTGGCGGGCGCCTGTAGTCTCAGCTACTCGGGAGGCTGAGGCAGGAGAATGGCGTGAACCCGGGAGGCGGAGCTTGCAGTGAGCCGAGATCGTGCCACTGCACTCCAGCCTGGGCAACAGAGCGAGACTCTGTCTCAAAAAAAAAAAAAAAAATCCCACAGACCCAAAAGACCTAGCCCCAGCCCCATTTCTCTCAAAGACCCAGGAATCTTGGCTCCCAGCCCCCTCCTGGCTTGACTCCAGGAGGCTGTGCCTCTCTCTTTCCTCAGATCCAGGAGTCCAGGCCCCTTATCCCACTCCTCCCTCGGGACCCAGGGGACTGGGCCCTAATTCCTCATATTCATCCTGGTCTCCCTTGCAGGAAACAACCCGGTGGACGAAAATGGTGCCAAGGTGAGGGGGAAAGAGACCGAGGCCTTGCCAGGAGTCCTAGTCTGTGGGTGAGAGGGGTCCCCTTTGGTCTGTTCAGGCACATTGCTGGTCTGGAGTGAGCCTTTCTTTCCCAGTGACCTTTGCCTGTTCCTCTTGGGGTCCTGGAGATTCCTTTTCTGTATGTGATGGGGTTCTGCCTCTGACATCCTAAACCTTCCATTTTTCTCTCTACCTCCCAGATTCCTGATGAGTTCGACAATGGTGAGTAAACAAGCACAGATTCTGGAGTCCCTGACCCTCTCAACTCTGTCATTTGTAAGGATGTCTCTCTCCCCATCTGGTGTCTCCGGCCCCTCCTCCTTCCACTGGGGAGGTGGGGGAGCCAGCAGCTGGATGGCTTTGTGGGGAGGGACATTACAAAGCCCAAGCCCACTTCCCTGGCCCCTCAGCCCCGAGCAGATGGTCAGAGACAGATGGGGGATTGGAGCCTTGGGTGGGAGGGCTTGGGGACACAGGGTGGCCTATCTCCAGACACATGGGTTCCTGTGCCTTAGACCAAGCATCTGCGGTTCCCAACTCCTTCCCCATCCCCCTCGAGCCCCTACCCCATTAGGCTCATTTTCAAAACTATGCCGCCTTCCTCTCTCCCCTTCTGGTTAACCAGCTTTTGGTGGTGAAGTAGATGACAAATTGGATAGTAGAGAGTAGCTGTCAATCCTGTCACACCTGGCTCTTCCTAGGAGAAAAATGAAATTGGTGGGTCCAGAAAGCCACCTGTTTATGCTGGGGGATGTTTGCAAACAGTCATGTTAATACATTGATTGTTTCAAACTGGGCAGTTGTAGAATCATGCTGGCTTCAACAAATCAGTATGCTGATTTAAATTGGGCAGGTACATCTGCAGTTTTAAAGTGTATATGTTTACTAGCCTAACTGGTTTCAATATTGTGGTTTATTTTTATTTTTATTTTTTTTTGAGACATAGTCTTGCTCTGTTGCCTAGGCTGGAGTGCAGTGATGCAATTTTGGCTCACTGCAACCTCCACCTCCTGGGTTCAAGCATTTCTCGTGCCTCAGCCTCCCGAGTAGCTGGGAGTACAGGCGCACACCACCACACTCAGCTAATTTTTATAGTTTTAGTAGAGACAGGGTTTCACCATGTTGGTCAGGCTGGTCTCGAACTCCTGACTTCAGGTGGTCACTCGCCTCAGCCTCCCAAAGTGCTGGGATTACAGGCTTGAGCCACCACTCCTGGCCCAATATATTGTGTTTTTTTTAAGAGGCAGGCCCATGTATTGCACTAAAAATACTGTATTAAAGTAGGTAGCCTTGTAAGTTTACTGTTTTATACTGGATTCATTAGCCGGGAGTGGTGGCCTGTGCCTGTGGTCCCAGCTACTCAGGAGGCTGAGGTGGGAGGATCACTTGAGCCTGGAAGTTACAGGCTGCAGTGAGCTGTGATCCCGCCACTGCACTCTAGCCTGGATGACAGAGTGAGTCTCCATCTCTAAAAAAAAATAAGTTAAAATGAGAAAGTAAACTGGAGTCAATATATTCACTTAAACCAGGGTTTTTCACCCTTGGCCCTATTGACGCTTTGGACCAGATAATTATAGAGGACTGCCCTGTGCATTGAAGGATTTTTGCAGCATCCTGGGCATCTGCCTACTAGATGCCAGTATTGCGATAACCGGTTATATCTCCCGGCATTGCCAGATTTCCCAGGGGTAGGCAGATAGACAAAATTGTTCCTAGTTCTGAACCACTGTTTTATGGTATATGGATGTGTTTATATATTTATTGTGGTTTAGATTCAGCACACTGGATTAAAGTGGGCAGATCTGGAAGCCTAGTGATTCAAAGTGGGCAAAATACAGTGGCATAAATTAGGTGTGGTGGCTCACGCCTGTAATCCCAACACTTTGGGAGGCCAAGGCGGGAGGATCACTTGAGCCCAGGAGTTCAAGACCAGCCCGGTCAACAGAGCAAGACCCTGTCTCTATTAAAAAAGTATGTATACCCTGGTGTAATGTCAGCAGATTTACATGTATGTGGGTTTTGTTTTGTTTTTTTTTTTTCTGAGACGGAGTCTTACTCTGTTGCCACGCTGGAGTGCAGTGGTGCAATCTCGGCTCGCTGCAACCTCCACCTCCCGGGTTCAAGTGATTCTCTTGCCTCAGCCTCCCAGGTAGCTGGGACTACAGGCACATGCCACCACGCCCGGCTAATTTTTTTTTTTTTTTACTGTTTTAGTAGAGACAGAGTTTCACCATGTTGGCCAGGATGGTCTTGATCTGACCTCGTGATCCGTCTGCCTCGGCCTCCCAAAGTGCTGGGATTACAGGCGTGAGCCACCGTGCCCGGCCTTGTATGTGGGTTTTAAGTGGGCCAATGTAATAAGCATTCTGTTTCATACCTGGGGTAGTATGTGGATATAAGTATCAGCTTAAAATAGGGCAAGTAAATAAATCTGTGTTCCTATCTGGCGGTATGTCATTGCCTTCTATCTTTGGACCTAGAAATGAGTTGGTTCAAACCAGGCAGATATGCAGACCTGTTTGTATCTGGTAGATAAGAAACCCCTGGTTTGTCTGGGAGGTTGAACAGCGGCTTATTGTGGAATCTCTTTGTGCCTGGTGTTCTCCTAGATCCAATTCTGGTACAGCAGTTGCGCCGGACATACAAATATTTCAAAGATTATAGACAGGTGAGCAGAAGCCCTGGGCTCAGTCCCCATGTCTCCAGCCCTGGCCTCCTTGTCTGAGCGCCCCCATCCTGTCCCTCTCCCACAGATGATCATCGAGCCCACCAGCCCTTGCCTTCTCCCAGACCCTCTGCAGGAACCGTACTACCAGCCACCCTACACGCTCGTTTTGGAGCTCACCGGCGTCCTCTTGCATCCTGAGTGGTCGGTGTGTCCCGGGAAACCCAGTGGGTTGGGGATAGACCTGGGCAGTGGGGTTGTGATGAGGTGGACTTTCAGCCCTGGCTGTGCTATGTGATCTTGGGGAGGAGATGTCACCTGTCATTGCCTCGCTTTCTTCAGCTGGGAGAAGGCAGTCATGCTAACACCCACTCTGTAGGGTAGTGTAGGTGTGCCCAGGCACGCTATAAGTGCCACAAAGGAGCCAGACCCGCAGTCACAGCCTATGAACTTCTTGACCTCCAAGAGCCACAGAGACAGAGGGAGAGAACTCTGTTCTGGGAATCCCCCAGGCTGGATCTTTGTCCTCTTGGGGACTCTGAGGACCTCTGGGTCTTGGTGTTTCACTGTCCTCACTGTCTTCCCAGCTGGCCACTGGCTGGAGGTTTAAGAAGCGCCCAGGCATCGAGACCTTGTTCCAGCAGCTTGCCCCTTTATATGAAATTGTCATCTTTACGTCAGAGACTGGCATGGTGAGGCTCTGGGGCAGGGGAGGGAATATTGGTGTGGTGGGAGGCGTAGAGATCTGGAGGACCAGGGCTCAGCCTGACCTTTTCTCGCTCCCTTCCCACCCCCAGACTGCGTTTCCACTCATTGATAGTGTGGACCCCCATGGCTTCATCTCCTACCGCCTATTCCGGGACGCCACAAGATACATGGATGGACACCATGTAAAGGTGCCGTGGGTTCATGGGTGGGCCTCTGGGATTTGGCGGAGTTGGCACCACCTGAGGGAAGGAGGGCCCAGCTCTGACCCTAGCCTCACCTGGCTTATGGTTCTGCCCAGATTCGATTCCTGCTGGCAGGCACATGCCTGCCTCTAGCCTTGGCCAGACATCTGCACCCTTCTTTGTTCCCTGGAATCTGGGTGTGGGAGTGGGGGGAAATGGGGTCTCTCTAAAGAAGACAGTTGGGGGTTAGTGGTAAGGTCGTACGATTTAGAAGCTGGTTTTATCTTGCTGTGTCTGTAACTTAGTGTTTCTGGGAAGGTTTGCTTATAGTTGTACATATGAGACTGGTTGGGGTTTGTTTGACCCGGGCTCTGTTACTGTGGCCAGTGCTGTATTCAGGAGTCCGGATCTGCGAATGGGCCTCTGTGGGTCTGGCTCCAAGTGTCTGTGTGTCTGTTGGTTTCTGTCTGTGTCGTGTCGGGGTGGGGGTTCTGTGTTGCTCTTGGAAATTCCAAAATACGTGGGCTGTGATCGAGGGTCTTGAAGGGTCTGTGTCTGGGTGCCTGTCTGTGTGGTTCCCTGGGTGTGGCTGCAGATCTGTCTGCACCTGTTTACTTGAGTGAGAGGTTCTTAAACCTGCAACATACCACAGTCACCTGGGCAGGGGTTAAACACGAGAGTGGCCACCTCCCTCTCCAGGGAACTTCCTAATCACCTCTCTGTGTGCTAGGCCCTGGGTCTAGAAGTCTATGTGATTAGCTCCCCAATATCCTGGGGGTTGTTTTGTTTTTTGTTTCTGAGACAGGGTTTTGCTCTGTCACCCAGGCTGGAGTGCAGTGGTGTGATGAACATGGCTCACTGCAGTCTCAACCTTCTGGGCTCAAGCGATCTTCCCACCTCAGCCTCCTGAGTAGCTGGGCCTATAGGCACACACCACCATGCCTGGCTAATTTTTATTTTTATTTTTATTTATTTATTTTTTTTGTGAGACGGAGTCTCGCTCTGTTGCCTAGGCTGGAGTGCAGTGGCGCGATCTTGGTTCACTGCAACCTCCCCCTCCCAGGTTCAAGCGATTCTCTTTCCTCAGCCTCCCGAGTAGCTGGGACTACAAGCACACACCACCACACCCAGCTAATTTTTTGTATTTTTAGTAGAGACAGAGTTTCGCCATGTTGCCCAGGCTGGTTTTGAACTCCTGAGCTCAGGCAATCTGCCCACCTTGGCCTCCCAAAATTCTGGGAGTACGGTCGTGAGCCACCGCACCCGGCCATTTTTTGTATTTAGTAGATACGGGGTTTCACCATTTTAGCCAGGCTGGTCTTGAACTCCTGACCTCAGGTGATCCGCCCGCCTCGGCCTCCCAAAGTGCTGGGATTACAGGCGTGAGCCACCATGCCTGGCCCTCTGTGGGGGTCGATGCCATCATCCAAAGCCGGTCTTTGAGAGGCCCTGCCATTGTGATCCCAGTATGTGTGATGCTGTGTATGTATGTATGTTTTGTGTGTTTTGGGTCTTCTTGATGGGGGGAGAGTTGGGCACAGATGTTGACCTGATCTGTCACTCACTTCCAGGATATTTCATGTCTGAATCGGGACCCAGCTCGAGTAGTAGTTGTGGACTGCAAGAAGGAAGCCTTCCGCCTGCAGCCCTATAACGGCGTTGCCCTGCGGCCCTGGGACGGCAACTCTGATGACCGGGTCTTGTTGGATCTGTCTGCCTTCCTCAAGAGTAAGGCTGACCCCTGATCCCTTGGCCTCTGACCCCAGAGCCCCTGACTCTGAAGAGGAAGGATAAATGCATGATTCATGGCTGGGCGACTGAGGTGCAAGAGGTGCCTGAGCACCTTGGAGTCTTTAGGAGCTTCTTAGGATGTTCATGGAATGTTTGGGGGATACTTGGGGATGTTCAGGGGAGCCCTTTCAGAGCGTTCAGAAGCATTCCAGGTAGCACTGACTGCCCCCGTGCCCCAGTGCGGGACGTTCCCCTCATGGGCCCTGCCTCCCTCTGGCCTTTAGAAGCCTGGCTGACCACCCCCTGTTGTGCCCACAGCCATTGCACTGAATGGTGTGGAGGACGTGCGAACCGTGCTGGAGCACTATGCCCTGGAGGATGACCCGCTGGCGGCTTTCAAACAGCGGCAAAGCCGGCTAGAGCAGGTTGGTGCTCAGATGCCCAGAGTGGAGGATCGGCTCTGAGGCTCCTGAAGGAGGAGCCTGGGGCAGTCCATCTCCACACTCTTGGTTTGGCTGTGTGACCCTGAGCAGATACCTCCTCTCTGCCTCAGTCTCTGTAACCAGGGGGATATAACACAGCCTGTCCTGTAGGGCTGCCAGAATGAGGGGATGCATTGATTCTGCAGCCTGCTCTGAGAACAGGAAACAGGAGAGGATTTGAGATTAGGCTGGGAGAGGGGTTGCCCTTGATGGTCTTGAGTAGGTCTGGGGGCACCTTGTGGAGGTGGATTGTGGGTTTTAGATCAGGCCTGGAAAGAGGCTCCCTGGGCACGTGGCCCAAGGCTGTGGGGAGAGATGTGATAGTCTTGGTGGGACCCTGGTAATTTGGAAGTGGGACTGAGAGTATGGATTGCGTCTGGGTAAGATTCCCAGGGGTCTAGGCTGAGGTTCACCAGATTCTAGGTTAGGTTCCTAGAGTTGGGAGCCCCTGAGTGCCCAGAGAAGTCCCTAGAGATTTGGGCCTGGGGACCCCCCAGGGAACCCCCCACCCCTGCATCCAGAGAGGGGTCATGGGGCTCAGAGGGCCCAGGGGCAGGATGATGCAGTCTGGTGAGGAGGGCCATGGGGTTTGGACCTGGGATCTCACCAGCATTCACCTTGGGGTAACAGGGTCTGCGATAGGATCTCAGGCTCAGGGGAGGGGTCCCTGGGATCTGGGGAAGGAGATTATGACAGTCTGGGGCCTGAGAACCTACTGCAGTTCAGGCCTGAATACCTCGAGTGCCTAGTATTGGAGTCTGTCGTCCCCCAAACATTGAAGCCTAGGCTCCTGCGGCTCAGAGCTGGCTCTTCCTAGTGTCTGGGGTGGGGGGACTGGGGTCTAGGGTCCCTTGTGTCTGGGCTGGGGGCCCCAGGGTTTGGGGAAAGGGGTCTGGACTTGGCAGAAGTCAGAAGGAAAGGTGGTCCCTGGGCTGAGGCCTGGGGACCTGGGCATCTGGGAGGAGGCTCTGTCCACCTTGCGCTGACCCTCTCCTCCAACTGTCCCCCTACCCCAGGAGGAGCAGCAGCGCCTGGCCGAGCTCTCCAAGTCCAACAAGCAGAACCTCTTCCTTGGCTCCCTCACCAGCCGCTTGTGGCCTCGCTCCAAACAGCCCTGAACTCTGGGCCTCCTCAAACTCAGTGCCTGGGTCCAGGGCCCCAGTGCTTCCAGACCAAGACTTGGGCCACCACTTGTCCAATAAAGTACATCCCAGACGCCACACCTGCTGTGTCCCGAGAGTCTCCAGATGGGGGCATCAGGGTGAGGTCCGGGACTCTTGGGTCATCGTCCCACAGTGGCTGATCGGCTGCCAAGCACAGTGGGGGTGCTTTGTTGGATCAGAGCAGATTTTTCACCCTGGTCTCGGAATCTAAAAACCCTCGCTGTGTCTTCCTGTGTGTTGCGTGATCTGTGAAAAATACATCTCCCTCTGACCACAGACTCCTCATCTGTGGAGAAGGGAAGAGAGGATGGCACTTGGCTTTAAAGACAGGTAGCTGCCAGGCTACTGTGGAGAGAATGTGTTATGGGCCTAGTGGGCCTCTGGTGGACCAGAGATTACCCCTCTCAACAGGCCAGCTGCTGGTTGGCTCCAGCCAGTGTGGCCCTGGGGTAAAGGGGGCCTGGAGTTGCTTGACACGCCAGTTGTTCAAAAGAAGCAAGAACTTGGGAATATTTTTTTTTTTTTTTTGAGACAGGGTCTCACTGTTGCCCAGGCTGGAGTGCATTGATGTGATCTTAGCTTACAACAGCCTTGACCTCCCGGCTCAAGTGATCTCCAAGTGACCCTCCTGCCTCAGCCTCCTGAGTACCCTCCTGGGGACTACAGGTGCGTGCTACCATACCCAGCTAATTTAAACAAATTTTTTTTTTGTAGAGATGGGGTCTTGGTGCCCAAGCTGGTCTCAAACTCCTAGTCTTAAGCAATCTTCCTGCTTTGGCCTCCCAAAGCGCTAGGATTCCAGGTGTGAGCTACTGTGCCCAGCTAAAATAGGGATTTTTATATTAAATCTCCCTATTTTAAAATGTTGGCTCCTAGCGGGGCGCAGTGGCTCACGCCTGTAATCCCAGCACTTTGGGAGGCTGAGGTGGGTGGATCACCTGAGGTCAGGAGTTCAAGACCAGCCTCAACATGGAGAAACCCCATCTCTACTAAAAATACAAAATTAGCTGGGCGTGGTGGAGCATGCCTGTGATCCCAGCTACTCAGGAGGCTGAGGCAGGAGAATTGCTTGAACCTGGGAGGCGGAGGTTGTGGTGAGCCGAGATCGCACCATTGCACTCCAGCCTGGGCAACAGCAGCGAAACTCCATCTCAAAAAATAAAATAAAATAAAAATAAAATGTTGGCTTCTAACTAAAACAGGCAGATATGTAGCAGTGTTCTCCACTGGAACTTTCTGTGATGTTTGGTTCATGTTCTAGGTCTGTACTGTCCAGTACAGTAGCCAGTGGCCACATAAACCTTTGTTTTTTTTTTTTGAGACGGAGTTTCGCTCTTATTGCCCAGGCTGGAGTGCAATGGCACGACGTCGGCTCACCACATCCTCCGCCTCCCGGGTTCAAGCAATGCTCCCGCCTCAACCTCCCAAGTAGCTGAGATTACAGGCGCACACCACCACGCCCGGCTAATTTTTGTATTTTTTTAGTAGAGACAGGGTTTCACCATGTTGGTTAGGCTGGTCTCGAACTCCTGACCTCGTGATCCGCCCGCCTCGGCCTCCCAAAGTGCTGGGATTGCAGGCATGAGCCACCATGCCTGGCCCCACATAAAGTTTCTGAGCACTTGAAATGTGGCTAGTGTGACTGAGAAACTGAATTTTTAATTTTGTTTGAGACTGGGCACAGTGGCTCACGCCTGTAATCCTGACACTTTGGGAGGCCGAAGCAGGAGGATTGCTTGAATCCAGGAGTACGAGACCACCCTGGGCAACATGGTGAAATCCTGCCTCTAAAAAAAAAACAAAGTAACGAGCCCAGCGAGGTTATGCATACCTGTAGTCCCAGCTACGTGAGAGGCTGAGGTGGGAGGAATCCCTTGAGCCAAGGAGGTCGTGCGTGGCTGTGATGATCTGTGATCGTGCCGCTAAATTCTAGCCTGGGCAACAGAGCGAGACCCTGTCTCAAAAAAAAAAAAAAAAAAAAAAAAACCTTAAGATTTTTTTTTGGAGTCAGGGTCTCGCTGTGTCGCCCAGGCTGGAGCACAGTGGTGTAACTATAGCTCACTGCAGTGTTGAACTTCTGGGCTCAAACAATCTTCCTGCCTTGGCCTCCCCAAATGCTGAGATTATAGGAGTGAGCCACTCTGCCCAACTACTTTTAATTAAATAGCCACATGTGTCTCCTGTATTGACAGTACCACTGTGTATTAAGAGTATGAGTCCCAGATTGTGTAAGTTCAAATCCAAGCTCTACCACTTCTCGGCTGGCTTGTGATCCTGTGCAAGTTACTTTACCTCTCAGTGCCTCGGTTTCTACATTTATAAAATAATAACTGGGCAGGCACAGTGGCTCATGGCTGTCATCCCAACACTTCAGGAGGCCGAGGTGGGAGGATCGCCTGAGGCCAGGAGTTGGAGAGCAGCCTGGGCAACATGGGAAGAGCCTGTCTCTTGCGGGGGGGGGAGAAGAAAGTTCTTGTCTCAGGCTAGCTTTGGGGACCAAATGAAGCACTCCCATGTAGGCACTCAAATGGAACTATGTAAACCTTAGGCAAGGCACCTCTGCCTCAGTTTCCTCATCTCTAAAATGGGGTGATGGTAGTATGTTAGCAGAGTGGTTGTGAGGAGTGAACGGGACAGTCCGTATGTGGGTTATATGTATATATTCCCAGGTGCTTGCTGTTACCAGGCCATATGGGTTATTCACAGATTGAAATATCTTAGCTGGGCACGGTGGCTCACCCCTATAATCCCAGCACTTTGGGAGACCGAGGCGGGTGGATCACCTGAGGTCAGGAGTTCGAGACCAGCCTGGCCAACATGGTGAAACCCTGTCTCTACTAAAAAAATACAAATAAATTAGCTGGGCATGGTGGTGGGTGCCTGTAATCCCAGCTACTTGGGAGGCTGAGGCAGGAGAATCGATTAAACCCAGGAGGCAGAGGTTGCAGTGAGCTGAGATCACACCATTGCACTCCAGCCTGGGCGACAGAGTAAGGCTCTGTCTCCAAAAAAAAAAAAAAAAAAAAACAAAAAAAAAACCAGTTTGACTTTATCTCCCTCGCCCTGCCTCCATCCCCACATTGCCCCCCACTATCCCAGTCTCTCCTACTCCAGCCTTCATCTAGTGCTAACTGATTAAATATTCTAAGATGACCTTCTCTGGTGTGTGTGATGATAATTAAAAGGCATTCAGAACTGTGTGGACCAGACTGAACCTCTGCACTCTAGATTTTTTTTTTTTTGAAGCCTCTACAAAGGATAATTAAAATTTACACCATGACTCTTTGTCCTGGGGTGCACTGTCTGTAAGCCGGTGGAGTTATTTCCCAAAATCCTTGGTCCTTCCCAGCTTGAGGAAGTCTGCAGGACTGAGGGAGGGGACCTGTGCTTTTTTTTTTGTTTTTTTGAGATGGAGTCTCTGTTGCCCAGGCTGGAGTGCAGTGGGGCGATCTCGGCTCACTGCACCCTGCACCTCCTGGGTTCAAGTGATTCTCCTGCCTCAGGCTCCCAAGTAGCTGGGATTACAGGCGTGTGCCACTGTCAGGCCTCTGAGCCCAAGCCAAGCCATCGCATCCCCTGTGCCTTGCACATATACACCCAGATGGCCTGAAGTAACTGAAGAATCACAAAAGAAGTGAAAAGGCCCTGCCCCGCCTTAACTGATGACATTCCACCATTGTGATTTGTTCCTGCCCCACCTTAACTGAGTGATTAACCCTGCAAATTTCCTTCTCCTGGCTCAGAAGCACCCCCACTGAGCACCTTGCGACCCCCCACTCCTGCCCGCCCTTTGACTGTAATTTTCCATTACCTTCCCAAATACTATAAAACAGCCCCACCCCTATCTCCCTTCGCTGACTCTTTTCGGACTCAGCCCACCTGCACCCAGGTGAAATAAACAGCTTTATTGCTCACACAAAGCCTGTTTGGTGGTCTCTTCACACGGACGCGCATGAAAGCCACCACACTCAGTTAATTTTTGTATTTTTAGTAGAGACAGTTTCACCATGTTGGCCAGGCTGGTCTCGAACTCCTGACCTGAGGCGATCTGCCCGCCTCAGACTTCCAAAGTATGGGGATTACAGGTGTGAGCCACTGTGCCCGGCCTAATTTTTGTATTTTTAGTAGAGATGGGGTTTCACCCCGTTGGTCAGGCTGGTCTTGAACTTCTGACCTCATGATCCACCTGCCTCGGCCTCCCAAAGTGCTGGGATTACAGGCGTGAGCCACCGCGCCTGGCTTTTTGTTTTGTTTTGAGACAGTGTCTCACTCTTGCTCACACTGGAGTGCAGTGGCGCTGTCACCACTCACTGCAGCCTCGACCTCCTGGGCCCTCGTGATCCTCCCACCTCAGCCTCCCAAGTAACTGAGACTACAGGCACATGCCAACATGCCAAGCTAATTTTTTGCATTTTTTTTTTTTAAGAGAGATGAGGTTTCAGGCCGGGCACGGTGGCTCACAGCTGTCATCCCAGCACTTTGGGAGGCCAAGGTGGGCGAATCACGAGGCCAGGAGTTCAAGACCAGCCTGGCCAACTTGGTGAAACCCCGCCTCTACTAAAAATACCAAAGAGTGGCTGGGCGTAGTGGTGGGCGCCTGTAATCCCAGTCACTCGGAGGCTGAGGCAGGAGAATCGCTTGAACCCAGGAGGCGGAGGTTGCAGTGAGCCGAGATCGCAACACTGCACTCCAGCCCAGGTGACAGAGTGAGACTCTGTCTCAAAAAAACCAAAAAACCAAAGCTCTGCTGTCATGAGCTGATGTTCAGTGTTCTCATGGAGGAGACAAACAATGATCAGATAACTTCCTAGGGTAATAAATGCATAAAGAAAAAGTATAGCAAGGAGCAGCAGTGATCTGGGGACTCAGAGGACTGGTTTAGACCTGATGGGATGGTCGGGAGGCCTCTTGGGAAGGCGCATCTGAGCAGAGATGGGATGAAGTGAGGAGGGAAGCCCTGGGATAGCTGAGTGTGCCTGAGGCACACTCAGGGCCTCATGCTTACCGCAAGGCCTCCGCAATTGCTGTTCGCTCTGCCAGAAGTGTTTTTCCCTAGAGACTACACAACTTACTCCTTTAGGCCTTTGCTTAAATGTGACCTTAGCATGGCCTATTTTTTTTTTTTTTTTTTGAGACAGTCTTGCTCTGTTGTCCAGGCTGGAGTACAGTGGTGTGATCTTGGCTTACTGCAACCTCCACCTCCAAGATTCAAGCGATTCTCCTGCCTCAGCCTCCCCAGTAGCTGGGACTACAGGCGCCCACCACTATGCCCGGCTAAGTTTTGTATTTTTAGTAGAGATGGGGTTTCATCATGTTGGCCAGGCTGGTCTCGAACTCCTGACCTCAAGTGATCTGCCCGCCTCAGCCTCCCAAAGTACTGGGATTACAGGTGTGAGCCACTGTGCCTGGCCAGCATGGCCTTCTATGGTGACTACAGTCAACATATAAAGAAAAGTTGTGAATAGCCAGAAAGATGCTCAGAAATCCCTTAAAGTACACGACACGACACACGCACACACACCACAAGAAAATCCACAAGAAATGCCATCGTGCCTGCCACAAACCTTCACAAAGGCTGGCAATTTTTATAATCTTTAAAATTTTAGAGCCAGGCTCAGTGGCTCACGCCTGTAATTCCAGCACTTTAGGAGGCTGAGACAGGAGCATCACTCGAGGCCAGGAGTTCAAGACCAGCCTAGGTAACATAGTGAGACTCTATCTCTAGGAAAAAAAAAAAAACAAACAGGCCAGGCGTGGTGGTGGGCGCCCATAATCCTAGCTAAATGGGAGGCTGAGGCAGGAGAATCGCTTGAACCCGGGAGGCGGAGATTGCAGTGAGCCGAGATTGAGCCACTGCACTGCAGCCTGGGTGACAGAGCGAGACTCCGTCTCAAAAAAACAAAACAAAACAAAAACAAAAAAACCCCAAACAAAACAAAACAAAACAAAAACAAACATTCTGAGATATCTCAGACCTGGAATCTGTTCCCCCCAATGATCATCCAGGGCAGGAATTTGCTTCCTTCCATAGCTGGTTGCCCAAATTCTGTTAAAATATATTCTGTGATGGGAAGCCTATTCCCTCACCTAACCCAGTATTAGACCTAATTTGCCTCCAGGTGACTTTGGTTTACAAGGTCTGGCTTTACTCCTTGGGGCCACATAACTTGTCTGACCTCGGGGGGATGTGGAAGGAGGGTCTCAAATGTCAGCCTTAGAAGCTTACATATTTAGAAGGCACTGGGGAGCTACAGAAAAGTCTAATGCAAGTGAAGGAAATGGTCTGATTTGTGCTTAGATAAACCCCACAGGGCCAGGCATGGAGGCTCATGCCTGTAATCTCAGCACTTTGGAAGGCCGAGGTGGGAGGATCGCTTTTGCCCAGGAGTTCAGCCTGGGCAACATAGGGAGACCCCATCTCTACCAAAAATAATAAATTAGCCAGGTGTGGTGGCTCATGCTTGTAATCCTAGCTACTTGGGAGGCTGAGGTGGGAGGATCATTTAAGCCCGGGAAGTCGAGGCTGCAGTAAGCTAGGATAATGCCACTGCACCGCAGCCTGGGCAACAGAGACCCCATCTCAAAAAAATAAAGACCTCATAGGCCAGAATGGTCAAGGCTGAGGGAGGCACAGACAGAGGGGTCGGGCAGAATAAAAGAATCATAGGGGGATGTGGGAGCTCAGAGGAGGTGCTTGATGCTTCTGGGGAGTGTTAGGTAGTGCTGCCTGGAGGAGGTGAAGTCTGAATGGTGAAAAAGGAATTAAAGAAGGGAGTGGAGCCGGGCACGTTGGGTCACGCCTGTAATCCCAGCACTTTGGGAGGCCGAGGTGGGCGGATCACGAGGTCAGGAGTTGAAGACCAGCCTGGCCAAGATGGTGAAACCCTGTCTCTACTAAAAATACAAAAATTAGCGAGGCATGGTGGTGCGCACCTGTAATCCCAGCTACTCGGGAGGCTGAGGCAGGAGAATCGCTTGAAACTGGAAGGCGGAGGTTGCAGTGAGTGGAGATGGAGCCGCTGCACTCCAGCTTGGGCAAAGAATAAAACTCCATCTCAAACAATAATAATAAATTAAAAAAAAATAAGGGAGTGGAAAAGACAAATACAGGGAAAAGGAGCCTGGGATGTTCTGCCCAATCTGACCCATGGCGCTGCCTTGCTCAAACGCCACTGTTGTCAGAATTAAGAGAAGAATCTTTAGGCTGTTTTTTTCTCCTCCTCCTCCTCCTTTTCTTTTTTTTTGTAGAAAAGTGTGTCTTGCTGTGTTGCCCAGGCTGGTCTCAAATTCCTGGCCTCAAGCAGTCCCCTGCCTCAGCCTCGGAAAGTACTGGGATTATAGGCGTGAGCCGCTGTGCCCAGCCTGGTCTTCTTTCATTCATTAAAAAATTAACTGCGCAGGGATTAGTGGCTCATGCTTGTAATCCCAGCAATTTGGGAAGCCGAGGTGGGTGGACCACTTGAAGGTCAGGAGTTCGAGACCAGCCTGGCCAACATGGTGAAACCCCGTCTCTACTAAAAATATAAAAAATTAGCCGAGTGTGTTGGTGGGTGCCTGTAATCCCAGCTACTCTGGAGGCTGAGGCAGCAGAATCGCTTGAACCCGGGAGGTGGAGGTTGCAGTGAGCCAAGATCGCACCACTGCACTCCAGCCTGGGCAACAAGAGCAAAACTTCTTCTTCTGAAAAAAACAACAACAGCAACAACAAAAAACAGAGCGCCTACTGTATGCCTGGCTCTGCTGGGCTAGGCTTCGTTGGTTACTATATCTTACTTCTCTGGAAAAAGACATATAAATTGAACCTGTATTTTCCCCTATAATTATTAGCCTCTAAGCACTAAAGTTTTTTACTTTGGGGGGGAAAAAAAAGAAGTTACCCCAGCTCAAGGGTTTTGCCCCATGCCTGGCAGGGAGCAATTATGACCAGAGGGGCTGGGACATCTGCTCCTAATTGGCTTTTCCTGCTGAGGTCCTGGAATACTAAAGGGTTTCTGAAGGGCCCGGGATGTCCCCCCCCCCAGTTCTTCTGGGGTGGGGGAGCGGGTCCCTGTATGTGAAGACGGAATTTCCTGCCCATTTGCTCCTCACACCTTCCGGAGGCCAAACGGGCAGCCCAGCTGCGGCCCGAAGGGGGAGGGGCTCGGCCGCCCGGCAGATGGCGGCATTTACATACAGCTGGGAGCCCCCTCTTGAGGCCGAGCTCCTCGCCCTGGCGTCTGGTGCGTCCGCGATGCGGGGTTTGGGAGGGTGGCTTTGTCTTGCGGAGGGGGAACACACACACGCCTGCACACAGGGGTCCACAAAGAGCCCTGGATCTTCATCGTATCCACACACAGCTACACCCGTGGATCTCCCAAACCCAGTCTCATTCACACAAACCAGCGCACACAGGGGTCTACAAAGAACTCCGGATCTTCATCGTATTCACACGCGGCTGCATCCGTGGACCTCTCAAACCCAGTCTCATTCACACACAGGCGCCCTCAGCCATTCACCACCTTGCACAGCCTCTACCACACCCGCACAGAGCACAAAGTCACAGGTTTATACGCCTATACAGGATCTCCCATAAACACACACGCACAGAGAAGCAGCCACACAGCCACACAATCTCAAAGCGTCACACAATCACGAAGTCGTGTACACTTCTAGTGTCCCACTCGGGTGTGCGTGCAGAATCAGAATTGTTTACAACCTCATAAATGTGTCAATCACACACAACTCCAGGCGTATGCTGAGCCGCACAGTCCCACGTGGACTCACAATGACAAAGTCATGTGCACCCTCCGGTAGCTCTGGTTCATACCACACACACAAAATCTTAAAATCATGTACAACCTCACACACAGGCTTAGCCCCCTAACCCCACCCCACCCTAGCCACACAAAAAGTCGCGGGATCACCCACGCATGACCTCGCTCGTGCCCACGACCACAGACGGAATCTCGCTGTTGCTCCTGCACGCTCCCCCTCCCCTGTGACCGCCCCCCCCGCCCCGCCCTTGGTCCCTTGGGGCCGGGTAGCTGCCTGAAGGGGCGGGGCCATTCTCTCAGATATAAGGCTTGGAAGCCAGCAGCTGCGACTCCCGAGACCCCCCCACCAGAAGGCCATGGTCTCCCCACGGATGTCCGGGCTCCTCTCCCAGACTGTGATCCTAGCGCTCATTTTCCTCCCCCAGGTCAGAGCCAGGTGGGAGGTGGCGTGGAAAGGGATGAATGCGGAGGGGAGGGGTGAGTGCGACCTGAAGGTCCTGGGGAAGGAGCGTGGGGCGGACGGGAAGCCTGGGTCCTCCCGGCCGCCTCACCCTGCGCCCGTCTCCGTCCCAGACACGGCCCGCTGGCGTCTTCGAGCTGCAGATCCACTCTTTCGGGCCGGGTCCAGGCCCTGGGGCCCCGCGGTCCCCCTGCAGCGCCCGGCTCCCCTGCCGCCTCTTCTTCAGAGTCTGCCTGAAGCCTGGGCTCTCAGAGGAGGCCGCCGAGTCCCCGTGCGCCCTGGGCGCGGCGCTGAGTGCGCGCGGACCGGTCTACACCGAGCAGCCCGGAGCGCCCGCGCCTGATCTCCCACTGCCCGACGGCCTCTTGCAGGTGCCCTTCCGGGACGCCTGGCCTGTAAGTGCTGCCCCCGGGGGACTCCCGGTGCTGGAGGCCTAACCCTGCCAGCGAAACCTCCACCTCCTCTCCCCTCCAGCTTCCAAGACCCTAATCCTGCCTCCCAGGGGGTGGACGAAATTCCCAGACCAGTAACTCTACCGTCTGGAACCCCACATTCACAGACCTCTAAACTCTACACACTGGGGATTCTAAATGTTCTGATTCCCCAACCCTGGATGCTGGGACCCCAAATTCCCAGAATTTCAAACCCAAGCTCTGAAATCCTAAACTCAAGGAACCCTACCTCTGCTCCTTGGGGATCCCTAAAAACTGTGGTCCTCATCTTTATCCCCAAACCTCTCACACCTTGTCTTGGGGACCACTAATATCTTCTCTCTCTTTTTTTTTTTTTTTCTGTCCTCAGTTCTTTCAGTTGGGTCCTGTATTAATTACTCTTTCACCTCCAAAATCCTGTCTCCCACCCCCACAACCCAAAGGCACAAAGATGAACAGACCTGTATTGCAATGCTTGACCCTTGTCCTTTTGGACAAGTGACTGCCTGGTTTCCAGCCTCAGTTTCCTAAGCTTAAAAATGGGATCATCCTGGTACCTCACAAGGGTCCCTTTTGAGCGATTCAACCACATCTCTTGAATAAAGTGCTTACCACGTAGTAAGTGCTCAATAAAGCAAGCCACGTCCAGTCGCTCACACTGTAATTCCAGCACTTTGGGAGGTCTAGGCAGGAGGATCTCCTGAGCCCGGCAGTTTGAGACCAGTCTCAGTAACATAGTGAGACCTCGTTTCTAAAAAAAAAAAAAAAACATAGCAGGGCATGGTGACATGCGCGTGTAGTCCCAGCTACTGGGGAGGCTGAGGTGGGAGGATTGCTTGAGCCTCGGAGGTTGTTGCAGTGAGCCAAGATTGCGCCAGTGCACTCCAGCCTGGTTGACAAAGTGAGATTCTCCCCCCCCCCCCAAAAAAAAGCCACAGATGTCATTCCCTCCCTGGGCTGGTCTGGTCCCTCTGGGAATTGTCCCTTGCTTGCTCAGTCCCCAGCAATGGCCATCACCCTCCATTCCTGAACTCTGGCCTTCATTGAGTACTTACCCTAACCACTGTCTTTCATCTTTCATCTCCCCCTTCCTTCACCCAACCAGGGCACCTTCTCTTTCATCATCGAAACCTGGAGAGAGGAGTTAGGAGACCAGATTGGAGGTGAGTGTCTTCAGTCTTGGGACTGGTGGGGAGCTGGGGCCCACGTGAGACACGGGGTTGGTGGTGTTATCTATAGGTCTTATGATGTCATCACAGCTCCTGGGATGTGGTGCTGAGTGTTGACAGCTCCAGGGCTCTTGGCATCTCAGGCACAGAAATGTCCCTGGTACTGGATGTAGCAGTGGTTCTGGTACCAGACGAAGTAGGGGAAGCTCTCTTACTATCAAGGCTCCAGAGCAGAGTGTAGCATTTCACAGCCCTACCTTATCATCTGATGTTGAGAGCTCAGGGTGCGATATGAATTACTTCTGGTTCTTTTATGTGAAGTTTTTTTTTTTTCTTTCCAAGACAGAGTCTTGCTCTGTCGTCCAGGCTGGAGTGCAATGGCATGATCTCAGCTCACTGCAACCTCTGCCTTCTGGGTTCAAGCAATTCTTCTGCCTCAGCCTCCCAAGTAGCTGGGATTACAGGCACCCACCACCACACCTGGCTACTTTTTTTTGTATTTTTAGTAGAGACAGGATTTCACCATGTTGTCCAGGCTGGTCTTGAACTCCTGACCTCGTGATTCACCCACCTTGGCCTCCCAGAGTGTTGAGATTACAGGCATGAGCCACCACGCTCGGCCCCTATGTGAAGCTCTGTCACCTTGTCCATGTGGACATCCCAGGGAGCCCCGTGGGATGTTGGAGCTTCACCAAGGCGAATATTGAGCAGAGGTTCCTGGGAGGGATACAGGGCATTCCTATCCTCAACTTGGGAGACTCTGTTGCTATGTAAGGCCCACAGCGGGGGTTTTGTCACCATTTTTTTTCTTGTTTTTATTTTTTATGGACATGGGATCTTGCTATGTTGCCCAGGCTGGTCTCAAACTCCTAGGCTCAAGCAATCCACAGGCTTTGGCTTCCCAAAACGTTGGGATTATAGGAGTGAGCCACTTCTTCACCGTTCTGATGTAGAAAGCTGTGTCACAATCTTGGGGGGTGACACCTTTGCCTTCAAGAAAGTGTCACTCTCCCAGTATCCCAAGGTCTCAGGTAATGTGGTAACTTATGGTCTAGTAACTGGGGTCTCTGTGACTATTTTGATATAGGAAGATCCAGAGGCACAATTTAGGGGTGTTATGACCTCACTTCAGACATGTTATTGTTCTTTGGCCATATGGAGGTACCAAATGTCACAGGGTGTTAGAGGTCTCATCATTACTTCAATTTACAAAGATCTGGGTCAAGGCCCGGCGCGGTGGCTCACGCCTGTAATCCCAGCACTTTGGGAGGCCGAGGCGGGCGGATCAGGAGGTCAGGAGATTGAGACCATCCTGGCTAACATGGTGAAACCCTGTCTCTACTAAAAATACAAAAAAAATTAGCCGGGCGTGGTGGCAGGCGCCTGTAGTCCCAGCTACTCGGGAGGCTGAGGCAGGAGAATGGCGTGAACCCGGGAGGCGGAGCTGGCAGTGAGCCGAGATCACACCACTACGCTCCAGCCTGGGCGACAGAGTGAGACTCCGTCGCAAAAAACAAACAAAAAAAAAACAAATATCTGGGTCAAAATACAGGAGTATTACGGTTTCTATGAGATAACTGTTTATTTTTTATTTTTATTTTTTTGAGAGGGAGTCTTGCTCTGTCACCCAGGCTGGAGTGCGATGGCCGATCTCGGCTCACTGCAACCTCCACTTCTGGGTGCAAGTGATTCTCCTGCCTCAGCCTCCCGAGTAGATGGGATTACAGGTGCGTGCCACCACGCCTGGCTAATTTTTTTAAAGAATTTTTTATTTTTAGTAGAGACGGTTTCACCATGTTGATCAGGCTGGTCTTGACCTCAGGTGGTCCACCCGTCTCGGCCTCCCAAAGTGCTGGGATTTCAGGCTTGAGCCACCATGCTTGGCTGAGAGAAATGTTACCTAGAGTACTAGAAAGGACCACGACATTGCAGGTCCCAGGGTGCATTGGGGAGTTCGCAGCCTTGCTAAAGTAGAGGGTGACTGCCATTCTACTCGCGAGGTCCAAGGACCCCAGGGCTCCATGAGGGTGTTTTGGCCTCGCTGGGAGGGGCGGGGAGAATGCGGCCGGGGCGCTCCGTATGCATCCATGTTCGGCCGGGCCCACCCCAGCACCCCTCCTTTGCCTGTCCTCGCAGGGCCCGCCTGGAGCCTGCTGGCGCGCGTGGCTGGCAGGCGGCGCTTGGCAGCCGGAGGCCCGTGGGCCCGGGACATTCAGCGCGCAGGCGCCTGGGAGCTGCGCTTCTCGTACCGCGCGCGCTGCGAGCCGCCTGCCGTCGGGACCGCGTGCACGCGCCTCTGCCGTCCGCGCAGCGCCCCCTCGCGGTGCGGTCCGGGACTGCGCCCCTGCGCACCGCTCGAGGACGAATGTGAGGCGCCGCGTGAGTCCTGCGTTCGACCCCACCCCGTCCCAGCCGGGGACCCCGGCCCCTCCTGAGCGTCACTCGCGGCCCCCAGTCCCCTCTCACAACCCACTCACCCTCTTCAGGGTACTCTAGAGTCCCCCACCATGTACCCCAGGCACCCCTCTTCAGGGAGCTGGGGAACGCGCTGACTGCTGCGGATGTATCCCAAACCCCGCCCACCATCCAGCTGCCACCTTCGGAGAAACTGAGGACCCTGGACCTCTCTCCAGCCCTGCCTTGCTACTCGAGCCCCCTTCCCTCTCCCAGCCCTCTTGTTGCCCCAAATCGGAAGCCCACGTCCATTTTCTATGCTGGCACCCTCCAGTTCCTTCCCTAACCCACATTCACACCCTGTCCTGATGCTAGGACTCCAAAGCTCTTCTAATTCTGCGGCCCTCCCGACTCCCACTCGGAAGCTTTGGAATCTCCTCCCAGTCCACTCTGGCCAAGGGGCCCTCCATCCTCCCTCCCTAGGGTTGCAGGCCAGAACCCATGGCTTCTTAAAGCTTGGAATTCTTCAGACTTCTCCCCAAATTTCAGAGCCCCACCAAGGCCCCTAGGACTCCCAGGCTAATCCAGATCTTCTCAGAGCCACCCTAATTCAATACACTCCCATCTTCCCTGAAAGGCCAGGGGTCCCCCCACCAATCCCAAATCCCCTCACTGTCTCCTATCCTCACGATCTCACCTGGGTGCCCCTGTCCCATCCTCTTTCCAAGAGCACAGACTCCAGCCCGATGGCCTGGGTTCACATCATCACTCCTCCACTTCCTAGGTGGGCTGGTCACCTCGTCTCTGTGGGCCTCAGTTTCCCTATCTGTAAACTGGGGGGGCGGTCACAGTACCATCTAGTCCCGATGATTATCTGTCACAAAGATGAAGCAAGGTGGCTCAGGGAACGTGCTCAGAAACCTCCCTGCTTTCCATCTTGTCCCTGGCCCTCCCCGACGTTGGTGTTCCCTTTCTCTCTGCCTCTCTGTCCCCCATAGTGGTGTGCCGAGCAGGCTGCAGCCCTGAGCATGGCTTCTGTGAACAGCCCGGTGAATGCCGATGCCTAGAGGGCTGGACTGGACCCCTCTGCACGGTCCCTGTCTCCACCAGCAGCTGCCTCAGCCCCAGGGGCCCGTCCTCTGCTACCACCGGATGCCTTGTCCCTGGGCCTGGGCCCTGTGACGGGAACCCGTGTGCCAATGGAGGCAGCTGTAGTGTCAGTGTCACCCTTCCCACCTTGTCCTGCTTAGTACTTTACCCTGGGAGCCACAGCCCTCTCCCTGGGGCTCCATGAGACACCAGCCTGGGGAGGAGATCTGGGAATAACTATCAGGGAGGTCTTCCTGGAGGCATCCAGCCGGCATCTGGGGCCTTGAAGTAGGATTAGGTGATGGGGATGGGACTGGGGAGAGCAGGCTCAGTGGGTGGCCCCGAAAGATGCAGGAGTGGAAATGATGAGGAGCCGTGTGGGGCCACAGCTGCCCCTACTGCGGGACTGAGAACGATTCAGGGCCCAAGGTAGTGGGTGGTGGGGCCAAATAGGTTGGAGATTTGGGATCTGCGGGCACAGGGGGTGGAGACATCAGAGAAGGCTTCCTGGAGGTGGCCCGGGGCTGGGGCTTCTGGGACGTGATTAGAGAGGGTGGCCAGGTGAGTGGCCTGCAGGGAGCAAGGGTGCAGAGGTGGCAGTGAGTGAGCCTGGCATGGAGTGCTGGGATAGAGTAGGGTCCAGTGTGGGCCACCTGGATACTGCCACACTCAGGGTTCAAATACTTAGGGAGAGGCCCTGGGAAGGAGAGATCCAGAGAAGCCTTCCTGGAGGAGGTGGGCTGAGATCTAGGACCTCCCAGTAGGACTCGTCAGTGTAGACAGAAGCGAGCAGGGCAGACCAGGCAGGCAGCATTTGGTAGGCAAAGATGTAGGGGTGGGAATGGGGTCACTCTGGGTCCCCAGAGCCTCCTCCCTCTGGGGTCACATGGGCAGACAGAAGAATGTGGAGTGGATCGAGGGGATGTCGGGAGGACCTCCCAGGGTGGCCCCTGCATAGTGGGACTTGAGACTGGACAAGGAGCAGCCCCCAGTGGTTAGGACTGAGGAGGGGGATGGGATTTTTCTCCAAGGAAACACCCTTCTCAAGTACTCTTGTCCCTGCCCAGGAGACACCCAGGTCCTTTGAATGCACCTGCCCGCGTGGGTTCTACGGGCTGCGGTGTGAGGTGAGCGGGGTGACATGTGCAGATGGACCCTGCTTCAACGGCGGCTTGTGTGTCGGGGGTGCAGACCCTGACTCTGCCTACATCTGCCACTGCCCACCCGGTTTCCAAGGCTCCAACTGTGAGAAGAGGGTGGACCGGTGCAGCCTGCAGCCATGCCGCAATGGTGAGGCCTGGAGGCCTGAACGGCGAGGGATGGGGTGGGGGTCCTGGATGGCTCAGACAGTCCAGGGTTGGAATCCTGGCTTTGACTCTTCTAACCCTAGGGCCTGGGGACCTGACCTTCCACCTGCAAGCCTGTAAAATGGGCAAGGAGACATTCCCTATCTCATAACTATTAATATTTACTGAGAATTTACTGTGTGCCAGGCCCTATTCTAGGCACTGAGGATACAGCAGGGAATGAAACAGACAAAGTCCCTGGCCCTGCCTGATAGAGCTGAGGTGCCTGGTGTGCTGAGGATAAGCAGGGAAGCCAGTGTGGTTATACTGAGATGAGGTCAGGGAGGTGACTGAGGCACATCTTGTGGGACCCCCTGGGTCACAAGAAGGGGAACTTTCACTTTTCCCCTGAGTGAGATGGAGCCACAGGAAGGTTCTGAGGAGAGAAGAGACCTGATATCGGTGCTAAAAGATTAAATGCGGCCCGGCACGGCGACTCACGCCTGTAATTCCAGCACTTTGGGAGGCCGAGGCGGGCAGATCACCTGAGCTCAGGAGTTGGAGACCAGCCCGGGCCACATGGTGAAACCCCGTCTCTACTAAAAATACAAAAAATTAGCCGGGCGTGATGGCAGGTGCTTGTAATCCCAGCTACTCGGGAGGCTAAGGCGGAAGAATCACTTGAACCCGGGAGGCGGAGGTTGCAGTGAGCCGAGATCATGCCACTGCGCTCCCGCCTGGGCGACAGAGTGACACTCTGTCTCAAAAAAAAAAAAAAAAAAAAAAAAAAAAAAGATTAAGTAAGATCATGAATGTAGGCTGAAGCAGAGAATTGCTTGAACTCGGGAGGCGGAGGTTGCAGTGAGCCGAGATCGCGCCACTGCACTCCAGCCTGGACGACAGAGCGAGACTCCGTTTCGAAAAAAAAAAAAAAAAAGATCATGAATGTAAAGGGCTGGCTGTGTATCTTCTTGCGAGTGAATACAATAATTCTCTCCCAAACACTGAGTGTTCATTCTGGGGTGTGTGGTACTAGGGACTCAGCACCGACCAGGACATCTCTGGGCCGCACCCTCCTGGGGGAACCAGCCCAGAGGGGAAGACAGACACCCTCAGACAGAGCCCAGGGTGGGTGGTCAGGGCTGTGATGTAGGAGCACAGGGCAGTGATCAGGGCTGGGATGGAGGAAGGAGCATCGGAGTAGAAACCTGAGGGGTGGGCTAGGGAAGAGAAAAGGTGGGAAAAAATGTGAGAAAAGGAGGAAGGGAAGAGAGGAGGGGTATTCTAGGCAGAGGAAGGCCAGAGGGTTCAAACACGTAGTTCTGGGAGCTGTCTACTATTGAAGTATGATCGAAGCCGAAGGAAAAAGAGACAAGGGCACCGAGAGCCAAAGAGGTGGAGCTGAATTAATTATTCCAAAACTTCATTAGGAAGAAAAGCGAGCTGGCTTTCCTGGCACACTCCAAGACGCTGGCCCTTAAGTTAGAGAGAAAAAGGGGACCCCGTGCAGCGATGACAGAGCTGGGAAACAGCGCGGGCAGGTGGGTCCCCGGCTCCCGGACTGCGCCCTCTGATGCTCCCTTCCCCACAGGCGGACTCTGCCTGGACCTGGGCCACGCCCTGCGCTGCCGCTGCCGCGCCGGCTTCGCGGGTCCTCGCTGCGAGCACGACCTGGACGACTGCGCGGGCCGCGCCTGCGCTAACGGCGGCACGTGTGTGGAGGGCGGCGGCGCGCACCGCTGCTCCTGCGCGCTGGGCTTCGGCGGCCGCGACTGCCGCGAGCGCGCGGACCCGTGCGCCGCGCGCCCCTGTGCTCACGGCGGCCGCTGCTACGCCCACTTCTCCGGCCTCGTCTGCGCTTGCGCTCCCGGCTACATGGGAGCGCGGTGTGAGTTCCCAGTGCACCCCGACGGCGCAAGCGCCTTGCCCGCGGCCCCGCCGGGCCTCAGGCCCGGGGACCCTCAGCGCTACCTTTTGCCTCCGGCTCTGGGACTGCTCGTGGCCGCGGGCGTGGCCGGCGCTGCGCTCTTGCTGGTCCACGTGCGCCGCCGTGGCCACTCCCAGGATGCTGGGTCTCGCTTGCTGGCTGGGACCCCGGAGCCGTCAGTCCACGCACTCCCGGATGCACTCAACAACCTAAGGACGCAGGAGGGTTCCGGGGATGGTCCGAGGTGAGGGGCTGCGCCACAGACGAACGCCTTGCGCTGCTGGCTGCTTTTACCCATCTCCGTGGTGCAGTTGGCCCGATTCCTTGATGCATTTCCCTGGTCGGTCTCTCTTACCCCGGTAGCTGGTTTTGGGTTCCCCTTTGTGATGGGTAGGGGAAAACAAGATCTGAGAATTTAAAGAGTCTGAGTTTTTCTTCTTTCTCTCCTCCCACAGCTCGTCCGTAGATTGGAATCGCCCTGAAGATGTAGACCCTCAAGGGATTTATGTCATATCTGCTCCTTCCATCTACGCTCGGGAGGTAGCGACGCCCCTTTTCCCCCCGCTACACACTGGGCGCGCTGGGCAGAGGCAGCACCTGCTTTTTCCCTACCCTTCCTCGATTCTGTCCGTGAAATGAATTGGGTAGAGTCTCTGGAAGGTTTTAAGCCCATTTTCAGTTCTAACTTACTTTCATCCTATTTTGCATCCCTCTTATCGTTTTGAGCTACCTGCCATCTTCTCTTTGAAAAACCTATGGGCTTGAGGAGGTCACGATGCCGACTCCGCCAGAGCTTTTCCACTGATTGTACTCAGCGGGGAGGCAGGGGAGGCAGAGGGGCAGCCTCTCTAATGCTTCCTACTCATTTTGTTTCTAGGCCTGACGCGTCTCCTCCATCCGCACCTGGAGTCAGAGCGTGGATTTTTGTATTTGCTCGGTGGTGCCCAGTCTCTGCCCCAGAGGCTTTGGAGTTCAATCTTGAAGGGGTGTCTGGGGGAACTTTACTGTTGCAAGTTGTAAATAATGGTTATTTATATCCTATTTTTTCTCACCCCATCTCTCTAGAAACACCTATAAAGGCTATTATTGTGATCAGTTTTGACTAACGAGGCTGAATGCTTTGTATTTGATGTTGGGGCTGAGGGGAAGAGATTTTGTCTCCTGAGGAGAATAGTAGACAGGACTCTTTATGTTGTAGGGGTCGGAAACGACTCAAACTGCTTTAAATATAAAAGAATTTATGGCTGGGTGCAGTGGCTCACGGCTGTAATCCCACTGAACCACTGAGTGAGATCAGTGCTGAAGCAGGAGGATTGCTTGAGGCTGGGAGTTGGAGAGCAGCTGGGCAACACAGCGAGACCCCTATACGAAAAATTAAAACAAAATTAGCCAGGCCTGGTGGCGCACCTGTAGTTCTACATACTTGTGAGGCTGAGGCCGGGAGGATCGCCTCAGCTCAGGAGTTTGAGGCTGCAGTGAGCTATGATCACACCACTGCACTAAAGCCTGGGCAATACAGCAAGATCCTGTCTCTTTAAAAAAAAATGTATTAGTGGCCGGGCGTGGTGGCTCACCCCTGTAATCCCAGCACTTTGGGAGGCTGAGGTGGGTGGATCACCTGAGGTCGGGAGTTGGAGACTAGCCTGGCCAGCATGGCAGAACCTCATCTCTACTAAAAAATACAAAAATTAGCTGGGTGCAGCGGCAGGCACCTGTAATCTCAGCTACTCAGGAGGCTGAGAACTGCTTGAACTCGGGAAGTGGAGGTTGCAGTGAGCCGAGATTGTGCCATTGCATTCTAGCCTTGGAGACAGAACAAGACTCTGTCTCAAAAAAAACAAAAACAAAAAACGCATTAGCTCATAAAATGGAAAAATCCTAGGGGTAGATATGGTTTCCAGCAGCAATGGACTGGGGCTCTTGGTCTTTCTCCAGTTGCCTCTTCTTACCCCTTGATTGATTTCACTGTGGGGAATCTCTCATTGGCCCTGGCTCGTTGGTAGGCCCTCCTAAACCAGTCTCCAGGCAGTATGGCTTCCTCTGATTTGGCCAGGCTTGCTTATTGCCTGTTGTGTGGTAGGGAGTGACGTCAGCCTGCCCAGATCACATGGAATATATAGGTGATGGGGTGTCCCTGCTCCCCTCAGATCAGTTTGTTCCCAGAAATGAGTACTGTGTCAGGCAGGCAAACTGACAGACCATCTTACAAGAAATAAGGAAACTCCTTAGTCTGAAAGCAGGTAACCTCAGACAGTAATTCAAATTTACACCAAAAACCAAAGAGCAGGCTGGGTGCGGTGGCTCATGCCTGTAATCCCAGCACTTTGGGAAGCTGAGGCGGGTGGATCACCTGAAGTCAGGAGTTTGAGACCAGTCTGGCCACATGGTGAAACCCTGTCTCTACTAAAAATACAAAAATTAGCCAGGCATGGTGGCGGGTACCTGTAATCCCAGCTACTTGGGAGGCTGAGGCAGGAGAATCAATTGAACCTGGGAGGCGGAGGTTGCAGTGAGCCGAGATCACTCCATTGCACTCCAGCCTGGGTGACAGAGTGAGACTCTGTCTCAAAAAAAAAAAAAAAAAAAGCACCCGTGACAGTAATTATGTAATTATAAGGATTACAGTGGGCTGGGAGCGGTGGCTCACGCCTATAATCCCAGCACTTTGGGAGGCCTAGGCGGGCGTATCACCTGAGGTCAGGAGTTCGAGACCAGCCTGGCCAACATGGTGAAACCCTGTCTCTACTTAAAATACAAAACATTAGCCGGGCATGGTGGTACGCATCTGTAATCTCAGCTACTCGGGAGGCTGAGGCAGGAGAATCGCTTGAACCTGGGAGATGGAGGTTGCAGTGAGCCGAGATCGCACCATTGTATTCCAGCCTGGGGGACAAGAGTGAGACTTCATCTCAAAAAAAAAAAAGATTATGGTAGCCCTCCGTAATCCTTGAAGCATACGTTCCAAGACTCACAGTGGATGCCTGAAGCTGCTGATAGTACCGAATGCAATCTGAACACATTTCTGTTTATGTCTTCTACCTACAAGCTGAATGCCTTTCCCATCTTGACTGAGCATTTATCACACCCTGTGGCCTTGGAAACTTTGGCAGTTTGAGGTATGACAGTGAAACTAGCATGAATTTCCTTCTCTTTCTTCACAATTTGATGGCTAGAATATTCACCTTTTTTTTTTTTTTTTTTTTTTTTTTTTTTTTTTTTGAGACAGAGTTTCACTCTTGTTGCCCAGGTTGGAGTGCAGTGATGCAATCTTGGCTCACTGCAACCTCCGCCTCCTGGGTTCAAGCAATTCTCCTGTCTCAGCCTCCCAAGTAGCTGGGATTACAGGCATGCGCCACCACACCCGGCTAATTTTGTATTTTTAGTAGAGATGGGGTTTCTCCATGTTGGTCAGCCTGGTCTTGAACTCCTGACCTCAGGTGATCCGCCTGCCTCGGTCTCCCAAAGTGCTGGGATTACAGGCATGAGCCACCGAGCCTGGCCTAGAAGATTCATCTTAAGGCCAGGCATGGTGGCTCACACCTGTAATTCCAGAATTTTGGGAAGTTGAGGCAGGAGACTCACTTGAGCCCAGGAGTTCGAGACCAGCATGGGCAACATGGCAAAACCCTATCTCTACAAAAAAAATTGAAAAAATCAGCCAAGTGTGGTGTCATTCACCCGTAGTCCCAGCTACTTGGGAGGCTGAGCTGGGAGGATTGCTTGAGCCTAGGTGGTTGAGGCTGCAGTGAGCTGTGGTGGTGCCACTGTACTCCACCCTGGGTGGCAGAGTGAGACTGTGTCTCAAAAAAATAAAATAAAAAGGGCTGGTCACAATGGCTCATGCCTGTAATCCCAGCACTTTTGGAGGCCAAGGTGTGTGGATCACCTGAGGTCAGGAGTTTGAGACCAGCCTGACCAATATGGTGAAACCCTGTCTCTACTAAAAATACAAAAACTAGCTGGGCATGGTGGCAGGCACCTGTAGTCCCAGTTACTTGGGAGGCTGAGACAGGAGAATCGCTTGAACCCGGGAGGTGGAGGTTGCAGTGAGCCGAGATCATGCCACTGCACTCCAGCCTGGGTGACAGAGCGAGACTCCATCTCAGAAAAAAAAAAAGGAAATAGCTGAGGCTTCTGAGGCTTTGTAATTTATAAAGAAAAGAGGTTTATTTTGGCTCATGGCTCTGTAGGCTATACAGGAAGCACAGTGCTGGCATCTGCTTCTGCTGAGGCCTCAGGAAGCTTCCAATCATGATACAAGGTGAAGGGGGAGCAAGCACATCACATGGCAAGGGAGGGAGTGAGAGGGGGGTGCCAGGCTCTTTTATTTATTTATTTATTTGGTACAGAGCCTCCCTCTGTTGCTCAGGCTGAAGTGCAGTGGCACAATCTCGGCTCACTGCAACCTCCACCTCCCAGATTCAAGCAATTCCCCTGTTTCAGCCCCCCAAGTAGCTGGGACTACAGGTGTGTGCCACCATACCAGCTAATTTTTTTTGGCATTTTTAGTAGAGACAGGGTTTCACCACTTTGGCCAGGCTGGTCTCGAACTCCTGACCTCAAGCAATCTGCCTGCCTTGGCTTTCCGAAGTTCTGGGATTACAGAAGTGAGCTACCACGCCCAGTCTCAGGCTCTTTTTTTTTTTTTTTTTTTTTTTTTTTGAGACAGAGTCTTGCTCTGTCACCCAAGCTGTAGTGCAGTGGCACGATGATCTTGGCTCACTGCAAGCTCCGCCTCCTGGATTCATCCATTCTCCATCTCAGGCTCTTTTAAACAACCAGCTCTCGAGGGAACAAGGGAACTCACAGAGCGAGAACTCACTCATTACTGTGGGGAGGGCACCAAGACCTTCTTGAGGGTTTCGCTTCGAAACACCTCCCACCAGGCCCACCTCCAACATTGGCGGTCATTTCAACATGAGATTTGGAGGGGAAAAATATCCACACCAAATCAATACCCATATAAGAAGCCAGAGGCTGGGCACGGTGGCTCATGCCTGTAATCTCAACACTTTGGGAGGCTGAGGCGGGTGGATCACTTGAGGCCAGGAATTTGAGACCAACCTGACCGACATGGTGAAACCAACCCCGTCTCTACAAAAACATACAAAAATTAGCCAGACATAGTGGCGCTCACCTGTAATCCCAGTTACTTGGGTGGTGGAGGCACAAAAATCGCTTGACCCCAGGAGGCAGAGGTTGAAGTTAGCCGAGATCGTGCCAATACACTCCAGCATGGGTGACAGAGCAAGACTCTGTCTCAAAAAAAAAAAAAAAAAATGGCCAGGCGCGGTGGGTCACAGTGGCGGACCACCTGAGGTCAGGAGTTCAAGACGAGCTTGGCCAATGTGGTGAAACCCCATCTCTACAAAAATACAAAAATTAGCTGGGCATGATGGCAGTGCCTGTAATCCCAGCTACTCAGGAGGCTGAGGTGGGATAATTGCTTGAACCTGAGAGGTGGGGGTTGCGGTGAGCTGAGATTGTGCCATTGCACTCCAGCCTGGGTGACAGAGCAAGACTCCGTCTCAAAAAAAAAAAAAAAAAAAAAAGCCAGAGAGCTAGCTGGCTCTCTTCCTGCCATGTGAGGCTGCAAGAAGTTGGTGGTCTGCAACTTGCAAGAGGTCCCTCCCTAGAACCCAACCTTCTGGCACCGTGATCACAGACTTCCAATCTCCAGACCTATGAGAAATAAATGTTTAAGCCAGTTTATAGTATTTTTTTTAATAACAGCCTGAGCCAACTAAGAGAGTTGGGTTTTGCTGCAATAACAAATTTCCCTCAAATCTTACTGACTTACACAATCACAGGTTTCTTTTTTGTTCATGGCACACATCCAGGCCACCAGGCTTTTCGTTTTTGTTCAAGAGACATAGTCTTGCTCTTGTTCTGTCACCCAGTCTAGAGTGCAGTGGTGTGATCATAGCTCATGGCAGCCTCAGTCTTCTGGGCTCAAGTGATCCTCCTGCCTCAGCCTCCTGAGTAGCTGGAACTGTGGGTGCATACCAGCATACCTAGCTAAGTTTCAAGTTTTTTGTAGAGAGGGGTTCCTGGTATGTTGTCCAGTCTGGTCTTGAACCCCTGGGCTCAAGCAGTCCCCCTGGGCTCAAGCAGTCCTCTTGGTTTGGTCTCCAGAAGTGCTGCAATTACAGGCAGGGTTTTACCATGTTGGCCAGGCTGATCGTGAACTCCTGACCTCAGGTGATCCACCGGCTTGCTCTCCCAAAGTGTTGGAATTACCGGCGTGAGCCACCGCTCCCCATCAGGGGCTTTTTTTTTTTTTTTTTTTTTTAAATCAGTCTCTAACACTGGAACACTTTTCTGCTTCGGAAGTAAAACCATCAGGCTGTTAGACACAGACACCCCTCTCTTGGCTTCCTTCAAATTACTGAAAACAAGTCTCTCCACCCCCTACCGTACCAACCAACCAACCAAAGACTGGCCAGCACATGCTGTAGTCTCAGAACTTTGGGAGGCCAAGGTGGGAGGATTGCTTGAGCCTAGGAGGTCGAGGCTGCAGTGAGCTGTGATTGCACCACTGTGCTCCAGCCTGGGTGACAGAGTGACAGCCTGTCCTCCCAAAAAATAAAAAAATGTTTTAAAAAGTACATGTCTGATGTGCTTACAAAAAATAAAAGAAGATCCTTGGTTAATGGCCCTGCCCCTTACTCCAAGGCCATATTTGCTGTGCTCACTGTCTGGGCTCTAGTCCTGCTGCCTCCAGCTAACTCCTCCTTTACCTGGCTAACCCTTTGTCTCTTTATTAATGCCATAAACATTTATTGAGCACCTACTACATGCCAGATCTTATTCTGGGAGCTGGGAATACAGCAGTAAACAAGACGGACAAGACCCCATCCTTGAGGAGCTCACAGCTTGACATTCCTTCTCAAAGTGGTTAAGCCCCAGGATGCTGGAGCCTGACGGGTTGAGTTTGAATCCCAGCTCTGCCATTTAACTAGCTGTGGGCAAATGTTTAGCGCCTAGTACTGTAATAAATGTGAACTCTCAGCCGGGCGCAGTGGCTCACGCATGTAATCCCAGTAGTTTGGGAGGCTGAGGCGGGTGGGTCACTTGAGGCTAGGAGTTCGAGCCTGGCCAACATAGTGAAACCCCATCTCCACTGAAAACACAAACACTAGCTGGGTGTGGTGGCGGGCACCTGTAATTCCAGCTACTTGGGAGGATGAGGCAGGAGAATCTCTTGAATCCAGAAGGCTGAGGTTGCAGTGAGCTGAGATCATGCCACTGCACTCCAGCCTGGGCCAGAGTGAGACTGTTGCCGTGGTGCTCATCATCAGTCTCCAGATGTCAGTTGTCCCCTTTTCTAGTGAGCCGTCTCTGATTGCAGCAGGCTGACTGAACCTATTCTGGGATCCCACAGCTCCTGGGCTCCCTCATCCCTGCCCTGAACGCTCTGGGCTGTAGCCCTTTGGTAATGGGTATGTGTCCCCTACTGGACAGGGAGCCTGGTGAGGGCAGGGACCAGGGCTTTCCTGATGCCTGCTCTGTCCCCAAATTCACCCAGCAGAGAAGTGTGCACGCAGCAGGCACTCAGTACACATATGCTGAACACCTGAGTGTCACCGACAGCTGCGGAGGCACTGGGGCAATCTGTGTGTTTCTCAGCCTGGCGTCGGGGGTTAAGGGGGCGGGAATTACTCGGCGAGGTCGGGAGGTCGCGCGGTGGAACCCGGGGGCCAGGTGGAACTCGGTGTAACAGAGCCCCCAGTGGTCGCGCCGCGTCTCAGAACCCGGTGCGGGAGACGCTCTCCCCGCCCAAAGAGGGAAGGCGGGCGGGACTCCCCAACCGGCTTGCCCCGGTCCCCCTGGGCCCCATGAATAACCAGGCGCGGACCCCAGCCCCCTCCTCGGCGCGGACTTCAACCTCAGTCCGGGCTTCTACCCCGACCCGGACACCGACTCCACTCCGGACCCCGACTCCGGTCCGGACTCGGACCCCCATCCGGACCCTGACTCCAGTCCTGACTCCGTCTCCAGCCGGGACTTCCCCTCTGGTCCTGACTCCTGCTCCAGCCCAGATTCCCACTCTGGTCCCCACTCCCGCTCTGGCCCGGATCCCCCGTCTGGTTCCGCCTCCTGCTCCGGCCTGGATCCCTACTCCGGTGCCGACTCCCGTTCCCGTCCGGAACCCAACTCCGGTCCCGACTCCGGCTCGGACCCTGACTCCTCCAGTCCGGGTCCCAGCCCCAGCCCCAGCCCAGCTCCTGGCAGGGATTCGGGCCGCGCTCCCCGTCTTGGACTCCTACCTGGCCCCGGCCCTACCTTTGGATCCGCCCCCGGAACCTGCTCCGGAGCTGCCTTTGTTGCCCGAGGAGGACCCTGAGCCGGCGCCGAGCCTGAAGCTCATCCCGTCGGTCTCCAGCGAGGCCGGGCCCGCCCCGGGGCCCCTTCCCACGCGCACCCCGCTGGCCGCGAACTCACCCGGGCCCACCCTGGACTTCACCTTCAGGGCAGACCCGTCGGCCATCGGGCTGGCGGATCCCCCCATTCCCAGTCCTGTCCCCTCGCCCATCCTGGGGACCATCCCGTCGGCCATCTCCTTACAGAATTGTACGGAAACCTTCCCCTCCTCCAGCGAGAACTTCGCGCTGGACAAGAGGGTCCTGATTCGAGTGACCTACTGGTGAGGACCTCACACATGCCTCTCCCAACCCCCGGGGACAGGGCCGGCAGTGGGGGCTGGGTCTCCGGGGACGTGGAGGTCAGGGTTGGGGTAGGGCGAGGGGAGGGATTCAGGAAGAGCCCCAGAGTTCCAGTTCCCAGATTGGAAACCCGCTCTTGTCTCTCATTCTCTTTGGGGCAGGAGAGCTTCAGGTTCAAATCCCTGCTTTGGATCTGAGCTTCATTCATTCGTTTCTGAGTGCCCCGCGGGCCAAGTGCCAGGCCTGTGCTAGAGATGGGGTGCTGAGTAGAGCAGATCGATCTACTTTGCTCCCCAGCAAGACCAACCCAAAGACACCGCACATGATAGGGGCTCTGGCTTCCCTTCCCAGCCTCTCTCCTGCCCTGGAAGCCTCTCTGGCCCCTTGTCTCTCTCTCTCTCTCTCACTTCCTCCTCTTCTGTCTCTGCCCACAGGCGGTCTCTCCCACTCTCTGTCTCTCTGTCTCCCCACCTCACTCTCTCTCTCTTTTGTTTTTGTTTGTGTTTCGGACAGGTCTTGCTTTACTGCCCAGGCTGGAGTGCAGTGGTGCAATCACTGCTCACTGCAGCCTCGACCTCCAGGGCTCAAGCGATCTTCCCACCTCAGCCTCCTGAGTAGCTGGGACTACAGGTGTGCACCACCATGCCTGCCTAATTTTTTTTTTTTTTTTTTGAGACGGAGTTTCACTCTTGTTGCCCAGGCTGGAGTGCAATGGCGCGACCTCTGCTCACTGCAACCTCTGCCTCCCGGGTTCAAGCAATTCTCCTGCCTCAGCCTCCCGAACAGCTGGAACCACAGGCATGTGCCACCACGCCCGGCTAATTTTGTATTTTTTTTTAGTAGAGACGGGGTTTCACCATGTTGGCCAGGCTGGTCTCGATCTTCTGACCTCGTGATCCACCCACCTTGGCCTCCCAAAGTGCTGGGATTATAGGTGTGAGCCACCGCGCCTGGCCCCTAATTTTTAAATTTTGTTGTAGAGATGGGGTCGGGGATGGGGTGCGGGGGCAGTATCACTATGTTGCCCAGGCTGTTCTTGAACTCCTACATTCAAGCAGTCCTCCTGCCTCAGCCTCCCAAAGATCTGGGATTACAGGTGTGAGCCACCGTGCCCAGCCTGTGTCTTTCCTTTCCCAGAGTGTTGTGTGTTTCTGCTTCTCCCTATCTCGGTTCCCTCACCTCTGGCCTCTTTCTTTCTCTCCATCTTATCTTTTCTGTCTCTTTCTCTGACTCCATGGATTCGTGTATTCATGTATTCATTCGACAACTACTTCTTCACCACCCACCATGTTCCAGGTCCTATTGGCATCAGGGACACAGCAGTGAACAAGACCGAGATCCCCGTCCTTGTGGCTCCCATGGGCTGGTGTGGAGGGGCAAGCAAAAAAACAATAATATGACCTGTAGAAAATGATCTCATATGTGAGGAGGTGATCCGTACTGTGAACAAAAGGCATTTTGGGGGGTTGCAGTTTTAGCTGGGGTGGTCAGGAAGGCCTCACTGAGAAGGGGGTATATGAGCGAAGCCCTGAAGGAAGGAGAGAAGGAGTTGTGTGGATGCTGTGGGGAGAGCATTTGGCTGAGGGAACTGCCAGTGCAAAGGTCCTGAGGCAGGGCATACCTGGGGTATTGAAAGATGAGCTAGGGGCAGGGCCTATAATCCCAGCACTTTGGGAGGCCAAGGTGAGTGGATCACTTGAGGCCAGGTGTTGAAGACCAGCCTGGGCAACACGGCAACATGGTGAAACCCTGTCTCTATAAAAAATTTCAAAAATTAGCTGGGTGTGATGGTGCATGCCTGTAATCCCGGCTACTTGGGAAGCTGAAGTGGGAGAATTGCTAGAACCCAGGAGGTGGAAGGTTGCAGTGAGCCGAGATCGCACCACTGCTCTCCAGCCTGGGCGACAGAGCAAGACTCTGTCTCAAAAAAAAAAAAAAAAAAAAAAAAAAAGCCCAGCGCGGTGGCTCACGCCTGTAATTCCAGCACTTTGGGAGGCCGAGGTGGGTGGATCACGAGGTCAGGAAATCAAAACCATCCTGGCCAACATGGTGAAACCCGGTCTCTACTAAAATATAAAAAATTACCCGGGCGTGGTGGTGGGCGCCTATAGTCCCAGCTACTAGGGAGGCTGAGGCAGGAGAATGGCGTGAACCCGGGAGGCGGAGCTTGCAGTGAGCTGAGATCGCGCCATTGCACTCCAGCCTGGGCAACAGAGCGAGACTCCGTCTCAAAAAAACAAAAAAACAAAAAAACAAAAAAAAAAGAGAGAGAGAGAGAAAGAAAGATGAGCTAGGGGCTTCTGTGGCTGGCACAGGGTGAATGAATTGGGGAGAAGTGGGAGAAGATGGAGACAGAGGGGTGAGAAGGCAGATCCTGTGGTGGCTTGCAGGCCACGGGAAGGACTGGTTTTTCCCCTGCGTGAGATGGCACTACTTCGGGATTCTGAACAGGGGAGGAACATGATCTAACTCAGGTGTTCATAGGGTGCCCTGAGCTGGGGAAGATACTGATGCGGTGTCTTCCCTGGTCTCTCTCTTAACTTTCTCCTCCTGCTCTTGGCCTCCAGTGGCCTCTGAAGCTATAGCCTTCGGGTGAGTAGTTTTGGCTTTGGAGGTAGGGGGAGCCTGAGGCAGGAAGACTGGGAGGAGTCCCTGTTTCCCCTCCCCTGCAACCCCATGACCCCATCTCCTCCCCTCAGTACATTCTACTGAAAAAGAGCCTGGAGCAGCAATTTCCGAATCACCTACTCTTTGTAAGTGTGTGGGGGTCCTGGGGGAGAGGGGGGTGGTCAGGGATCTGAGATCCCCAAGGGGCTTGGAGGAGAGAGCTTAGCCTCCCCTACGCTCACCATTTCCTCCCAGGAGGAGGACAGAGCTGCCCAGGCTACAGGGGAGTTTGAGGTGTTTGTGAACGGGAGACTGGTCCATTCCAAGAAGGTGATCCTGAGTAAAGGTCCGGGACAGGGAGGTGGGGTGGTGCTGAGGTCCTGGGGGTGGGAGACCTGTGTGCTTTCTTCCCTCTGTGCCCAGAGGGGTGATGGCTTTGTGAACGAGTCCAGGCTGCAGAAAATTGTGAGCGTTATCGATGAGGAAATCAAGAAAAGGTAGCCGGCAAGGGGTGGAGCTGGAGGTGAGCGTGGAGCTCCCAAGGCTGCGGTGGGAGGGGTGGAGGCCGGGTAGGAGGATGGGGCAGGGCTCTGTCTCAGTCCTGATCCTAGCTCAGCCGGTTCTCACTGTTAGAATCATGACAAGTCACCTACATTCTTTTCTGAGCCTCAGTTGCCTCATCTGTAAGACCCTGGGGTAGGACTGTGTTCAGTGAGTTTGAAAAATAGCAAGGAGGCAGGGCACAAGTCTAGCACTTTGGATGGCTAAAATGGCAGATCACTTGAGCCCAGGAGTTCGAGACCAGCCAGAGCAACATAATGAGACTCTGTCTCTACAAAAAATAATAAATAAATAAATAAATAAATAAATTAGCCAGGCACAGTGGCTCACGCCTGTAATCCCAGCCCTTTGAAAGCCTGAGGTGGGTGGATTGCTTGAGCCCAGGAGTTAGAGGCTGCAATGAGCTCTGACTGGGCCACTGCACTCTAGCTTGGGTGACAGAGCAAGACCCTGTCTCTACAAGAAAAAAAAAAAGTGCCGGGCGGGATGGCTCACCCCTGTAATCCCAGCACTTTGGGAGGCCGAGGCGGGCGGGTCACGAGGTCAGGAGATCGAGACCATCCTGGCTAACACGGTGAAACCTTGTCTGTACTAAAAATACAAAAAATTAGCCAGGCGTGGTGGCGGGTGCCTGTAGTCCCAGCTACTCAGAAGGCTGAGGCAGGAGAATGGCGTGAACCTGAGAGGCGGAGCTTGCAGTGAGCTGAGATGGCGCCACTGCACTCCAGCCTGGGCGACAGAGCGAGACTCTGTCTCAAAAAAAAAAAAAAAAAAAAAAGGAAAAGAAAAAATAGTGAGGAAACTAGAATGGGCATTGTAGTCCATGGAAACAGTATAACTGCCTGAGGCATGGTAGACCCTATATAAACACTTATTTTTATATGGAGCTGTCATTGTTATTGTTATTTAAAATTCTTTTCTTTCTCTCCCATCTTAGGAGTCTCAGCTGGATGATGAGAAGGGCTGAAATGTTGCCAAGTCAGGTCCTTTTCTGATGGTGGCTGGGGCTGGGGTGAGCTCAGGGAGGGGAAGAGGAGAATACATGCAGAGTCAGCACCCCTGTGTCCAGTCTGACTGTGTCTGCTGTCGCCACACTCACCTCTGAGGTCTGTGGAAGTCACCTGATATTCTGGCCCCAGGGGTGGGAGGGAGGGGAGCTTGGAAGGCTAGTCCTGTAGCTCCAGTCCTCTGTCTGGCCTCCACTCCTCTTGCTCCTGAGGGCAGTTTGTTTCTTTTGTGGATTCGTCATTTCCCATGCCCTGGTTCCAGATACATTTTGAAAACCTTCCATCTTATTGGCATTTTCTGGGGTTGTGAGGGAAACGGGGATGGCAGTCAGACTCAAACCCGTGACACTCCAAACTCGATTATGCTCCAGGGCCCACTTTCTAAACCTGTAAGATCTATGTTCCAGCCTGCGCAACATAGTGAGACCCCAACTCTACAAAAAATAAAAAATTAGCCAGGTGTGGTGGTGTGTGCCTGTGGTCCCAGCTATTTGGGAGGCTGAGGCAGGAGGATGGCTTGAGCCCAGGAGGCTGCAGTGAGCCATGATTATGCCACTGTATTGCAGCCTGGACAACAGAGTGAGATCCTGTTTCAAGAAAAAAAAAAAAAAGGAAAAAAACCCATAGGTTTTAGAATGCCAGTGTTGTAGGGAGCGTCTCTGTGACCTGGGGCTGGAGGAGAGGCATTTTCACATTCATTGGACATTTATGGGCTCCGTACTCTGCACCTGGCATGGTGGGGTCAGTGGTCACATGCCAGGAGGTCAAGGGCAAAGGCAGGGGGGGCTCAGACTTTACCACTTAGTTGCTGTGTGACCACCACCAAGGGACGCCACCTCTCTGAGCCTCCATTTCCTCCTCCATAAAATAGACGTCATAGCACTATTTAACTTGTGGAATTTTTGTGATAATTACATACTAAATTATGCTTGGGAAAGGATTAGCAGAAGGCTTATCACAGAATTAGTAAGTTTCAGTTAGTAGTAGATTTCAGTTAAGAGTGCTTTTGCCTACTAGTAACAGCAGACTTGACTGCCAATGGCTCACACAGCAGACTTGACTGCCAATGGCTCACACAGTAGAAAACACAAATTCTGTTTTGTTTGTTTTTTGAGATGGAGTCTGGCTCTGTCACCCAGGCTGGAGTGCAATAGCACAATCTTGGCTTACTGTAACCTCTGCCTCCCTGGGTTTAAGCAATTCTCCTGCCTCAGCTTCCCGAATAGCTGGGATTACAGGCATGCACCACCACACCCACCTAATTTTTGTATTTTTAGTAGAGATGGGGTTTTGCCATGTTGGACAGGCTGATCTCGAACGCCTGACCTCAAGTGATCCGCCCACCTCAGCCTCACTGCTGGGATTAGAGGCGTGAGCCACCTCAGGCCTGATGTTTTCAACACCTGACAGGATAATGTGCTGGCCCTGTACATACAAATGATATGCTGGTGTGAGTAGGAAATAAGTTATCTATCATGCCTGCTAAGACAGAGTGCTGGAGGGTAGGGGAAAGTCCCAAAACATATATGGGGTTTGTCTCAGTGAAATCTGTATGTGTCAAGCAGTATAAAACATGAGAGGATATTTCCTATGTGAAAGATACTTTCCACCCCCTACAGTTAGGGATTTGTTTTTTTTTTTTGAGACAAGAGTCTCGCTCTGTCACCCAGGCTGGAGCGTAGTGGCATGATCTCAGTTCACTGCAGCCTTGAACTCCTGGGCTCAAGCAATGCTCCCACGTCAGCCTCCCAAGTAGCTGGGGTTACAGGCACGTGCGACCATGCCAGGCTAACGATTTTTTTTTTTTTGAGACAGAGTCTCACTCTGCCCCCAGGCTGGAGGGCAGTGGCGCGATCTCAGATCACTGCAACCTCTGCCTCCTGAGTTCAAGCCATTCTCCTGCCTCAGCCTCCTGAGTAGCTGGGATTACAGGCGCGCCCCACCATGCTCGGCTGATTTTTGTATTTTTAATAGAGAAGGAGTTTCGCCATGTTGGTCAGGCTGGTTTCGAACTCCTGACCTCGTGATCTGTCTGCCTCGGCTTCCCAAAGTGCTGGGATTTCAGGCGTGAGCCACTGCACCAGGCAGGCTAATGATTTTTGTATTTTTAGTAGAGACGGGGGTCTCCTCATGTTGCCCAGGCTGGTCTTGAACTCCTGGGCTCAAGCAATACACCTGCCTTGGCCTTCGGAAGTGCTGGGTTACAGACATGAGCCACCATGCCTGGCCAGGGGTTTGCTTTAATCACACTTTTATGAACTTGGTGACACCACCCTGGTTCAGAACGCCTAACATACCTCATAAAATATTTTTATTTTTTATTTTTTTGAGACGGAGTCTCGCCCTGTCACCCAGGCTGGAATGCAGTGGTGCGATCTTGGCTCACTGCAACCTCTGCCTCCCTGGTTCAAGTGATTCTCCTACCTCAGCCTCCAGAGTAGCCAGGATTACAGGCACCCGCCACCACGCCCGGCTAATTTTTTGTATCTTTAGTAGAGAGGGGGTTTCACCATGTTGGCCAGGCTGGTCTCCAACTCCTGACCTTGTGATCCGCCCACCTCAGCCTCCCAAAGTGCTGGGATTACAGGTGTGAGCCACTGCTCCCGGCCTAAAATATTTTAAAAATATTTTTAATGCAAAATTGAGCTGGTGGGAAGGTAAGGGAACTCCTGGAGTCCAGAAATCTCACAGAAATATAAATCCAAAAGTGGTTGGTGTTGGAGTTGGTACTTGCTGTGAGGAAATCTGCTAATTTTGATGGCAAGAACCTGCATGACTCAAAATGTAAAGGGAAAAGACAGAACCCAAGGCCCAAGCGGGATGAGATGCCAGAGTGGAGACCATGTGGATGCCGGGAACCCCAGGAGGCAGTACCCTCCAGTGGGTAGGCTGGGAAAAAATGCCCCTCTCACAGAGGTAGGCAGTTGGGGTGATTAGCAGTCTCCACCTTGTTAGTGAGCAAATGATTGAAAGAAAGCCTTCTGTTAATAAGCCTGCACTCACACAAATTTGGGACCTAAATTCCTGCCATCTGACAAGTCTGAAATTTCATCTAAATTAATGTCTGGTTAGGAATGTTCCCAAGTATGTGTTATGATTAAACAGAAGTCAACTAAGAAGATGCTGAACCATTTCCCAGGTAGTTCCCAAAGATAATATTTTGAGGAACATGAGTTAGCAATTAAAAGGAGCCAGGCATGGTGGCTTACACCTGTAATCCTAGCACTTAGGGAGGCAGAGGCGGGAGGATGACTTGAGGCCAGGAGTTCAAGACTGGCCTGGGCAACATAGGGAAACCCTGTCTCTACAAAAAATACAAAAATTAGCCCAGCATGGTGGCATTCGCTTGTAGTCCCAGCTACTCAGGAAGCTGAGGCTGGAGGATTGCTTGAGCCCAGGAGGTCGAGGCTGCGGTGAGCCATGATTGAGCCATGATTGTGCCACCGCATTCCAGCCTGGGCGACAGATCGAGAGACCCTGTCTCAATAAAGGAAAAAAAAAAGTCCTGGCGCAGTGGCTCACGCTTGTAATCCCAGCACTTTGGGAGGCCGAGATGGGCGGATCATGAGGTCAGGAGATCGAGACCATCCTGACTAACATGGTGAAACCCCGTCTCTACTAAAAAAAAGAAATACAAAAAATTAGCTGGGCGTGGTGGTGGGCACCTGTAGTCCCAGCTACTCCGGAGGCTGAGGCAGGAGAACGGCATGAACCCGGGAGGCGGAGCTTGCAGTGAGCTGAGATTGCGCCACTGCCCTCCAGCCTGGGGGACAAAGCGAGACTCATCTCAAAAAAAAAAAGGAAAAAAAAATTGTCGTTAACATAAAAGTCATTAAAGTAAAAAACAGTATTAGATATTGTCGTATAGTAGAGAATTTAGTTGGCCTTTGTGTCCAGTTGCTGGGAGGGACTCTTTAAATCCTTGGCATTTCCCAAGTGACAGGGGTGCACCGTTAACATGGTGGACCCCTTGGGCCATACTTGATAGTTTTTTTGTTTTTTTTTTTTCGGAAATGGAGTCTCACTCTGTTTCCCAGGTTGGAGTGCGGTGGCACGATCTCGGCTCATTGCAACCTCCACCTCCTGAGTTCAAGCGATTCTCTTTCCTCAGCCTCCCGAGTAGCTGGGACTACAGGTGCACGCCGCCACGCCCAGCTAATTTTTTTTTTTTTTGTATTTTAGTACAGATGGGGTTTCACTGTGTTGCTCAGGCTGGTCTCGAACTCCTGACTTCAGGCAATCCGCCTGCCTTGGCCTCCCAAAGTGCCAGAATTACAGGTGTGAGCCACCACCGGCCCATATTTGATAGTTTAGACTCAAAAGGTGACTAACGGTGCACTTCCACTTCTTGTTTATGGTAATTAGGTGAATCAGAATGGCAGCTGTCAGTGACAGAAGGGCCACCATGAGCTTATGAGAAAGCTGGACTTTGAGCCACGTGGTATCAGCTTGACAGTCTGGGAGGGGAAGGAAGCTGGAGATTGAGTTTCAGTTCCATGACCAATGATCCAGTCAATCACGCCTGCATAATAAAACCCCAATAGGCCGGGTGCAGTGGCTCATGCCTGTAATCCCAGTACTGTGGGAGGCTGAGGTGGGCGGATCATCTGAGGTCAGGCGTTGGAGACCAGCCTGGCCAACAGGGTGAAACCCCGCCTCTACTAAAAATACAAAAATTAGCTGGGCATGGTGGCACATGCCTGTAATCACAGCTACTCGGGAGGCTGAGGCAGGAGAATCACTTGAACCTGGGAGGTGGAGGTTAAAGTAAGCCGAGATAAGGCCATTGCACCCCAGCCTGGGTGACAGAGCAAGACTCCGTCTCAGAAAAAAAATAAATGAAAACCCCCCAAAAAAACTTTGTGCACGCAGGCCCAGATAGCTTTCCCAGCTAGGAATACTCTGCGTATCACCACAAATCCATGTGCCAGAAAACTGATGTGTCCTGCCTCCACAGGGAGAGGACGTGGAAACTGTGCACTGGGACCATCCCAGACCTCGCCATGTGTGTGTTTCTTTCTTGGCTAATCTTGATTTTTATCTTTTTTTTTCTTTTTTTTTTGCTATAATAAAACTATAAAATCATAGCACTTTCCCCAGTTCTGTGAGTCACTCTAGTGAATTATTGACCCTGAAGGAGGAGTGGGAACCCCCTGAATTTGTAGCCTGTTGGTCAGGAGTAAGGAGGTCTGGGAACCCCAGAGCTTGTGGCTGGTGTCTGGAGTGAGGACAGCCTTGTGGAAGACTGAGTCCTTAAACCTGTGAAGACGAATATTCACTCCTAGTGTCAGAATTGCATCGTAGACATGAAGTAGTAACTACAGAATAATAAACATTTTAATTGGGCAGGAGGATGGTACAATTCTAAACTGTATGTACCTATTAACAGCTTCAAAATACGTTAAGCAGCAGGGCGGGCGCGGTGGCTCACGCCTGTAATCCCAGCACTTTGGGAAGCTGAGGCGGGCTGATCACGAGGTCAGGAAATCGAGACCATCCTGGCTAACACGGTGAAACTCCATCTCTACTATAAAAAAAAATACAAAAAATTAGCTGGGCGTGGTGGGGGGCGCCTGTAGTCCCAGCTACCTGGGAGGCTGAAGCAGGAGAATGGCGTGAACCTGGGAGGCGGAGCTTGCACGTGAGTCGAGATCGCGCCACTGCACTCCAGCCTGGGTGACACTGCAAGACTCCGTCTCAAAAAACAAACAAACAAACAAACAAAAATTAGCCGGGCCTGGTGGTGCGCGCCCGTAATCCCAGCTACTCGGGAGGCTGAGATAGGAGAATCGCTTGAACCCAGGAGGGGGAGGTTGCAGTGAGCCGAGATCGCACCAGTGCACTCCAGCTTGGGCAACAGAGTGAGACTCCGTCTCAAAAACAAAACAAAACAAAAACAAAATACATTAAGCAAAAGTTGAGAAAACTATAGATCATATTATAATGTGAAATTGTCAAATACACCTAAATTAGAGACAGGTGAAACTGACAAAAAATAATTCAGGATGTAGAAGAGTGTGTAGAACATAAACCACAAGCCTGATCTAATGAACAAATGTATATAATTGTATCTAACAATTGGAGAATACCTTTCTGCACAAATGAAATATTTACAAAATGTAACAATGTGTTGTGCCATAAAGCCTCCATACATTTTAAATAATTTGCGTCATTCAAACCACATTCTCTGACCACTATGTACTTAAGTCAGAAATCAGTAACAAAAGAAACATAAAAATCTGAACATCTTCAGGAATTAAGAAACACACTTCTTTTTTTTTTTTTCTGGCAAAATAAGCCAGAAAGTGCTACATCACCCAGGCTGGAGTGCAATGGTGCGATCTCGGTTCACTGCAACTTCCACCTACCGGGTTCAAGTGATTCTCCTGCCTCAGCCTCCCGAGTAGCAGGGATTACAGGTGCGTGCCACCACACCTAGCTATTTTTTGTATTTTTAGTGGAGGCGGGGTTTCACCATGTTGGCCAGGATGGTCTCGTACTCCTGACCTCAGGTGATCCGCCTGCCTTGGCCTCCCAAAGTGCTGGGATTACAGGCGTGAGCCACTGGACCCGGCCTTTTTTTTTTTTTTTTGAGACAGTCTTGCTCTGTCACCCAGGCTGGAGTGCAGTGGTGGGATCTTGGCTCACTGCAACCTCCACCTCCCAGGTTCAAGCAATCCTTCCTGCCTCAGCCTCCTGAGTAGCAGGGATTACAGGAGTGCCCCACCACATCCAGCTAATTTTTGTATTTTTAGTAGAGACGGGGCTTCGCCATGTTGGCCAGGCTGGTCTTGGATTCCTGACCTCAAGTGATTCACCCGCCTTGGCCTCCCAAAGTGCTGGGATTACAGGCGTGAGCCACAGCACCTGGCCTGAAAATGCTATATTCTAAGTCAGTAGAGAAATACTAATACTCAGACAAGTACCCTACAAACTCTATTGATTTTATCTCACAGGAAAAAGAAAATTATCAATGAACTACTCTCCCAAAAAGCATTAGCCCTGAATGGTTTTCAGAATAAAAATCTGTGAAACTTTAAAAACCAGATAATTCCAATGCCAGCTTTTTCCAGAGCAGGGAAAAAATAAAATACTTCTGTACTCTTCATATGAAATGATATATATGAAATACAGTTGATCTAAATACTGAAAAGGTTGATAAACTAGAAACTAATTTCACTTATGAATTCTAATACAAAATCTTAAATAAAATTTTATTTTATTCCATAAAATAAAATGGAATTCAATATCATACTAAGGAATAATGTATTATGTCTAAGTGAGGGGCATTTCAAATGCAAGGACCATTACTACAAAACCTATGAACATGATTTAACATATGAATATACTGCCGGGCGAGGTGGCTCATGCCTGTAATCCCAGCACTTTGGGAGGCCAAGGCGGGCGGATCACCTGAGGTCAGGAGTTCGAGACCATCCTAGCCAACATGGTGAAACCCCGCCTCTACTAAAAATACAAAATTAGCCAGGTGTGGTGGTGCATGCCTGTAATCCCAGCTACTCAGGAGGCTGAGGCAGGAGAATTGCTGGAACCTGGGAGGTGGAGGTTGCGGTGAGTGGAGGTTGTGCCATTGTACTCCAGCCTGGGCAACGAGAGTGAAACTCCGTCTCAAACAAAAAACAAAAAACATATGAATACATCATGGGAGAAAAGAGATCCACAAACGCGGATCTGACCTTTAACAACATTCTCTACCAGTTGGGCGCACTGGCTCACGCCTGTAATCCCAGCACTTTGGGAGGCTGAGGCGGGCAGATTGCCTGAGGTCAGGAGTTCCAGACCAGCCTGGCCAACATGGTGAAGCCCTGTCTCTACTAAAAATACAGAAATTAGCTGAGTGTGGTGGTGGGCGCCTGTAATCCCAGCTATTCAGGAGGCTGAGGCAGGAGAATCGCTTGAACCTGGGGGGCAGAGGTTGCAGTGAGCCGAGATGGTGCCACTGCACTCCAGCCTGGGCGACAGCGAGACTCTGTCTCAAAAAAAAAAAAAAAAAAAAAAAAAAGAACGAGGTAAAACTATTGTTCTTTGTAGATGATATGATTGTATACCAAAGAAAAGCTACTGCAAACAATAAGAGAATAGAGTAAGTTTAATAGAGCACCAAAAAAAAAAAAAAAAAGATAGCATTCAAATTTACACACCATAAAACCTCATTTACAATAGCCATAAACAACAAACAGAAAACCAAACAAACCTTGGAATATTTTTAACAAAAATATGCAAGACCTATATGAAGGAAACTTTAAAATACATCTGGGGACAAATGAAAAGACTTACCACATTACTGGATAGGATGACATCGTGAGGATGTCAATTCTCACTCAACAGTATATATATTGAATGCAACCTATATAAAAATACTAACAGCTTTTGTAAAAATTGAAACTAGTCAAGATGATCCTAAAGTTCCACAATAGAAAAAAAAAATCAAAGAACAGCCTGAAAAACTTTGGAAAAGAAGAGCAATGAGGGTGGACTAGCACTACTAGGACCTAAAACATTCCAAATGAATAAAAATTGTAATGTTAACATTTAAAACTTAAAACTATTCATGAGTGTGGGGGGAAGGTAGGGTGCAACCTGAGGCAAAAAAAAAAAAAAAAAAAAAAAACCAAACAAAAAACCAGATTCCTTCATGATCCTGCAGTGGCAAAGACCTTTCTTTTTTTTTTTTTTTTTTTTTTTTTTGAGATGGAGTCTCGCTCTGTCACCAGGCTGGAGTGCAATGGCATGATCTCGGCTCACTGCAACCTCTGCCTCCCGAGTGCAAGTGATTCTCCTGCCTCAGCCTCCCAAGTAGCTGGGATTGCAGGTGCGCGCCACCATGCTCAGCTAATTTTTGTATTTTTAGGAGAGATGAGTTTCACCATGTTGGCCAGGATGGTCTCGATCTCTTGACCTTGCGATCCGCCCACCTCGGGCTCCCAAAGTGCTGGCATTACAGGAGTGAGCCACACCCGGCCCCATGACTCAAAGTCTAGAAACCGCAAAAGAAATAAACTGAATATACACAGCTACATTAAAAATTTTTTTCTCTTTTTTTTTTTTTGAGACGGAGTCTGGCTGTGTCGCCCAGGCTGGAGTGCAGTGGCTCAATCTAGGCTTACTGCAAGCTCCGCCTCCCGGGTTCACGCCATTCTCCTGCCTCAGCCTCCTGCATAGCTGGGTCTACAGGCGCCCGCCACCACGCCCGGCTAATTTTTGTATTTTCAGTAGAGACGGAGTTTCGCCGTGTTAGGCAGGATGGTCTCGATCTCCTGACCTTGTGATCCGCCCGCCTCGGCCTCCCAAAGTGCTGGGATTACAGGAGTGAGCCACCACGCCCACCCAACATTTTTCTGCATGGCAAAAGGATCACAGCAGTCTGAACTGCTGTGAACTATATTCCATGTCATCACAAAGGGCTAACTTCTTTAGTGACTGACACATAACTTACAAGCCAATAAAAAATAAGAATATGGACAGATAGTTCGCTGAGAAATGAAAACAAATGGCTCTTAAGCATTTGAAAACATGCGTCCTCACTCGTAATTAGAGAAATTCAAATTAAAACCATAGTGAGAAACCATCTTTTACTGTCAGATGCTTCCAAAGCTGTCAGATTAGCCAGGCCGTGGCGAGAGGCACAACTATCCCTGGCTGAATGGAAGGTAAACTGGTTGAGCCCCAAGGACAGCACTCTGGTGACACATTAAAAATACCAAGGTGGGGCCGGGTGCGGTGGCTCACGCCTGTAATCTCAGCACTTTGGGAGGCTGAGGCAGGTGGATCACGAGGTCAGGAGTTCGAGACTAGCCTGGCCAACATGGTGAAACCCTTTCTCTAAAAAAATACAAAAATTAGCTGGGCACAGTGGTGCACCTGTAGTCCCAGCTACTCGGAGGCTGAGGCAGAATAGCTTGAACCCGGGAAGTGGAGGTTGCAGTCAGCTGAGATGGTGCCACTGCACTCCAGTTCAGGCGACAGAGTGAGACTCCGTCTCAGAAAAAAAACAAAAACAAACAAAAAATAAGGTGGCTGGGTGCGGTGGCTCAAACCTATAATCCCAACACTTTGGGAGGCTGAGGCAGGCAGATCTTGAGGTCAGGAGATCGAGACCATCCTGGCTAACCGGTGAAACCCTTTCTCTACTAAAAATACAAAAAATTAGCCGGGCATGGTGGCACGTGCCTGTAGTTCCAGGTACTCCAGAGGCTGAGGCAGGAGAATCACTTGAACCCAGGAGGCAGAGATTGCAGTGAGCTGAGATTGCACCACTGCACTCCAGCCTGGGTGACAGAGCAAGACTCTGTTTCAAAAAGAAAAAAAAAAAACAGTGTATTATGGAAAACGAGTAAACACGTATAAATGCATAGAAAATGTTAAAACATTTTGCAAACAACCCAGATGTCCAAAAGGTGTCTAGTTCATTATACTAAGATAAGGCTTTACATTGTAGTTGTAAAAAAAAAAACGCCCAGTGGAGTAGCTCACGCCCAGCACTTAGTACTTTGGGAAGCCGAGGCAGGAGGAACAGTTGAAGCCAAGAGTTGGAGACAAGCCTAGAAAACATAATGAGGCCCCATCTCTGTTTCTATATATAAAAAAAGAAAAAAAAAACCCTGATATATAAATCTCTCCATATATAACTGAAAAAACCCAAGATGCTGATAGAGGTATACAATATGTTACCTTGATTTTATATTTTTAAAAATTTATACCTCGTGATGCAAGTTAACTACCTTGATATTAAAAGGGAAAATGCACAATATTTAGATTGATGTTTATTTGCATATGCATTAGAAAACCTGAAAGGCGTACAGTGAAAAAGCAAAAAACAAGCAAAACCAAGAAAACAACAACAAAACTCCAAGCCACAAGCAATGGCACCTGCATGGAATAGTTCTGAGTTTGGCAAAGGACAGCAACAAGAGAGATTTCTCACAGCATCTTTTGATACTTTTTTTCTTTTTTTTGAGACGGAGTCCCACTCTGTTGACCAGGCTGGAGTGCAGTGGCGTGATCTCGGCTTACTGCAACCTCCGCCTCCCAGGTTCAAGTGATTCTCCTGCCTCAGCCTCCCGAGTAGCTGGGACTACAAGCGCGTGCCACCACACCCAGTTAATTTTTTATTTTTCGTAGAGATGGGGTTTCACCATGTTGGCCAGGGTGGTCTTGAATTCCTGACCTCAGGTGATCCACCCGCCGTGGCCTCCCAAAGTGCTGGGATTACAGGCGTAAGCCAGTGCGCCCGGCCGATACTTTTTTTTGTTGAGTCTTGTGAATAGAATACATATTCTAGAATAAAATAAAAAGCTTAAAATTAACAAAAAACAAGTTTATTCCACACCTACCCAATTTCACATAGACTTGAAAACACTGATCATATAATACGTGGTTTTTTCTATTGAATATTTACTGTTCATCTAAAGTACCTCAGAAAACACAAATATGAATCTTACACTAGGATTTGTTGACATGACCACAAATTGTGAAATTTCAAAGTCCTCTCAATAGCCTTCCAATCCTAGTAACTCAGGTACACCTGGATTCCTGACAACTCTATTTCTTTGTTTTCTTTCATCACTTAGGTTCATTTCTATGGGTTCTGTTATTGGCATTTTTTTTTTCTCATATCTTTGCAAAACCATCCTTTATGGTGAAAGTCATGAAGGATTCTTCACAAATGCAGGAAAATGCATTGCTAACAAAGTGCTAAGTCAGAAGTGTCTTGGGACCTGTTTGAAAACAAGATTCGGCCGGGCGCGGTGGCTCACGCCTGTAAAGTAATCCCAGCACTTTGGGAGGCCGAAGCGGGAGGATCGCTCGGGTCCAAGCGTTCGGGACCAGCCTAGGGATGCGAGACTCCCTTCTCTATTTAAATAATACTAAAAAAGAAGAAAGAAAACAAGATTCAACAGTCTTGTCTGTTTCCATTTCGGAGTGTGCTTCCTCCTTCAATTGCACATTGCCGTATTCCCTTCCAGTTTGCATTCCCCCTAATGACTGAGTTAACTAAACTGGCACAGCCTGCCTGTTCTTTTGATCCCAAAAGGGTCACTTGGCTATTCCTTGCCACCAATGTCATCATCACAGCCGACTCAGTCGGCCAGAGGACTGAGGGCCTCGGAGGCAGTCAGCGCTACCGTAAACGCGACAGCAGCGAAGTCCATCTGCGGGGGATCCGCGTCAAAGGCTGCTTCCCTCGCCTTGCAGCCTTCCACAAACAGCCTGCGGCGTTCCTCGAAATCCCGTAGTAATCTGACCGGAATCATGGAGCTACCATCCAGATACTCGCGGAACAACAGCTGCCGGTTAATTTCTAAGAAAGCGAGCTGCTGATGGGGGTCTGGCGCGGAGGCCAGGCCCGGGACGCTGCTGGGGATGGGCCCGGGCACAGGGCCCGGCATCCGCGCCATGGACCGCGCAGCTTCGGCCACTGGGCCTTCCCGAGCCTCCTGCACCCGAACCCCGCCGCCGACTGCCCCCCGCAGTACGTCGCTGACGCCACTCGCGGTGCCCACCTGTGGGACACTGCTATCTCCGGGGAGCTCGGACATCTCCAACAGCCCAGTCGGCTCCGCCATAGTCCCAGCGTTTCTACGGAGACTGGAATAACGGCACTGCACTGCTGTATGCGAGACCTGCGCATGCGCGAGTCTCAGTGAGCGCGTAAACGCTGTGCGTGCCAGAGTGTGCGCATGCGTAAGCACGGTGGCCAATCCTCTAGCGTTCCCTAGCGGTCCTGAGTAGCCATTACGTCTGTAGCCGCCTCTGGTCCTCTGAGCGCCTGAGGACCTGCGGACTGCGCGGTATCTTAAATTACAACCACTTCAGTATTAATGTAAAGTTCCTTATACGGTCATTTTCCAGCTCCTGTCTTTTTTTTTTTTTTTTCAGACTGGGTCTCGCCCTGTCGCCTAGGCTGGAGTGCAGTGGTGCGATCTCGGTTACTGCTGCTTTGACCTCCCAGCCTCAAGCCATCCTCCTGCCTCAGCCTCTGGAGTAACTGGAACTACAGGTGCACACAACCACACCCAGCTGATTTTTTATTTTTTGTAGAAATTGGGTCTCACTATGTTGCCCAGGCTGGTCTCGAACTCCTGGACTCAAGTGATCATCCTGCCTTGGCCTCCCAAAGTGCTGGGATTACCGGCCTGAGCCACTCGGCCTGGCCTGTAAGTAATATTTTGACACTGGAAGTTTGGGGGTTTCCCAAAACCACCTTTAGGTTTGATAATTCCCAGAGCTCATTGAAATCTGTTATATTCACAGTCATGCTTATTACAGGCAAAGGACACAGATTAGAAGAGATGTATAAGGCACAATCTGGGATGGGGAGGGTTCCAAATGTGAAGTTCCTGTGTTCCTAGGGATGTGTTACCCTTTGTCGTCCATGTGTGGCAATAAGTGTGGGGGTAGTGCTAACATAGGACTCTCACCCAGGCTTTGGTGTCCAGAGTTTTTACTGGGGTTTTACTACCTAGGCATGCTTGATTAAACCATCGTCCATTTTGTTGAAGTCAATCTCCAGCCTCCTACCTGATATCACATGGCTCCAAGCCCCAACTCTCTAATGATATGGTTAGCCTTTCTGTGTGGCTAGCTCTGATCCTGATGATAACCCAAAACGTGAAAGTCTATGTTCCATTTAAAATCAGTCAGCTGTGGCTGGGTGTAGTGGCTCATGCCTGTAATCCCAGCAAGTTGGGAGGCAAAGGTGGGAGGATCGCTTGAGCCCATGAGTTTGAGACCAGCCTGGGCAACATAGTGAGACCCCTGTCCCTACAGAAAAAAAAAATTAGGCAGGCATGGTGGCATGTGCACCTGTAGTCTCAGCTATTCAGGAGGCTGAGGTGGGAGGATGACTTGAGCTTGGTAGGTGGACTGTGCAGTGAGCTATGATTGCACCACTGCACTCCAGCCCTGTATGACAGAGCAAGACCCTGTCTCGAAAAAAAATCCTTTGAATTTAGCTGGAATCCAAATATGAGAGTTGCTGGCAATTGAACTTCAGGAGGATCCATCTAAAAATTCTGACCTATCACAGGTCGTGTCTGGGAGCTGATTGGGTTGGAAATCATTCTGACTCACGTGTACCTTACTTTGTTTCTACAGTTCTCTTGGAGAGATGGAGTTCTCCTACATGTGACATATATGCTTCAAAAAGCACATTTGTGATATTCCACAGAAGACAAAAGAAAGGACTTCTCTGGAAGGTAACTTCAAGGGGACAACAACAGAGCTATGGACTGCAGGAAGATGGCCTGCTTCTCTTCCAGTGTGATTTGGATCATGGCCATTTTGAAGCCTTTGAACTGGGATTAGTTGCTGGGCTGGGTCATCAGGAACTTGCGTGTCCATCTCAGGGAGACCTGGCCTTCAGAAATGACAGCATTCGGCCCCAGGAGGAGCCTGCAATTCGGCCTCAGTCTTCCCAGCGTGTGCTGCCCATGGGGATACAGGACAGTAAGGAGCTAAGCAGAACCTGCTGCCTGAATGGGGGAACCTGCATTGGGGTCCTTTTGTGCCTGCCCCCCGTCCTTCTATGGATGGAACTGTGAGCACGATGTGTGCAAAGAGAACTGTGGGTCTGTGCTCCATGACACCTGGCTGCCCAAGAAGTGTTCCCTGTGTAAATGCTGGCACGGCCAGCTCTGCTGCTTTCCTCAGGCATTTTACTGGCTGTGATGGCCTTGTGATGGATGAGCATCTCATGGCTTCCAGGACTCCAGAACTACCACCGTCTGCATGTACCACTTTTATGCTAGCTGGCATCTGCCTTTCTATACAAAGTTACTATTAATTGACACTGACCTATTTCCAGAAATACCATTTTAGATATCATGCAAATTTCATGACCAGTAAAAGCTGCTGCTACAATGAAAGATGATCATTTGTTAGTTTACTTAAAATAATGAGTATATTTCCAAAATGGTCTCTAACATTTCCTTACAGTATCAACAACTTCTTACTTCTTTGCCCTGCCCTCTCCCAAAAAACGACTTCTTTTTTCAAAAGAAAGTCAGCCATATCTCCACTGCACCCAAGTCCAGTGTTTCTTTCTTTTTTTGAGATGGAGTCTCGCTCTGTCACCCAGGCTGGAGTGCAGTGGCACGATCTCAGCTCACTGCAACCTCTGCCTCCTGGGTTCAAGCAATTCTCCTGCCTCAGCCTCCCCAGTAGCTGGGATTACAGGCATGTGCCACCATGCACGACTAACTTTTTTGTATTTTTAGTAGAGACCGAATTTCACCATATTGGCGAGGTTGGTCTTAAACTCCTGACCTTGTGATCTGCCTGCCTTAGCCTCTCAAAGTGCTGGGATTACAGGCGTGAGCAACTGCTCAAGGCCTCGTGTTTATTGATACATGTAATTCTACCAAGGTCTTCTTAATATGTTCTTTTAAACGACTGAATTATATCTTCAGATTATTAAAGACTAATCTTAATGTGGACCTTAGGATACAGTTTTGAGTAGAGTTGATCAAAATCAATTAACATTGTCTCTTTAAAAGGAAAGACAGCCTCTTTAAGGCGAGGAACCAGAGTGATGAAGGAATGGAAGTCTGTCTGCATGTGTGCAGGGAGACTGGGTAAGAAAGAGGAAGCAAATGGGAGAGAGAGGTTGGAAAACATAAAATAGGTTATTTAACTGGTGATTAGGTGGGTGTAGAGAAGCAAGTTAAAAGGCTAAATGGAAGGGCAAGTTTCCATCATCTAATGAAAGATATATAAGACAAGGACTCCCCTTTTTTTCCTAAAGGCATTGTAAAAAGAATTGATTTTTAGACGGAGTCTCGCTCTGTCGCCAGGCTGGAGTGCAGTGGCGCAATCTCGGCTCACTGCAACCTCTGCCTCCCAGGTTCAAGTGATTCTCCTGCCTCAGCCTTTGTAAAAAGTCTTTTTAGAAAAAATATTATACCTCAATGTCCCCAACAAAATTGCTTAATAAATTATGCTTCCTCCAAGCTATGCAATTCTTTTAACTGTTGTAGAAGAGAAAATGTTCAGTGTATTTAGTTGTAAACCAAGTGATAAAACCACATATTGTAAAGCTCATTTAAAAAATACATTGTATATATGTGTATGCACAGTAAAAATGGAAAATATATTGAAAAAAAATTTGATCCTTATATTGTACCTGAGAATAAATTTCAAATGGCTCAAAGATTCAAATGTGGACAATGAAACCACACACACACACACCCAAGACTACCTTAGGATTCAAAATACTGCAGGTTTATTTATTTTTTATTTTTTGAGACAGGATCTCACTTTGTCACCCATGCTGGAGCTTGCTGGGCTCAAACGATCCTTCTACCTCAGCCCCCAGAGTAGATGGGATTAGAGGCTTGTGCCACTACACCAGGCTAATTTTTCATATTTTTCATAGAGACAGGGTTTCGCCATGTTGCCCAGGCTGGTCTTGAACTCCTGAGCTCAAGTGGTCTGCCTGCCTCAGCCTCCCAAAGTGTGGGATTACTGATGTGAGCCACTGTGCCCGGCCTCCTGCAAATTTAAAGGAAAATAGGCAACAAAAATTACCATGGCCAAAGGCTTTCCAAAAAGCCAAAATCTAATGACAACTTGTGAAAAAATATTCGTAACTCATATCCCAAGCTATTATCATACCTCATATCACTAACATGAGTATCATAAATAGCTACTGGATTCAATGAAGAAAGGACAAAATTATCTGGGAGGGGAATGGATAAAGAATATGAACAAGGCATGGTGGCTCACACCTATAATCCCAGAACTTTGGGAGGCCAAGGAGGGAGGATCATCTGAGGTCAGGAGTTGGAGACTAGACTGGCCAACATGGTGAAACCCATGTTAAAAATACAAAATGAGCCAGGTGAAGTGGCATGTGCCTGTAATTCCCGTTATTTGGGAAGCTGAGGCACGAGAATCGCTTGAACCTGGGAGGCGGAAGTTGCAGTGAGCTGAGATGGTACCACTGCACTCCAGCCTGGGCGAGAGAGTGAGACTTTGTCTAAAAAAAAGAGTATGAACAGAGAGTTTATGGAAAAGGGAATATATATGACTCTTAAAAGATATTTAACTGGCTGGGTGCGGTTGCTCACGCCTATAATCCCACCACTTTGGGAGGCCGAAGTAGGTGGATCACCTGAGGTCAGGAGTTCAAAACCAGCCTGGCCAGCATAGTGAAACCCCATCTCTACTAAAAATACAAATTAGCCAGGTGTGTTGGTGCATGCCTGTAATCCCAGCTCTTGGGAGGCTGAGGCAGGAGAATCCCTTGAGCCTGGGAGGTGGAGGTTGCAGTGAGCCAAGATCGCACAATTGCACTCCAGCCTGGACAACAAGAGTGAAACTCCCATCTCAAAAAAAAAAAAAAATTTAACTTCGCTCATCATAAAAGCGAATTAAAACTGATATACCATTTTTCAACTATCAGATTCGCAAAAGCCAGATATTATTGATGATTTAGTGTGTTGGCTGGGCTGTAACGAAACATCTATGATCATTAATTGCTGGTGGGAGTGCAAAGCAGGACACATATAGAATGCTGCATAGCAATATTCATAAAATCTCAAAGGAGTAACTTTGGCCCAGAATTCTCATTTCTGGGGCATCAGCCTACAGATATTACATGTAAAAAGGAATCTAGGTAGCTATTGATCATGAGACACATCATTAGGGCTGGGCGCGGTGGCTCACACCTGTAATCCCAGCACTTTGGGAGGCCAAGGTGGGCAGATCACAAGGTCAAGAGATCAAGACCATCCTGGCCAACATGGTGAAACCCCGTCTCTACTAAAAATACAAAAATTGACCAGGTGTTGTGGTGGGCGCCTGCAGTCCCAGCTACTCAGGAGGCTGAGGCAGGAGAATCACTTGAACCTGGGAGGCGGAGGTTGCAGTGAGCCGAGATTGCGCCACTGCACTCCAGCCTGGCGACAGAGTGAGACTCCCTCTTAAAAAAAAAAAATCACTAGTTTCGTGAAAACCCAAGGAAAAAATGATCTATTACAGCATCAAATATAAGATGCACCCACATTTCAGAGATGTTCAAATATGAAGTGAATTTTGAATTGAAGCAATACTATATTTGTGCACATGCCACATGATATACAAGATGAACTACTCTAGCAATTGTACAAGATGAACTACTCTAGCAATTTTTTATTCTGCCCAAAGAAAGAGATGGGAAACAACCTAAATGTCCGTCAATATATCCCTGGTTAAGTAAATTTGGACATAACCTCAGAATGGAATAAAATGCCACTTTAAAAAATAATGAGGAAATACAGTGGTTTGGAAGGGTCAACATATGTTCTTAATGAGAAAGCAATGTATAAACCAGTAAATATAATATGCCGACTTCTGTGAAGAAATAAAACAAGTAAACCCAGATTTATATGTGCCTGTGTACACGTAAGGAAACTAGAAGGACGGAAAGGAAACTGTGGCTATTAGAGGTCATCGTTGGTACTGGATGGAGGAAAACAAGAATGGAAGGCTTTTCGCTGTATATTTTATATATTTTTTGGCTTGTGAATAGATTTTTTAATACCAAAAAAACTTTAAAAATTAAAAATTGAAAGAAAAAAGTCCAGAAATTTGACGTTCTTGAAAACATGATTTATCACATAATATATACATTTACTTTGCTTGTCACTTGAAATGCCTAAGAAAACACAAAATCAATCTTAAACTAGAAACTTCTATTGAATATGACATGAAGAGAGCACATATTCCGACAATTTCAAGTTCTTTTCATAGCCTTCCAGTCCTAATAACTCAGCGTTAACATCTTATTCTGTTCAGCACTATTTGATAATTTCTTTCATCCTCATGGGCTCTAGTATTGATGTTTCATCAGTCTCAATTTTATAAAACCATCCTTTACTTTGTAATAAAGCAATGCTGAGAGACATTTTCCATAATGCAGGGGGAAAAATGTGGATCAATCACAAACTCAAAGAACGTTACAGTTATAATGCTTTCGACATTTTTTTCTACTTCTGTGATGCTTTTTCAAGATAAGCTTCCCCCTCCCCCTTTTTTTCCCCTCCACCTGTGCACTGTCTTATCGCGATATACTCTTGACTTCTGAAAATCAAGTTGCAGGATTGGTATGACTGGAATGCAGAGGTTCTCTTGAAGTAGTGTCACCACATAACTATTCTCTATTGATAAACTTATCGCAACCAAGTTCTTCTATCAGAGGGTTGATAACTTCAGAGGCAGTCAGAGCTATCGTAAAGGTTAAAATATCGAGGTCCACCCTGTGAGGATTTCGCTGATATTCGGCATCAAACGCTGCTTCCCTTGCTCTGCAGGCTTCCACGAATCGCCTGCGGCGTTCTTCAAGCTCTTGTATTCTGCCGGGAGCAATCGGGTAATTTTCCAGATAGTGGCGGAGAAACTGCTGGTAATTGATGCCTAAAACGCTAAGTGGGTGGCGGAGACGGAGATAGGGCAACGCAGCCAGGCCTCCGTTCCCGTGTCTGGACCTGGGCCTGCCCTCGGGACCCTCTTCGTCCACTGGCTCCCCCAGCAAGCGGGCGACCTCCGCCATCCGGGCTTCCCTGGCCGCCGCCGCCGCCGGGCTTTCCCTGCCCGCCGCGGCTGCCCTGGCCAACGCCGCCGCTGCCACCGGGGCTCCCCTGGCTGCCGCCGCCGGGGCTGCCCTGGCCGCCGCCATCCGACCTTCCCTGGCCGCCGGCACCGGGCCTCCCCTGGCCGCCGCCATCGCGCCTTCCCCGGCCTCCTCAGGCTGTGCCGGGGCCGGCTCCCGCCTCCCGCGGCCTACCTCCGCCTGCGGGACGTCTCTGTCACCATTCGCCGCGCCTGTCTGCGGGACACTGCTGTCTGCGGGCAGCTTGGACATCTCAGACCGTGGGGTCAACTCGGCTGCTCCCAGAGAAACTGGAATAACTGGACAGAGCGATGCCCGGCGGACACCCCAGTGCGCGTGCGTGGGCGCTATGCGCGCTGTAAATGCAGTGTGCGTAACCGGGCGCGAGAGCATAGATTCTTACCGCAAACCCTGGGAGCAGTGCGCATGCGTACTTTCCCGGCGCCCGCCGTTCTCCAGATGCCCCCTCGAGGCCGGGAAGCGCCAACGCATCTGAAACATCCCAACGACGAAGGGCGGGGGACATTTCAACCAGTTTGATGTTTATGAGGAACGCTTACAAGATCGCTTCTTGTAGGCGTTCTCAAGGTTCTGTCCTAGGGTGTTTCTCTTTGTTCTCCAGTGATTATGTGCCACCTCTATTATATATCAAGATATTTTAGATTCATGGTCTTTTCTGGATTTTTAAATTGTTTTTCATTCATTCCTTTGCCTGTCTTCATCCATACGGATCGTCCTAGCTACCAAAGCTTTGTAATTACAGTCTTTTCGTGTTATCTTTAACATTGCATTGACTACCTTGGACATTTGTTTTTCGAATCTTATTTGTGCAATATAACATGCAGAAAAGTAAACAAAACATAAATATACAGCTGAATGATTTATCACAAAGTGAACATCCGTTTAACTACCACACAGTCCAAGAAGTGGAATATTTCCAGCATCCCAGAACCCTTCCTCTTCTTCTTATCACTATCCTTTCCTTTCTACGCAGAAGTAACAACTATGCTGATACTTATGGTAATCACTTTCTTGTTTTTCTTTTCATTTTACCACCTAAGGGTGCATTCCTAATGCTGTAGTTTAGTTTGGTTTGTATTCTGAACTTTATCTATGTGAGAAACACACTCACCTGCGTAATTTTTGTATTTTTAGTAGAGACGAGGTTTCACCATGTTGGCCAGGATGGTCTCGATCTCTTGACCTCGTGATCCGCCTGCCTCGGCCTCCCAAAGTGCTGGGATTACAGGCGTGAGCCACTGCGCCGGCCACTTTCTTCCCTTTTATGGGCTGACCCCGCCTCTACATTCTGTTCCCTTATTGTGACCTTCTAGGTGGATGAGCCCTGCAGTTTGTTATATTTGCAGGCTGGCTGCCAGTACTTAGATTTATCATGCCTCAGAAATGGACCATTTAAAATGTTTTCTCACATACACACTTGTATCTGTTTTTTTGTGCATTATTTTTATGAGATTCATCCATTCACATTTTCTCTTCCTCCCTCCCTCCCTCACTCCCTTCCTTCCTTCCTTCCTTCATTCCTTCTTTCTTTCATCTCATTCTGTTACCCAGACTGGAGTGCAGTGGCACAATCACAGCTCAACGTGGCCTCAACCTTCCGAGCTCAAATAATCCTCCCACTTCAGTCTCCTGAGTACCTGGGACTACAGGTGTACACCACCACACCCAGTTAATTTTTAATTTTTTTGTAGAGACAGGGTCTCCTTATGTTGCCCAGGCTGGTCTCAAAGTCCTGGGCTCAAACGACCCGCCTGTCTCAGCCTCCCAAAGTGCTGGGATTATAGGGTGAGCCAGAGCACTCGGCCTCCAGCCTACATTTTCATTATGGTTTATAAATACTTTATTTTCTTGATAGTTATTATATTCATTACCATTTTTTTTATGAAGTCTCGCTCTGTTGCCCAAGCTGAAGTACAGTGGTGTGATCTTGGGTCACTGCAACCTCTGCCTCCCAGTTCCAGTGATTCTCCTGCCTCAGCCTCCTGAGTAGCTGGGATTACAGGTGCGCGCCACCATGCCCGGCTAATTTTTGTATTTTTAGTAGAGACAGGGTTTTATTATATTGGCCAGGCTGGTCTCGAACTCCTGACCTCATGATCCGCCAGGCTTTGGCCTCCCAAAGTGCTGATATTACAGGCGTGAACCACTGTGCCCGGCTTATTACCATTCTTTTATGGATCTTGTAATATTAAAACATGCATCTTATATACTGACTCTCCAATTAATTTCCCTTTGTTCTGATTAATGTGAACAAACAAAATAATTTGATTTGATTTTGCTGGTGGTGGTCCCCGTCATGATGCCATGATTCATGACCATCAACAAATGACTTAAGTGACTTATCGTTCTCTGCCCTATCAGAAGTAGCTATTCTGAGGCAGTAAGGTCTCATCCACAGAGCACAAGACTGCATTTTAATTTTCCTGGTCCAAGCACCAAATTAATAAAACACAACAGCTAGTCTACTTGCTGCTTCCCACCAGCATCTCTGCAATCACTAAGTGTGCGGCTCCTTTAAGGCAGCTCCCAGGCTAGGCTGGAGACAGATCTATTGTTCTCACCCTCAGGCTGCCTGGAGAGTCACAAATATTTAACAAAGGAAGTTCCAGACTTAGGTGACAACATATATTATCACAGGAAGAAGTAGAAATCATAGTAATTTGCTGTAATCCTACAGAAGCGGATATAATCTTGTTCTCTGGACTAAGAGTCACCTTACAGCAGAAGCTGAAAGGCCCTCTGATTTTCTAAGAATAGAAATTGCTCTAAGTAAAATGATGGTTTATTAGATCCGGAAGTGATATAAAAATGGTTCTAGGAAAATGAAGTGAACTAAAATAAGAAGCTACAAATAGAGGAAGGCAGAAAAACTTGGTGATAATGTGAGGGGATACAAACAAAAATTTGAGAGGTAGTCCAGGTTTGCTGTTGCTCCCAAGACTGTGCCTGCGGTGGCTGCAGCATCTTTGTAATTCACTGCCACTATTTCGGGATGACTTGAGGATGATTGTAACCATGTTGTAGACTAAACCATTAAGGCAGCTGGGATCAGGGGCTCCATATTGCTTAAAATCTTTACAGCAGAGGTGTGTGTGTGTGTGTGTGTGTGTGTGTGTGTGTGTGAGAGAGAGAGAGAGAGAGAGAATTTGAATCCAATTAATATATATATTTTGAGAGAGTCTGGCTCTGTCATCCAGGCTGGAGTACAGTGGCGCGATATCTTGGTTCACTGCAACCTCCACCTTCCAGGTTCAAGTGATTCTCCTGGAGAATCCCGCCACTGCACTCCAGCCTGGGTGACACAGTGAGATTCTGTCTAGAAAAAGAAAAAAAAAAGACATAGATTCTTGGCTGGGCGTGGTGGCTCATGCCTGTAATCTCAGCACTATGGGAGGCCAAGACAGGAGGACTGCTCGAGGCCAGGATTTCCAGACCAGGCCTGGGCAACATAGCAAGACCCTGTCTCTAAAAGAAGAAATTAGCCAGACATGGTAGTGTGTGGCTAGCTACTCAGGAAGCTGAAGCAGGAGGATCATTTGAGCCCAGGAGTTCAGGGCTACAATGAGCCATGATTGTGCCACTGCACTCCAGCTTGGATGACAGAGTAAGACTCTGTCTCAATAATAATTAGAAAAAAGAAGTAGATTTTTTTTCTCCATCCTTTGAATGAGAACTGGTTTATGACTTGTTTGACCCATAAGATGTGGTAGAAATGATGGTTCATCAGTTTCAAGACTAGTGCTCATGAGGAATTTCATACTTCTCATTCTCTCTCTAACTCTATAACTCATCTCCACCATGAGGACAAGTCTGGACCAGCTTTCTGGAGGGTGGAAGACCATTCAGAGTGGAGGAATGTGGTCTCAGACAAGGCATTCAAAATCAGTCAGTCTGGCTGGGCTCAGTGGCTCACGCCTGTAAACCCAGCACTTTGAGAGGCCGAGGTGGGCAGATCACCTGAGGTCAGGAGTTTGAGACCAGCCCGGCCAACATGGTGAAACCTTGTCTCTCCTAAAAAATACAAAAATAAGTTGGGCTTGATGGTGCGTGTCTGTAGTCCCAGGAGGTTGAGGCAGGAGAATCGCTTGAACCCAGGAGGCAAAGGCAGTGAGCCAAGATTGCACCACTGCACTCTGGCCTGGGCAACAAAGTAAGACTCTGCCTCAAAAAAAAAAAAAAAATCAGTCAGTCCCCAGCTGACCTACCAACTGACTCTTAGATGCATAGGCTCAATAAGTGCTTCTTGTTTTATGCCACAGTGTTTGATATGATTTGCTATGCAGTATCATTGTGGCAATAGATAACTGTTAGCTAACGGTTGCAGAAATTGGTACCAGGAGCTGGGCACTGCCCTAACAAAATCCTCAAGTATGTGCCAGTGGCCTTGGCACTGCATAGTGGATGAAAGGTAGAAAATCACAAAGGAAACTGTTAGCAAAGCTGCAGAATAGTGAGAAAATTGTTATTGGAGGCAGAAAAACTGGTGACCTATGTTATGATGTAGTGAAACGATTGCTAAACTATCGCCCGAGGTTACTTAGAAGATGGAAAGTATTTCTGATGAACTGTTGTATTTGGATAAGGGAACCTCCAGACATAATGCTGGCTGCTCATGTGGCTGAGTATGATAATGCATACCAAGAGTGGGGTGAACTATAGGGGTTGACTGATTTTCTAGAAGAATTCAGGGGAAATACAGGGGGACTATGACTTGCTAGGATGGAAAAGAAAACTTTTTCTCACTTCCAGTCTCTCCACCCACAATTTTTTTTTTTTTTTTAGACAGAGTCTCACTCGCTCTGTTGCCCAGGCTGGTATGCAGTGGGGCAATCATGACTCACTGAAGCCTTGAACTCCCTGGGCTTAAGTGATCCTCCCGCCTCAGCCTCCCAAGTAGCTGGGACCACAGGCATGTGCCACCATGCACAGCTAATTTTTAAAACATGTTTTGTAGAGATGGGGTCTTGCCGTATTGCCCAGGCTTATATTGAACTCCTGGGCTCAAGCCATCCTCCCGCCTTGGCCTCCCAAAGTGCTGGGATTATAGGCATGAGCCATCGTGCCTAGCCACAAAAGATTATCAAGGTGAAAAAAAGCCTGTGAATATGGATCAAATTAAAGGTGTGGCCTTCTGACCCTTTGTTATGACTGTTGAAAATACAAAGGTAGTGCTTGGTGAAAAGCCGACCAGTCAGACAAAAGGGTTTCTAGGAAGCTTTAAGGGCATGCTCCCTCAGAAACCAGATCTTAAAACAGGAAGAAGTTGGTCTAGAGAGAGAGGGTATTTCTTGAAAACAATAGTGATGTGGTTTCTGGAGGATGGAGTGAAGTATAAGCAGATAAATAGCAAGCTTACAAAGTTTGAAAGGGAATTGTATAGGCAGGACTGCCAGCATAGACTTTAAAATTTTTTATTATGTACTTTTTTTTTTTTTTTTGAGACAGGTTCTCCCTCTGTCACCCAGGCTGGAGTGTAGTGGCACAATCTCAGCCTCGCTGCAGCCTCCGCTCTTCAGGCTCAAGTGATCCTCCCACCTCAGCCTCCTGAGTAACTGGGACTACAGGCATGTGCCACCATGCTCGGCTATTTTTTTGTATTTTTAATAGAGATGAAGTTTTGCCATGTTGCCCAGGCTGGTCTTGAACTCCTGAGCTCAAGCAATCCACCTGCCTTGGCCTCCCAAAGTGCTGTGATTATAGGTGTAAGCCACTGTGCCTGGCCCATTTTTAAATTTTAATTCTTGGCTGGGTGTGGTGGCTCATGCCTATAATCCCAGCACTTTGGGAGGTTGAGGCAGGCAGATCACCGGAGGTCAGGAGTTCAAGACCAGCCTGGCCAACATGGTGAAACCCCGTTTTTACTAAAAGTACAAAAATTAGCCGGGTGTGGTGGCACATATCTGTAATCCCAGCTACTCAGGAGGCTGAGACAGGAGAATCGCTTGAACCTGGGAGGCGGAGGTTGAGGTGAGCCAAGTTTGTACCATTGCACTCCAGCCTGGGCGACAGAGTGAGATTTTGCCTCAAAAAGAAAAAAAATTAAATTCTTTTAGAGGCAGAGTCTTGCATTGTTGTTCAGACTGAACACGAATAATCAGATTGTTTGTTTCCTTGCTATTGAGTTGTTTGAGTTCCTTATAAACTTTGGATATTAACCTATTATCAAATGTATGGTTTGCAAATCTTTTCTCCCATTCCATAGGTTGTCTTTTCACACTATTGATTGATTCATTTGATGGGCAAAAGCTTTTTAGTTTGATGTAATCTCACTTGTCTATTTTTGCTTTTGCTGCCTGTGCTTTTGGGGTTATATCAAAAAAAAAAAAAATAGTTCAGATCAATGTCAATAGCTTTTATCCTAAGTTTTCTTCTAGTAGTTTTACAGGCTTAGGTCTTATATTTAATTGTTTAATCCATTGTGAATTGATTTTTGGATGTGGTATGAGATCAGGGTCCAATTTCATTCTTCTACGTGTGGACTTTCCATTTTCCCAGCACCATTTACTAAAGAGATTGTCCTTTCCCTATTGTGTGTTCTTGGCAACTTTGTCAAAGATCAATGGACTCTAGATGTATGCATTTATTTCTCTCTTCTGTTCCATGGGTCTCTGGGTCTGTTTTTATGGCAGTACCATGTTGTTTTGATTATTCTAGATCATACTGAAGACTCTGACTCTGAGTAGGATGGTATGACTGATGGAAGATAGTCGCAAATTCTTGGACACTCTTCCCCTTGATGGGTGGAGTTTAGTCTCTCTCCTCTTGAATCTGGGCTGGCCTTAGGCAGTCACTTGTGATGAAGAAAATGCAGTGAAAGCAACGCTGTGTGACTTCAGAGACGAGGCCAAAGGCACTCTTGTAGCTCTGAGATAGGAGGTGGGACCTGACTCCATAGGCGGGGCTTGGACACTGGACCAGACTGAAGACTAGGTAAAACAGGGCCGGGCAAAAGCAGCTTTTAAGCAGACACACCCATCAGTGTACCATGTCAATTTACTGTTGCCATGACAACACCCAGGCGTTACCACCCCTTTCCATAGCAATGACTCAATGATTACTACCCCTTCCCTAGAAATTTCTGCATAAACCGTCCCTTACTCTGCATGCAATTAAAAGTGCGTATAAATAGGACTGCAAACGGCCTGAGCAGCTACTCTCTAGCCCTACCTTGCAGGAGCAGTCACCGAGCTGTAACATCGCCTCTTCAATAAAGCTGTTTTCTTCTATCTCTGGCTTGCCCTTGAATTCTTTCCTGGGCAAAGCCAAGAACCCAGCGGGCTAAGCACCACTTTGGGGCTCCTGGCCCTGCATCAGCTTCTGCCTTGCTCTCTTCTGCCTTGCCTGCTCTTCAGACCTTCTCTCTTGGGTTGCTTCTTCTAGGAACCCGGCCCTGTGAAAAGCCCAAGCCACAGGGAAGGCCACATCATGCGCTCTTACTTTTCTTCCACCTTATTGGCCACTCTCACCATCATTGCTGCATTTATTCCAGCACTACTCTATGTCAAAAAGCTTTACACACATAAGGTCATCTAATCTTCATCTAATGATCTCTGTTCCACCTATAATCCCTTCTTATATACTTTGTATTGATTTTGCAGAACATGGAAGCATATCTCTAATGGACTTCAAGCTCTAAAGGACATGAAATTGTCTCCATCCTTCTTCTCTTCCCCTTGCTTGGTAGCAGTTGAAGGACACCCAGGATCTCAGCTCAGGGGAAAACAGAAGGTCATACTGGAGTCTGAGAACCCTTAGTATAAACTCTCTAACTCCTGGAAACACTGTTAAGAATTATTGAAAGCGTGGAAATAAGGCTGGTCTGGAACTCCTGACTTCAGGTGATTCGCCTGCCTTGGCCTCCTAAAGTGCTAGGATTACAGGCGTGAACCACTGCGCCTCTCTGGAATTTGACCGTTTATGCTAAGGCATGTTGAGGCAGATTTTAGCCTCAGGTCTTCCAGGCCAATGGACCCCTCGCTTCTAAAAGAGTTCCAGCGTTGGGTTCTGATCATGTCCCAGTTTTTTGTTTTTTTTTTTTTAATAGAGACAGGGTCTTGCTATGTTGTTCAGGCTGGTCTCAAACTCCTGGCTCAAGCGATCTCCCGCCTCAGCCTCTCAAAGTGCTGGGATTACTGGTATGAGCCACTGTACTCAGTTTATGTCCCAGTCTTATTGGTTCCTGGGGGAGGAAATTGTTGGTTCCAGGTGTAGTTAGAGGTCAAAACGTTTTCTATTTTGCATGCTCAGGCTACATGACTTGCAATTTTGGTTCTGTTAAACCTACAAGGTAACTTTATTATTATTATTTTTTGAGATGGAGTTTCACTCTTGTTGCCCAGGCTGGAGTGCAGTGGTGCGATCTCGGCTCACTGCAACCTCCACCTCCTGGGTTCCAGCGATTCTCCTGCCTAGCCTTCCGAGTAGCTGGGATTACAGGCATGCGCCACCACGCCCAACTAATTTTGTATTTTTAGTAGAGTCAGGGGTTTCTCCACATTGGTCAGGCTGGTCTCGAACTCCCAAACGCAGGTGATCTGCCCGCCGCAGCCTCCCAAAGTGCTGGGATTACAGGCGTGAGCCACTGTGCTCGGCCAACATTTTGTTATCAACAGAATAGGCCCAGTTTGGGCTGGTCCCACAGCTACAGCATCCTTTATTCAGTTTATATATCCTCAATTTCTCAAATTTTCTTTGAGCCAGTTTTACCATCTTGCCAGCTCCCTGATAAATGAGTTAAATAAGTCTCTGAACCATGGGTCACATTGTATTTACATGAGAATTTTTTTTAATTTTTAATTTTTTTTTTGAGACAGAGTCTCACTCTGTCACCCAGGCTGGAGTACAGTGGCATGATCTCAGCTCACTGCAACCTCTGCCTCCTGGGTTCAAGTGATTCTCCTGCCTCAGCTTCCCCAGTAGCTCATAGCTCAACCTCCTAAATAGCTGGGATTACAGGGATGTGCCAACACCCCTGGCTAATTTGTGTATTTTTAGTAGAGATGGGGGTTTCACCATGTTGGCCAGGCTGGTCTCGAACTCCTGACCTCAAGTGATCCACCTGCCTCAGCCTCCCAAAGCACTGGGAGTATAGGTGTGAGCCACTGTGCCTGGCCAGCCTTATACATGCTAAAGAACATTACCTGCTTATTATTTCTTTATTTGAAGATAAAATCAACTTAGGCCAATTCATCATTTTTTTTTCTTTTTTGACCCTGAGTCTCGCTCTGTCACCCAGGCTGTAGTGCAGTGGCACTATCTCGGCTCACTACAGCCTCTGCCTCTCAGGTTCAAGTGATTCTCTTGCCTCAGCCTCCTGAGTAGCTAGGATTACAGGCCCCAGCCACCTTGCCCGGCTAATTTTTGTATTTTCAGTAGAGACGGGGTTTCGCCATGTTGGCCAGGCCGGTCTTAAACTCCTGACCTCAGGTGATCCGCCTGCCTTGGTCTCTCAAAAGTGCTGGGATTACAGGCATGTGCCACTGCGTCTGGCTCATCTTTTCTTTTAGTGAAAGAAATAAAATGCAAGAACAGAACTTATCCTAAAGTTAAATCATCCTAGTTCACAAAAGGAGCCTGAAAATGATAGAAGCATAAGGTATAGGAGAAGTCCTTTCCCCTAAGTCACTGCTGCAAACAGATCCTGGAAATAAATATTTGCACATAAACCTCTAAGTAGAGGCCATGATCAGAACCCAACACTGGAACTCTTTTAGAAGCGATGGGTCCATTGGCCTGGAAGACCTTTCCCTGCAGTTTGAAGAGGAATAAATACCACCTCAAATAAGGTGATTTGAAAAGGTGTTAAACAGGCAGGGCGCAGGGGCTCATGCCTGTAATTCTGGCACTTTGGGAGGCTGAGGCAGGAGACTCTTTGAAGCCAGGAATTTGAGACCCACCTGGGCTACACAGCCAGACTCTGTTTCTACAAAAACACACAAAAATTAGCCAGGCATGGTGGTGCACACCTGTGTGGTCTCAGCTACTACATAAGGATGACAAATAAAAGGAATAAGTTGGCTGGGTACGGTGGCTCACACCTGTAATTCCAGCACTTTGAGAGGCTGAGGTGGCAGATTGCTTGAACCCAGGAGTCTGAGACTGGCTTGGGCAAGATAGCAAGACCTTGTCCTTATTATTTAAAAAAATAAATAAAAAAGAAAAGAATTACCTATGGTATTTTTTTTTAATTAGAAAGGCAGCCAACTTCCAGAAGAAAAATAATAAAATAAAATAAAATAAAATAAAAGCCAATTAAATCCCTTGTAGGGGCCAAGGGCTTTGGTCCTCTCAAGGTTGCTGACAAATCAATTTGCAAAGGGCAGATTAATTGGAGAAAAGGCATACAAATTTATTTAACATGTATACACAAGCACTTTCAGATTGAAGACTCAAAGATACAGGAAAAATGGTTCATTTTTACGCTTAGGTTTGAAACCACTTTTGCATGAATGATAACAGTGAGAAAATTATAACAGTGGAAGAGATCTGATCTAACCAATGCCCATCTTGCGATTGTTTTTCTTTTGGTTTTGTTTTCGAGATGATGTCTTGCTGTCTCCTGGTCTGGAGTGCAAAGGCACAATCATGGCTCACTGCAGCCTCAATCTGGCGACACTCCCACCTGAGCCTACCAAGTAGCCAGGACTACAAGTGGGTGCCACCATGCCCGGCTAATTAATTTTTTTTTTTTAGTAGAGATAATCTTGATATGTTTCCCAGGCTGTTTTTGAACTCTTGGCCTTTGGCAATCCTCCCCCAGTCTGCAGTCTGCCTGCTTTGGCCTTTAAGGTGCTAGAATTACAAGTGTGAGCCACTGTGCTCGGCCTCCTCTCCTTTTTTGTGGCTATCTTGACACTGAGTTTTTGCGTAGTCCAGGCCAGTTGTTTTGTATAACATCCCATACTTCTGGGATTGTCTGATTGTTTTTTCTTTTTTTTTTTTTGAGACGGAGTTTTGCTCTTGTTGCCCAAGCTGGAGTGCAATGGCATGATCTCGCTCACTGCAACCTCCACCTCCCAGCTTCAAGCGATTCTCCTGCCTCAGCCTCCCGAGTAGCTGGGATTACAGGCATGCACCACCATGCCTAGCTAATTTTTTGTATTTTTAGTAGAGACGGGGTTTCTCCATGTTGGTCAGGCTGGTCTCAAACTGGCGACCTCAGGTGATCCGCCCGCTTCAGCCTTCCAAAGTGTTGGGATTACAGGCGTAAGCCACGGCGCCTGGCGTCTGATTGCTTCCTTATGATTAAACTGTCCTTTCCCCTAAGTCACTGCTGCAAACAATTTCTGGAAATAAACATTTGCACATAAACCTCTAAGTAGAGGCCAGGACTCAGCCAGGCGCAGTGGCTCACGCCTGTAATCCCAGCAGTTTGGGAGGCCAAGGCAGGTGGATCACTTGAAGTCAGGAGTTTGAGATCAGTCTGGCCAACATGGTGAAACCCTATCTCTATTAAAAGTAGAAAAAAAAATTAGCTGGGCGTGGTGGCACATGCCTGTAATCCCAACTACTCCGGAGGCTGAGGCAGGAGAATTGCTTGAACCCGGGAGGCGGAGGTTGCAGTGAGCCAAGACCGGGCCACTGCACTCCAGCCTGGGTGGCAGAGTGAGATTCCACCTGTCAAAAAAAAAAAAAAAAAAAAAAAAGAGGCCAGGACTCAGAGCATCCTGGTAACGGTTGTGCAGAATCCACACTCCAGCTGGGAACACTGGGGAAAGTGGAGCCCACCGTTTTCTCTCTCCTTACTGTCGGGTCAGGCTTCTGCCCACTAGAGGGCAGCCAAGTCAAAATCTTGATAGAAACAAGTTCTAAAGACTTACCCAGATTTGCTATCTCTTCTGAGATAGTGTTTTTTTTTTCTTTTTTTTTCCTCTTTTTTTTTTGAAATAAGGCCTGGCTCTGTCGCTCAGGCTGGAGTGCAGTGGCACGATCTCGGCTCACGGCAACCTTTGCCTCCTGGGCTCAAGCTATCCCCCTGCCTCAGCCTCACGAATAGCTAGGATTACAAATGCATGCCACCATGCCCGGCTAATTTTTGTAGAGACGGGGTTTCACCATGTTGTCCAGGCTGGTCTTGAACTCCTGGGCTCAAGAGATCCACCTGCCTTGGCCCCCGAAAGTGTTGGGATTACAGGCGTGAGCCATCAGGGGCGGCCTTCTGAGATTGTTAATGTGAAAAATTCTATCGAAGTTGTCTATCAAAGTTGTCATCCACCATTTGTCTCTTATGAGTGTTCTTTTTTTTGAGATGGAGTCTTGCTCTGTCGCCCAGGCTGGAGTGCAATGGTGCGATCTCGGCTCACTACAACCTCCACCTCCCAGGTTCAAGCGATTTTCCTGCCTCAGCCTCACAAGTAGCTGGGATTACAGGCTCTCGCCACCATGCTGGCTAATTTTTGTATTTTCAGTAGAGGTGGGTTTCACTATCTTGGTCAAGCTGGTCTCGAACTCCTGACCTCAGGTGATCCGCCCACCTTTGGCCTCCCAAAGTGCTGGGATTACAGGTGTGAGCCACCGTGCCTGGCCCTTTTGAGTGTTCTTTTGGGACCCTGTCAGAGCAACTTACTAAGTACTTCCTCTATTGTTAACTTGTTGAGTTGATGTCTCCTCTGAAATTTTGTGTATATTTTGAGGAGATGGACTATTTCTAGAGGTCTCTCCAGAACTGAAACTGTGGTTTCCTGTAAGTCTACGAATACTGACTTCTCTTTTTTTTCCCTTTGAGACAAGGTCTTGTTCTGTCACCCAGGCTGGTGCAATCATGTCTCACTGCAGCTTCGACCTCCTGGGCTCCACTGATCCTCCTACCTCCGCCTCCTGAGTAGTTGGGACAATAGGCATATGCCACCATGCCTGGCTAATTTTTTTTGTTTTTGGTATATTTTGTAGAGATGGGGTTTTGCCATGTTGCCCAGGTTCTGACTTTTAATAAATAAGAAATTTGGTCTCTGTATCTTTCTTTTCCCCTTTATACTTCACTGAAGAAAATGAAGGTGGGCTTCTTCATGGGGCTGGGCCAGTAAAATTAGGCTACACTCATATAAGCATTTCCCCAAATCCTCCTAATACCTCTTGTGAAAAAGGGTATCTGCCACATAATACCATCAATTCTGTGACAAATTATTCTAACCCGCTGGTTCTCCATCCTGTCTGCACATTGAAATCACAGGGGAATGACATCTACTGATGCCCCTGTCTCTCTCTCAGAGATTCTGAGTGGGGAGGGAATTTGTGTTGGTGTAAGTGTGTGCCCCACAAGGGAAGGACCTGCCCAACACACCGTGTGCTTTGCCCTCAGCAAGGAGCCACAGCTGCAGGTGGATTTCCACACCGGGATGGATGAGGACTCAGACATCGCTTTCCATTTCCGAGTGCACTTTGGTCATTGTGTGGCCATGAACAGCCATGAGTGGGGGGTCTGGAAGTGTGAGGTGAAATCTGACAATATGCCCTTTGAGGGTGGCCAATCATTTGACCTGCGCATCTGAGTGCTGGACAAGGAGGACCAGGTGAGCACCCCAGGAGCTCCCAGCATGCAGCCTCTGTGGACTCCCAGAGCAGGAGGTAGCTCTCCCTGCCCTGGCCCCACCAGTCCCTCGGGACCCATCTCCCATAACGACTCCTGCCCCAGGCTTTTCATCACAGAGCACCCTCTGCTTGCACTGCCACCCTCAGCTCTTTCCCAAATCTGACCAAGGTCAAGGTTGGTTCACTTGCCATTTCCCCCAAGGTGGAGAATCATTTCCATAGCTGTCATTTCTGCTCATGCTGTTATTTACATTTTCATGTGGCCAAATAGACAAAATACATGTATGAATCAAATTATTTTAGTCAGTCAAAAATTAACTCTTCCTTTCACTCCCGAACCTCACTCCTACTCCCCAGAACAACACTACCAGCTTCTCTGCTCTCCTTCCAGAGATAATCTACCATTAGAGAACCGTATATTTCCTCTTCCTCATTTGTATAATATGCTTTCATTCCTTTTTGTATATATGCCTATACACATATTCATATATACATATATGCATATATGCTTTCATTTCTTTTTAAACAAATGCTGTTATAAATGTCTTTGTACATTACACTTTGGAAACTAGAGTCGATTTATAGTCAAAGAACATATCTTGGAGAATTCATCTATCTATGGTGCTGCTTCATTTTTCTTTTTTTTTTTTTTGAGATGGAGTTTCGCTCTTGTTGCTCAGGCTGGAGTGCAATGGCGCAATCTCAGCTCACTGCAACCTCCACCTCACAGGTCCAAGCGATTCTCCTGCCTCAGCCTCCCAAGTAGCTGGGATTAAAGAGATGCACCACCACGCCTGGTTAATTTTTTGTATTTTTAGTATAGATGGGGTTTCTCCATGTTGGTCTGGCTGGTCTCGAACTCCTGACCTTAGGTAATCTGCCCGCCTTGGCCTCCCAAAGTGCTGGCATTACAGGCATGAGCCACTGCGCTTGGCCTGCTGCTTCATTTTTTAAAGATTGCATAATATGCCAGTAGAAGGATGATCCAAAATGATTGAACTTGACCGTTTTGATGGTTACTGCGTGGTTTTTAGTATTTTGCTCTCACAAAGGGTGCTGTATTAAGCTTTCTAATCAACTCTTTTGTAATTATCAACCTACCAATACTTACATTGGAGGATACTTGCAAAGACATAAAATAATTGGTTGAAAATTGTGTGAAAAATCTTAAAATTTCATAAATTAATACCTTTAAGATGACTTTCTTCATAGCTACAGCAATACAGATTATATTGAAATTTTCTCACCTTCTCTAACGGGTAGGCCAAAAGGTGAACATTTTATTCAGCTCTAAGTGAGGCATCTGTTCATATGCCTACTATAGGCTGCTAAAATAATATCCTATGTTTTGCAACATCTGTCCTGTTCCTCCTCTCTAAGAACACTTGGGTTTCATTCTTGGCCACCTCCAGCCCAGATCTGGGCTACTCCAAAGAGAAACTGGGCCATCAGCAGTGAATGGGAGTCACAGTTGGTGGAACTTAAAAGTACCCATTCAATAAACATTGTCAAGCACTAACCTCGTGGCAGGCCCTGTGCAAGATGCAGGAATTCAAGGTCAAGAGACACAATCCCTGGCCATGGGGATCTTCCAGGCTAGAGGGGAGATCCAGCAAACAGGGACCACGTGACATAGAGGGGTAGAGCCTCACTGGAAGAATGAGAGGAAACATTGAAAATGCAGTGAGCAACTGTCTCAGATAGCCACAAAATGTAGTCTGTAAACAGAAGTGAGTCTGCCGGGTTTTGATGTATAATTAGGAGTTTTCTGGGTGGGTGTTGTAGGTACTAGGGCAGAGTAGAGAGGAGGCTGAAAGCTTGTTTGGTGAAATACTGTCTTTCTGATGCACTTTTCCTCTTGCAGGTAATGGTAAGTGGCCAACACTGCTACAGCTTTGCCCATCGACTCCTGCCAGGGTCTGTGAAGATGGTGCAAGTGTGGAGAGGTATCCCCCTGACCTCAATGTGTGTCTGAGATTGAGGTGATGACCACACTCCCCACTGTCGAGGAATCTCTCTTTCTACGTGACCATGCGGTTCCCAGAGCCTGCTGACAGCATGATCCCTCCTTACTCCTTCCCCTACACTTGCTCATTAAAACTTCACCAAACTTCACAGGATTTTGGCTTTTGCTTGAAGGGGAAAAAGCAAAAGTGGTCATCACCAAGAGGGCCTGAGGGGTTTCATGGGAGGCATCAAGAAATCAAAGAGAATAAAGCTTCCTGTGGCACAAGGAGTGAGTGACAAGGTCCCTGGAATGTCTGACATGACATTAGGAACAACGTCCATCTATAGCATGTAGTTGACTTCAGAGACTCTGACCCAAAATCCTCTGATTTGGGTCAAACCCAAATCAGAGATTTATCTGACCCATTAATCCTCCTTCCTTCTTGCCCTTTCTCCTTCTGCCATGGGATGATGTGGCACAAAGGCCCTGGCCAGATCCCAGCTCTGTGCTCATGGATTTTCCAGCCTCCAGAATTGTAAGCCAAATAAATGTTTGTTTGTTATAAATCATCCAGTTTGTTATAGCAGCACAATATGGACTTAGATGGTGGTGAAGCACTGTTGCAGGCCTGGAGGACAGAAATCACTGGTATAGGGAGAAATTCTACAAGTTGACCCAGACCCTACCAGGGGCTTACCTCCAGCCCAGTGCCTGAATATGCTGAGGCAAGTGAACCAGGAGGAACTGAGAACAGAATCCAGGCTTCACTGGCTGCCTCTGTGTTGGTGACAGCAGAAAGACGAGTATAGGGTGGTGGCTGTGAGATGGCATTGTGCCATGGGAAGAAGTAGACCAAGAAGTGTTTCCTGGGCACTGAGGAGTGTCTTCTATCTCATGGTGGCCTCTTTACCAGCACAGCTGACCAGTGCATGGGTCCCTCTACCTCTCAAGATACAGGCACAGTGATAAGAAATAGTGCCCATGTAGGTCCTGGAGAAAAAAAAAGTCAAACCCAAGATATGTAACCTCCAGAAATGACTTTGGAAGTGCCTTTATTTATTTATTTATTTTCAGATGGAGTTTTGGTCTTGTTGCCCAGGCTGGAGTGCAATGGTGCGATCTCACCTAACCGCAACCTCCACCTCCCGGATTCAAGCAACTCTCCTGCCTCAGCCTCCTAAGTAGCTGGGATTACAGGCATGCACCACCACACCTGGCTAATTTTGTATTTTTAGTAGAGACAGGGTTTCTCCATGTTGGCCAGGCTGGTCTTGAACTCCCGACCTCAGGTGATCCGCCCACCTCGGCCTCCCAAAGTGCTGGGATTATAGACGTGAGCCACCACGCCTGGCCTAGAAGTGCCTATTTTATTGTGTCCAACACTTGACCCCTTTACAAAGCTATTATAACAGTGTGGTGCTTGCTTAAGGAGAGGCACATATACCAATGGAATATAATAGGGAGCCCAGAAATAAACACTCACATACACATTCATGTGAGAGTCCACAGTAGGCCAAGACCATCTCACTGGGAAAGGACAGTCTTTTCAACACATGATGCTGGGAAAACTGGACTTACACATGCAAAATAATATGGTTGGGGCCTTTATCTTATAACATATACAAAAATTAACTCAGAATGTATCACAGAATACATGTAAGACCTACAACGATAAAATTCTTTGAAAAAAACATAGACGCATATCTTCATGACATGAAATTTGGCAATGATTTCTTGGGGATGACTCCAAAAGCACAAGTAACAAAGGAAAAAACAGATAAACTGGACTCCCTCAAAACTGAAAACTTCATCAAAGGCCATTCTGGAAAAAGTAAACAGTCAACTCACAGAATGGAAGATAATTTGCAGATCAGATATCTGATAAGAGATTATTATCTAGAATAGAGACCTTCTACAATCCAACAACAATGGCACAAATACTCTCCCGATTTAACAGTGACCAAATAACTTCAACAGACATGTCTCCAGAACAGATATAAAAGTGGCCAATAAGCACATGAAAATATACTCAACTTCAGAGTCATTAGGGAAATGCAGAATCAAAGCCATAGTGAGATAGCACTTCACTCTCCCTAGGATGGCTGTTATTTTAAGATGCAAAATCACAAGTGTTGTGAGGATGTAGAGATACTGTAACCCTTGAATGTTGCTGTTGGGAGTGTAAAATGGTGCAGCTGCTGTGGAAAACTATATGGCAGTTCCTCAAAAAGGTCACCATGTGATCCAGCAACAGCACTTCTGAGTATACACCCTAAAGAATTGAAGAAAGAGACTCACGCTGATATTTGCACAGCAATGTTCATAGCAGCATGATTCACAACAGGCAAGAGATGGAAACAACCCCAATTTCCATCTACAGATATACGTACGATGGAAGATTATTAGCCTTAAAAGTGGATGACATTTTGACGCTTGCTATCACGTGAATGAGTCTTTAAAACATGCTAAGTGAAATAAGCCAGACTCCCCCTGAGGCTGTAGGTGCAGGCTGTGGGGAGAAGGTAACGGGGCAGGAGTAGGGGCTATGGACATTTGGACCCTTCCTCCTGCAGCTTTCTTGTGCCTTCAGGACCTGTGTAAGCCTGATCTCTCTGCCCAGTGAGTCCCCACTTCCATCCTGAGGCTATTTGGTCAGTGTCAGGTTGCAAAAGACACACAACCATGAAATGTGACTTGACAGATACTCTGCAGTACTTTCACTTTCAGATAGCTCTGGCTGAACTTGCAACCTAAATACAAATAGGATTTTGTTTCCTTTTCACTGCTAGTTATGATTTTCAAGAAATCCATGGTTTAGAGGAAAATGATTTTGTAATTTGTGCTGAATTCTGATGCATGCTATCTTGTCAGTATTTCAGATGAAAGTGATAGAAAAGACACTTGTTTATTGAGGGAGCAGTTAGCAAGCCACTCAGAGTAGATACACAATGGCCTGCCCTAAGTGAACTGGTGGGAAATAAGAGTTGCTTGATCGTTGATTTTTTATGAAAGTAGAGCCTAGGACTTTCCGTAGGTGTGAGAAAGTGTGTGATGGAAAGAGGAGGATCAGGGATGGTGTGGAGGTTTCTGACCTGAGAGAGGGGACTTGGGGACTTCAGTCCCCACATCCATCTTGAGGTTATTCACTCAGTGTCAGGTTGCATAGAACACACAACCGTGAAAGGTGACGTGACAGGTGCTCTGCAGCACTTTCACTTTTAGATAGTTCTGGCTGAACTTGTGATCTCACTAAAGATAGAAATAGATTTTCAAGAAATCCATGGTACAGAGGAAAATAATTTTGTAATTTATTGCTGGATTCTGATGCATACTATCTCATTAGTATTTCAGACAGAAGTGATAGGAAGGACACTTACTGAGGAAGCAGTTAGCAAGACACTCAGAGTAGACACACAATGGCCTGCCCTAGGTGAACTGGCAGGAAATCAGAGTCACTCTATCCGTGGTTGGCTTACGAAAGTAGAACCATAGGACTTTCCACAGGTGTGAGAAAGCGTGTGAGGGAAAGAGGAGGATAATGGACGGCATGGAGGTTTCTGGACTGAGAGAGGGGATTTGGGGCATGAATAACTGAGAGAGTAGCAGGGTGGGAGGGGCTGTGTCGGAGCTGAGCAGGGCTGAGTGGGAGTCATGGTCTATACTGAAAGCAGAGTAGGGATCTCATGGGGACTCTCTTCCTTCTACCTGGACCCCAAAACTCACAGGTCCCTCCACTCAACCAGGAAAAAGAAGAGGGAAGCTCATATGCTCTTCGCCCTCAGTTCAGGAATGGGGGGTGAACCATTTCATTTCTGGAAATGCTGAGACCCAGATTTAGCAAAGACCAATTTCCTCATTTAAAGGGTGCACCCACATGACCATGCCCTCCTCCTATCCTCCTTCCTGACTTAATGGGAGAAGTCGTGTCACAGAGGAGGGGCTGAAGCCTCAAATAATGGACAGGGCAGTCAGTACTTTTCAGAGCGTAAGTCTTGGTCAGAGATAAATAGAAGGCAAACCCTTTGATCAGGATACACAATGACATGGCTTCATGACAGGCATGCCAAATACATTTCTGTTTGTGATAAATCATGGAGTCTGTTATAGCAGCACAACGTAGACTGAGGTGGAAGTGAAGTCCAGGAAGCTGGGCTGCACAGCTCCTCATCCTCATTCCATCATTTCCATCTGTGCATTTTCCTGGTGATTCCCTGCCCCTGGCACATTCCTCACTGTCATTTCTGCTGCATCACAGTCACAGGCCTGCAAACAGAAACTGAGTCTCTTCCTGTCACCCCCTGCTCACACTGCTGGGAAATCTTGCTAGGAAGGGCTTGGAAACAGGAATAAGGCTGGGTGTGGTGGCTCACACCTGTAATCCCAGCACTTTGGTAGGCCAAGGCAGGTGGATCACGAGGTCAAGAGATCGAGACAATCCTAGCCAACATGGTGAAACCCCGTCTCTACTAAAAATACAAAAATTAGCTGGGCCTGCTGGCATGTGCCTGTAGTGCCAGCTACTCGGGATGCTGAGGCAGGAGATGAACCTGGGAGGAGCGGAGGCTACAGTGAGCCGAGATCGGGCCACTGCACTCCAGCCTGGTGACAGAGAGAGACTCCATCTCAAAAACAAACAAACAAACAAAGAAAAAAAAAACAGGAATAAAGCCAGAGGTCAGGACCAACAGGGACCATGTAAGTGCTGCAACTCAGACATTCACATAGAAGACCGGACACTATTCCGAAGAGCTGTCCAGTGGGAGAAAACAATGTCACCGCTATGTGTAAGTTGAAAGGCACGGCCTTCAATAACCTCAAGTCACATAAACCGAGAAAGAAGCATAGACGATTTTATGAGATGAAAACATGATCACATTGGATGAAATATTCTGTAAGTATCTATTAAATCCATTTCTTCTATAGTAGGGATTAACGTTCTTTGTTTGTATTGTCTGGAAGACCTGTCCAATGCTGAAAATGAAACATAGAAATCTCCAGCTATTATTGTATTGGGGCCTATCTCTCTCTTTAGTTCTAATAATATTTCCTTTATATACCTGGGTGCTCCACTCTTTGGTGCACATATATTTAAAACTGTTATATCTTCTTGCTGAGTTGATGTCTTATTCATTATATATTGACTTTATTGTCTCTGCTTAGAGTTTTTGTCTCAAAATATATTTTGTCCAATATAAATATAGCTACACCTGTTTTGTTTCATTTCTATTAGCATGGAACATCTTTTTCTATTTCTTTATCTTCGGTATATGTGTGCCTTTATAGGTGAAGTGTGTTTCATGTAGGCAACAGATCAATTGTTTTTGTTTTTTCATCCATTCAGCCACTCTATGTGTTTTGATTGGAGAGTCTAGTCCATTTTCATTCAATGTTTTCATTGATAATTAAGTAAAGACTTAGTCCTGCCATTTTGGTGTTTGATTTCTAGCTGTATTTTGGTCTTCTCTTCCTTTGTTTCTTACTATCTTTCCTTACTGAAGATAATTTTGTCTGGCGATACAATTTAGTTTCTTGCTTTTTATGGTTTGTGTTTTTTTTTGTGAATCCATTGTATGTTTTCTGGTTCAAGGTGACCATGAGGCTTGCAAATACTATTTTATAACCCATTATTTTAACATGATAGCTACTTAACACCCTTTACTTAAAAAAAACAAGCAACAAGAAAACTTATAGAAACTCTATACTTTAACTTCATCCCCCCGCCTTTTAACTTTTAGTTATTTCTGCCTATATCTTATTTTACTGTGTATATCTTCAAAAGTTGCAGTTATTATTATTATTATTGGTTCATTGTTTAGTCTTTCTATTTAGGAAATGAGTAGTTTACACATCACGGTTACAGTGTTATAATATTGTGTGTGTTTCCACTAAAAAATCTGCTGCCAGGTGTATTGCAGCTGCATTGTATGCTATTTTTTTTCTTTGGGGCTTGCAGGATTTTTTCTTTGCTCTTGACCTTTGAAAGTTTGATTATTAAGTAGCTTGAATTAGTCTTCTTTGGGTTAAATTGTCTTGGTGTTCTATAACCTGCTTGTACTTGGATATTGATCTCCTTTTCCAGGTTTGGGAAGTTCTCTGTTATTATTCTTTTAAATAAACTTTCTACCACTATTTCTTTCTCTACTTTTTCTTTAAGGCCAGTAACTCTTAGGTTTGCCTTTTTGAAGCTATTTTTCTAGATCCTATAGCCATGTTTCATGGCTTCATTGTTTTTTACTCCTTCTTCTTTTGTCTCCTCTGGCTGTGTGTTTCAAATAGCCTGTCTTCAAGCTCACTAATATTTTCTTCTGCTTGATCAATTCTGCTGTTAAAAGACTGATGCATTATTCAGTATGCCAATTGCATTTTTGTATTTTATTTTGCTTTATGTTCTGGGATACATGTGCAGAACATGCAGGTTTGTTTCATAGGTAAACATGTGCCATTGTGGTTTGTTGCACCTATGAACCTGTCACCTATGTATTAAGCTCCACATGTATTAGCTGTTTGTCTTGATGCTCTCCCTCTCTTTGCCCCCACCAACAGGCCCCAGTGTGTATTGTTTCCCTCTCCGTGTCTGTGTGTTCTAACTGTTCAGCTCCCATTTATGAGTGAGAACGTGCAGTGTTTGGTTTTCTGTTCCTATGTTAGTTTGCTGAGGATGATGGCTTTGAGCTTCATCCATGTCCCTGCAAAGGGCACGATATCATTCCTTTTTATGGCTCCATTTCTCAGCTCCAGAACTATTGTTTGAGTCCTTTTAATTATTTTAAACTTTTCGGTTAACTTATCTAATAAAATTCTGAATTCCTTCTCTGTGTTATCTTGAATTTATTTGAGTTTTCTTAACACTGCTAAATTAAATTTCCTGTCTGAAAGGTCTCTGCTTCTCCCTGGTGCTTATTTAGTTTATTTGGGGAGATCATGCTTTCCTGGATAGTGTTGACACTAGCAGATGTTCTTCAGTGTCTGATCATTGAGTAATTAGGTATTTAGAGTGGTCTTCACTGTCTAGGCTTATTTGTACCTGTCCTTTTTTTGAAGGCATACCAGATATTCCAAACACTTGAATGTTTTGATTTAAGCTGTATCTCCTTTGGGGTGAACTAAAAACCAGTAATGTTGTGATTCTTGCAGACTCATACAGTTACCACCTTGATGATCTTGGACAAGTTCCAGGATAATTCTCTGGATTACAATGCGGAGACTTTTGCCCTTTTCCCTTTCTTTCTCCCCCCAAAAAAACAGTGTGTGTGTGTGTGTGTGTGTGTGTGTGTGTGTGTGTGTTTTGAGACACCTAAAGCTGGGGATAGACTAATAAAAGCACCGTTGTGGTCACCACCACTATGACTGGGTCAGACCTGAATCCAGTATAGCACTGGATCTCACTGAAGGCCTTCTGTATCCACTCCCTGGTTGCAACCTAAGTTCACTCAAGGCCCTGGGACTCTGGAAGCAGCAGATGGCAGAGCAAGCCAGGTCTGTGTGCATTCCTTCAGGGCGGTGAGTTCCCCTAGGCCTTGGGTGGGTCCAGAGGTGCCACCTGAAAGTTGGGGACTAAAGTCAAAAACCTTAGAAGTCTGTATGGTGCTTTTATTTTACTGCAGCAGAGCTGGCACTCAAACCACAAGATGCAGTTCTTCCCACACTCCTCTTTCCAAAGGCAGTGGTCACCCCATAACCATTGCCACAATGAAGAGTATGGCCAGACTACCACAGATGTTTCCTTAAGGCCCACAGTCTCTTAAGTCAACTCATAGTGAATGCTGCCAGGCCCAGGACTCATTCCACAGGGCAATGAACTCCGTCTGGCCCAAAGCAGGTAAATAGATGTCATCCAAGAACCAAGTCCCTGAATTAGGGGTCCCAAGAGCCTGCTTGGTGCTCTACTCCCTTGTGGCCATGCAGGTACCTAAGGTGCAAGATGAAGTCCCTTTTGCTTTTTTCTCTGCTTTTACCAAGCAGAAAGAGTTTTTCCTCATAGCCACCACAACTGGTAATGTGCTGTGTCCCATCTGAAGCCAGCAGATCTTAGAAGCTCATCCAAGACCCTCAGCATAGTACCTGGGTATTGCTGATACCATTAGCAGGTGATAACTCTCCTCTCCTCAAGTGAAAGGAAGGGGTCTCTTTTAGAGCCACAGACTGTGCATCCTGGAGTTAAGTGAGGGGTAAAGCCAGCACTCCATTAGTCACCAAAGCTGCTGTCTCAGTAAGTCACCTGACCCCCTCTTCACCAGTCCATTGTCTCTGGGCCCAGTTCAACCCCATGACTCACCTAAGAATTTCTGGCCTTATGGCCTAGACTGCCTTTTAAGCTTACTTGAAAAACCAGAGTACCGTAGCTCTCACTGGCAAGGTTTGCAGGAACTCAAGTTTCAACCGCTGGGATCAGGGATTTTCCTCTGGCTAAGCCTGGCTTAAATGCTCCCTCCATTGGTGTGTGTCAGCTGAGTTTGATCCAATTTGCCTTTCTTCTGTAACAGGACAGCAATGACTTCAATACCTCACAATTGCTGTGCTCTCCTCCCTCCAGTACCCCAGTACCCAGAGACTCTGTACCACATTCCTGCTGCCTGGATGAAGGACTGGCATTGGCAATTCAAGACGTTTTTTTCTATCTCTTCAGTGATATAGAGTTAAAACCAGGTATCTATGAGGATTCACCTGCTTTTGGTTTTTATGAAGGTGTTTTTCTTGTGTAGATACTTGTTAAATTTATGTCCTTGAGGCGTGGGGGTAAGATTGGTGGAGCACTCTATTGTGCCATGTTGCAAGGTCTCCCCAATTTAAATTTTGATGAAATCCAGTTTATCTGTTTTTTCTTTTGTTTCTTGTGCTTTTGGAATCATATCCAAGAAATCGTTTTAAGATCCTATGTCATGAAATATTCTTCGATGTTTTTTCTAAAAATATTAAAATTCTAGGTCTTACATTTATTGTTTGATACATTTTGAGTTAATTCTTGTATGTGGCTTATGGTAAGGTCCCAACTACATCCTCATGCATGTGTATATCCAGTTTCCCCAAAATCACTGGTTGAAATGAGGGTCCTTTCCCAAAAGGGTGTCCTGGCACATTTATTGAATCTCAACTGACCACCTATGTGCATGTTTACTTTTTGGCTATCCTTTATATTTGATTGATTTCTAAGTCTGTCCTTAAGCCAGCACCACATTGTTTTGATTACTGTAGTTTTAAAGTGGTTATATTTGGGACACAATAAAACAGGCACTGGCAAAGTCACTTTTAGGCTTTACACATCTTGGATTTGTCTTTGTTATTTTTTCAGGAGTCATATAAATACTATTCCTCATCATTATGCCTATATCTTGAGAAGTAAAGACACATGCCCTAATCAGCTGTGCTGGGGAATAGGTCACCATGAGATAGAAGACACTTCTCAGTGTCCAGGAAACACTTCTTGGTCTCTTTCTTCCCATGGCATGACTCCCATCTCAACTCACACCCCCCATACTACACTTTTTGTTGTCACCAACACAGAGTCATTGAGTGAAGCTTAGATTCTGTTTTCAGTTCCCTCTAGTTCACTAGCCTCAAAACATTCAATGCTGAGCAGAAGGTGAGTGCCTGTTGTAGGCTGGACCACCTTGCAAAAATGCTGCTTATAAAAATAATTTCTGTCTTCCTGGCCCGAGTCAGTCCTTCACTTCCATCTATGTGCAGCCTGTTTTGCTGCTGGAACCGACTGACTAATTTATAACAAATAGTAATTTATTTGGCACAATTCTGGAGGCTGGAATATCCAGGAACATACTGTTGGCATCTGTCCAGGGCCTTTGTTTTGCATCATCTCATAGTAGAAGGAGGAATGACAAGGAGTGAGATCAAGAGAGCAAGATAGGGCCAAACTTGCTTTTATAATAAACTTACTCTCACAATAACTAACCCAATTCAGTAAAAATGACATTGATCTAATAATGCAGAGCCCTTATGACATAATCACCTCTTATTACACCCCACCTCAAAACACGTGGATTGGATATTACATTTTTAACACATGAACTTTGCGGCACAGATTCAGACTATAGCAGCCACAAAGGGAGATGAAGGAAATATCACAAAAATCCAGAAGAAACGATGTCTTCTCACTTCCTCCAGCTATAACTGGGCACATTTGCTCACACAATCATTTCTGTATTCTCTTCACACACACATATGTTGAACATCCTCTCTGTGCCTGGTCCCATGAAGTTGACACCCCCCAACTCCCTCATCAATGTTTCTCTCCACACTGAATAGAAATTCACATTGAATTTTCATGAGTGATAGACACTTAGTATTCACTCTTTATTCCATTTAACAGTTAGCTTATGTTGTCAAAAGATGATTAACGCACTTTCCTCTTTTTTGAGCTTCCCAAGACTCAAAGATGTCTTCAGAACAAAGTGTAAATCTTTTACATTGGCATCCAGGTTTTTCTAATAGAAACCTAGCCTCTAGGATACTTCCAAGAACTTCTTAACTCATTCTGTGCTCCCTAAAAATAACCTATTAATGTGGCAGCAAAAGCATGTTGTGGCATATCTCTTTTGTTTTTGATACTGTTTGCCACTTTTGTTTAATTCTTACCTCCTCTCCATATAGATAGAACATACAAGTATTTTAATATTCAGAATAATTTCCACCTCTTATTGAATTACACCCAAGGTTATGTTGTGTCTATTTAGGGGGAAATAATAAGATTTTAATAATTATTTTGTGACCCATATATGGACTACTAACAAAAATTGAGTTTTTCTCCTATCTTAAACTCTGTAGCATTAAAACTCATGCTAGCAAAATGAATAATAAATTTTGGTCTGAAAATCCAAAGTGAATTCTGGCTGCATCTGTTATAGAGATTTGGAGCTATAATTCATCAAAAACGAAACAACACCTCTTTCTTACTCTGTCTTCTTGGCCCCTCACTTGCAAATAGATGCACCGATGTTCAGCACCATGAACAGTGCCACCGAGGTTTATTTTTAAAAACCACTTTAGGGGACTTGGGCATCAAGGTTAAAAGTGTCACAGAGTAGATTTATTTTTGGGGGGTCTTCAGCAATAACTGGAAAGATTTAAAGACCTTTTAGAAAGGAAGGCTTTAGAGTTCAGAAATGACTTTTTGTTTTTTGAGCAAAGCCCTATTTGCTGGGAGAACATCAGGAATTTTGATTGAGGAGGGGAGAGAAAGTTTTGGAGTGGGTCACCAGAGCCAATTCAAATACCGTTTGTTGAACACTGGTTCCTGAACTCTATGTTGTCTCTTTGTATCTGAGGCATGATTCCTGCCCACTATGAGCACAGAGTAGTATCTGAGATAAAGATGAGCGTAACCAATGGACAAAGCACTCAACTGAGCTGATGAATATCATTCAAGAAAGGGCAGTCACCGTGTGCTTGTATAGAAAAGCCAACACGTAGGACTGTGTAGGTTATTCAAATGCAATAGCCACCAGCCAAGGGGCAAGTCGATATGAAATCAAAGGCATTTTCTGCTCAGCAAGCCATGGGTCCCAGGATAATTTTAATCTACTCAGAGCAAGAATTGCTTAATTCCAGAAGAAATTAATTCCATGCTAGTGAAGGGGCCTATGATCCATTATCAAAATATAAAAGTTACCTAGACTGAGAAAGGGAAGGTGTACAAAGAAGAGTGTACCTATTGAAAACCCAAGAGATTCCAGTGAGAGAGGAGGGAATTTTATTCCATACAGGAATGGAATGAGGGAGAAAGGTGTGCAGAGCATGATTAGCTGTGCATTGGCACCTCAAGGTATCTGGATGTTAGGTTAAAGATGAGTAAGGAGAGAATCATACCCATGAGTAGGGTTGAAGTTGAAAGAGCTATTGCAATGAACATGGGGAGAGAGGATGTGGAGGATCAAAATGATGCCTGAGATGAGCCCGGTGGAAGAGAGGCCATTTGGTGGAACCCTCACCAATTTGAATTCACTAGTTTTTAGGCAATACGTTGTTTCTCCTAAGTGGTTCTCCAGATGTTCAGTGAAGCAGATAATCATAGCTCTTGTAGAGGGAATAGGACTGTGATTCTGCCATCTTGGTGGGAATTCTGAGAAGTTGAGAATGGAGGGTGGAGCCAATTGCTGCAGACAAACATTCCCAGAAGAAAAGAATTTAGGCATCTGGCTGGTTTCAGCAATGACATAAACCAGTGACTACTGTCTATTTTCTGTTGACACTATAAAATAAATATGTTCATTGCATTTTTCCTATGTTCGTTTCAGTATTGTGTGTTTGATTTGTATAGGGCAGATAATTTATTCCTTTAGTGAACATGTTGTGAGAAAGTGCACCTGATAATTTGTACTCACCTCAGGAACACCAGGTCCTGAGTTAGATAATAAAACAATAAACTTCACTCTGAGTCTGTTCCTCTATTGCATTGGTTTCTGGGATTATTTAGAAGGTAAGTGTTTTGGGGATGTGGGAAGTGTATGAGCCAGTGGGGGCTAAGTGGAACTCATTTTCAAAAATGTCCCATGATAATGACAAGTCAAAATAACCACAGCTTGTGTAGTTCCCTCCCCTTAGTTTGGGCTTTCTGTGTGACAGTTTGATCAATATAATGCCATAGAAGTCACACTGTCTGCCTTTCAAAGCTAAGGCCTATGATGCCTCGCACCTTCTTCATGAGACTTTTGGAAGGCTTTTTTTTGGTGGAAGCCAATCATTGATCATGAGTTGAGGAAATTCAAGGCACTAATGTGGAGATGAGTTAGGAAAGGAAATAAACAACCAGCCCCCAGGTGTTCAGCCACACTAGTGTTGAGTTGGACATGAGTGAAGCATCTTCTGAAATCTCTGACTGTAGATCTTTCTGAAATCGAGACACCCACCACATAATCTGTCACCTACCTGAGTCCACTAAACCTACAAAGCTGGGAGAAATCAGAATAAATGATCTAAGCCAACAGGTGTTGGGAGGTTGCCTGTGCCGCAATACCAACAGTAACAGCAGCAAAGCAGAATCTGTTTACTGTGTTCATGTGCATGAATTGTGTCCATTCCACCAATAAACCACTTATTTTGTGATATAAAACAATGACCATTTGTTTACAAAGAGAAATCTCAGGATTCTGCCCACATAAAATGGAAAAATCTGAAAATTCTTTCGGGAAAAAAAGGATTCTTTAAAGGGAATCATTGAACGGTGATTCTATCGCTTGGATTGAAAACTTCAGATGTAAACATTTCAACTTTTTCTTTCAGTGTCTTCAGTGCATCTCACACAAATCTAGGCAGTTTCAAGACACAAGAAACACTCTTAGGATGAGTGAAGAATTAAGATATTTCACCTAGCTTTCCTCAAATTACAAAGTCTCTCCCCAAAGCCAATTATGCCTGTATGTTTGTAAACAGGTACCTAACATTTCACTGCAATCAGTCATCTAAAATGAAAGAATTTTGGTTCAGAGTGTGTGACGTAAAGTACGGGCTGTAGAGGATGTTGTTTGTTTTGTCATCTCAGACATTCCAGTGGTCTTGTGACTCACTGCCTGTTTCACTTGTGTCCTTGTGCCACTTTGTCTTTTTCCCCATTAAAGTAAGAACCAGATCCTGGATAATTTAGTGAAGTTTTAATGACCAAGTGTAGAGGAAGGTGTGAGGAGAGATCGTTCTGTTAGCAGGCTCTGGGATACCACAGTCATGGAGAAATGGGGAGTTTCTGTTGCTCCTTAACAGCAGGGAGTGTGGACATCACCCTAAATCACAGACACACAGTGAGGTCAGGAAGACATCCCACCACACTTGCACCATCTTCACGTAACATAGTGGGAGTTGATAGGCAAAGCTGTAACACTGTTTGCCATTTACCATTACCTGCAAGAGGAAAAATGCATCAGAAATACAGCATGCCACAAAACAAGCTATCAGCCATAGTGCCTATAGTAACCAACCAGAAAACTCCCAATTATACATCAGAAACCAGTAGACATACTTCTATCTACAGACTACCTTTGTGCCTATTTCAGACATTCATTCATTTTATTTCCAATGTTTCCTCTCATTAGTCCGGAAGTTCCGCCACTCTGTGTCACACAGTTCCTGTTTCCTCAGCCTCTTCTCTAGCCTGGAATATGCCATACTCTGTGTCATGAACTTGAATCCTTGCATCTTCTACAGGGGTTCACACAGGGTTAGTGATCAACAATGTTCATTGAATGTATAGTTTTCAGTTATACAGACTGTGACTGCCATTCACCACTGATGGCCTACTTTCTCTTTGGAGTTGCCCAGGGCTGCCAAGCAGGTAGCAAGGAATGAAATCCAAGTGTTTTTAGAGAAAAAGAACAGAATAGGTATTGCAAAACATAATATATTATTTTGAACAACTGATAGGCATATGAAATCTGAACAAAATGTTAACCTTTGGCTTTACCCATTTGAAAAGATCAGGAAGGTTGGAAATATTATTTATTACTAAAGCTATAAAACAGTCAATTTTCAGATGTTAATTTATAATATTTAAAATGCATACAATTTTGAGCCAGTTATTTCATTTCTTTGTAATTATTCTTTAATACAACTACTGGGAATTTGATTTAAAAAAGTTGATTAGAAAGCTTAATACAGCATCATTTGTGAGAGCAAAATACTGGAAACAGCCTAAATGTCCATCAAAAGAGTCAAATTCAATAATTTTTGATAACCATTCTACAGGAATATTATGCAGTGTTTAAAAACTGAGGCAGCACCATGAATAGATGACTTTGCAAAATACAGTGTTTGACAACCAGTCCAGTCCAATTCCTAAAGTACATTTGTTCAGAAAGAAAAGAAAACATAGATCTGTATATTTCTGTAAACAGATTATCTCCATAATTTGAGTAGAGAAGCCAGTAATATTATTGTACTGGGGAATAAAATTGGGGCTCAATACTGAGGGAAAGACTAAATTTTGGGCTCACTGAAACTATTTTATTTACATGCAGATTTTCTCCATTTTGGATAAATGAAAATATATAAGTAACATCATCACTAGAAATGAGCACTATGGGAAAAAACAGAGGAGATTCTTCACGTTGGGGGAAATGACAGGTGAGATGACCTTGATCCTGGTCAAATTTGGGAAAATAGCTGAAGATGGCAGTGCAAGCAGAGGGTGCTCTGTGATGAAAAGTCTGGAGCAGGAGCAGTTATGGGAGATGGGCCCCAAGGGACTCTTGGGGCCAGCTTACAGAGAGCTGCCTCCTGCTCTGGGAGCCGAGAGAGGTCAAACACTGAAAGCCCCTGGGATACTCACCTGGTACTCATTGTCCAGCTCTGAGATGTGCAGGTCAAATTGTTTGCCATCCTTAAAGGGCATACCTTCAGATTTTCCTTAATGCTTCCAGGCTCCACACACATGCTGTTCATGACCACCCAATTGCCAAAGTACACTCCAAAGTGGAAGGCAATGTCTGACTTCTTATCTATCCCGGTGTGGAAATCAACCTGCAGCTGTGGGTCCTTGCTGAGGTCAAAGCACACAGCATGTTGGACAGGTCCCTTCTGTATAGGGCACACACAGGACACACACACAAATCTCTTCCCACCTTTCCCAGGACAGACAGAAGCCTTCCCGGTGACACTGCAGGCCTCATCCCTGCAGGACTGCTTCAGCTTCTTGTTCCCTCATGCAGGGATATGCTCTGCCCCTCATCCCCAGATGGAAACTGAGCCACAGTCACTGACCTGAGGCTATGAGTTGTCTATTCTCTGAGAACTCTATACTCCTTGATAGAAGTGTCAGTGGCAGATAGAGATCCTCTTGGAAACTTTGGCAGGTCCCTATAGGTGAGTCATAGCACAGATCCGGAAAATGTGGAGCAAAGACATGCCATCCTTTGTGGATAACCTCTCTCCATTTGAGAAAAAGCATTTGCCTTGCTACTGGGCCTTAATAGAGAGTGAATACTTAACCATGGCCTCCAATTTTCTGTGAATCCTGGCTTCTGTCAAGAATCAGGTATGACCCACCATATTTGTTCCAGCAAAAGACACGATCTCATTATTTTTATAGCTGCATAGTATTCCATGGTGTATATGTACCACATTTTTCTTTCTCCAGTCTACCGCTGATGGTCATTTATATTGATACCATGTCTTTGCTATTGTGAATCATACATGTGCAACAAACATACACGTGCATGTGTCTTTATGGTGGAACAATTTATATTCCTTTGGGTGTATATACCTAGTAACGGGATTGCTAGGTCAATTGGTAGTTCTGTTTTTAGGTCTTTGAGGAATTGTCACACTGTGTTCCACAATGATTGAACTAATTTACACTCCCACCATAGTGAATACGCATTCCTTTTTCTCTGCAACATTGCCAGCATCTATTACTTTTTGATATTTTAATAATAGCCATTCTGACTGATATGTGATGGTATCTCACTGCTGTTTTGATTTGCATTCCCTAATAATCAGAAATGTTGAGCTTTTCCACATACGCTTGTTGGCCACATGTGTATCTTCTTTTGGGAAGTGTCTGTTCATATCTCTTGCCCACTTTTTAATGAAATTGTTTGTTTTTTTCTTGTATATTCCTTAAGTTCCTTATAGATGCTGAATGTTAGCCTTTTGTCTGATGTGTAGTTTGCAAAAATGTTCTCCCATTCTGTAGGTTGCCTGTTTACCCTGTTGATAGTTTTCCTTTGCTGTGCAGAAGCTCTTTAGTTTAATTAGATCCCATTCGTCAGTTTTTGCTTTTGGTGCAATAGCTTGCACCATCTGCATCATGAGTTCTTTCCCCATTCCTATATCCAGAATGGCATTGCCTAGGTTGTCTTCTAGGGTTTTATAGTTTTGGGTAATACGTTTCAGTTTCAGTCTCTGATCCATCTTAAGTTGATTTTTGTGAATGGTGTAAGGAAGGGGTCCAGTTTCAATCTTCTGCATATGCTAGACAGTTATTGCAGAACCATTCATTGAATAGGGAGTCGTTTCCCCATTACCTGTTTTTGTCAGCTTTGTGGAAGATCAGATGGTTCCAGGTTTGTGGCCTTCTTTGTGGTCTCTCTGTTCCATATGTGTTTGTTTTTCTACAAATACTATGCTGTTTTGGTTACCGTAGCCTCATAGTATAGTTTGAAGTTGAATAGCACGATGTCTCCAGTTTTTTTCTTTTTGCTTAGGGATTGCCTTGATCATTTGGGCTTTTTGTTTGTTCCAGATGAATTTTTAAATAGTTTTACCTAGCTGTTTGAATAATGTCATTGGTAATTTTACAGGAATCACTTTGGATCTACAAATTGCTTTGGGAATTATGGTCCTTTAAATGATATTTGTTCTTCCTAACCATGAGCATGGAGTGTTTTTTTGTTTGTTTCATCTCAGATTTCTTTGAGCAGTGTTTTCTTTTTCTGAATTTTTGCCTTGAAGAATCTGGCAAATTGTATTTTACAAAGGTGGTCATGATGATATCTCTTATCCTATACGCTTTTCTCCAGTGTGATTTTTTATATATATTTTTTATTTCCATGGGTTTTTGGGGAACAGGTGGTATGTGGTTCCCTGAGTAACTCTCTTAATGGAGATTTGTGAGATTTGGGGTCACCCATCACCCGAGGAGTACACACTGAACCCAATTTGTAGCCTTTTATCTCTTATCCCCTTCCCTCCCTTTTCCCCCCAAGTCCCCAGAGCCTATTGTATCATTTTTATGCCTTTGCATCCTCATCGCTTAGCTCCCACTTATGAGTGAGAACATATGATGTTTCATTTTGAATTAATGAGTTACTTCACTTAGAATAATGGTCTCCAATCCCATCCGGGTTGCTGTTAACACCATTAACTCATTCCTTTTTATGGCTGAGTAGTATTTCATTATATGATGGTTATTTGCACTGGTTTCACATATTTGCAATTGTGAATTATGCTACTATAAACATGTGGGTGCAAGTATCATTTTTGTTAATGACTTCTTTTCCTCCAAGTAGACACCAAGTAGTGAGATTGCTGGATCAAATGGTAGTTCTACTTTTAGCTCTTTAAGGCATCCCACACTGTTTTCTATAGTGGTTGTACTAGTTTACATTCCCACCAGCAGAGTAAAAGTGTTCCCTTTCACCTCATCCCGTCTAATGTCTATTATTTTTTGATTTTTGATTACGGCCATTCTTGCAGGAGTAAAGCAGTAGCACATTGTGCTTTTGATTTACATTTCTCTGATCATTAGTGATGTTGAGCATTTTTTCATATGTTTGTTGCTTATTTGTATATCTTCTTTTGAGAATTGTTTTTTCATGTCCTTAGCCCCCTTTTTGATGGGATTGTTTGTTTTTTTACTTGCTAGTTTGTCTAAATTAGTTGTAGATTCTTGATATTCGTCCTCTGTTAGATGTACAGATTGTGAATATTTTCTCCCACTCTGTGGGTTGTCTGTTTACTCTGCTGACTGTTTCTTTTACCATACAAAAACTCCTTAGTTTAATTAAGTACAACCTAGTTATCTGTGTTTTTATTGCATTGGTTTTTGGGTTCTTGGTCATAAAATCTTTCCTTAAGCCAATGTCTAGAAGGGTTTTTCTGATGTTATCTTCCAGAATTTTTATAGTTTCAGGTCTTAGATTTAAGTTCTTAATCCATCTTCAGTTGATTTTTGTATAAGGTGAGAGATGAGGATCCAGTTTCATTCTCTTACGTGTGGCTTGCCAATTATCCCAGCACCATTTGTTAAATATCCACTTATGCTTATTCTCCACTTTATGCTTTCATTTCCTTTGTCAAAGATCAGTTGGTTGCAAATACTTGGGTTTATTTTTGGGTTTTCTATTCTGTTCCATTGGTCTATATGCCTATTTTTATACCAGTACCATGCTGTTTTGATGACTATGGCCTTATAGTATAGTTTATAATCAGGTAATGTGATGCCTCCAGATTTATTCTTTTTGCTTAGTCTTGCTTTGGCTATGCAGATTCTTTTTTGGTTCCAAATAAATTTTAGAATTCTTTTTTCTAGTTCTGTGAATAATGATGGTGGGTATTTTGATGGGAATTGCATTGAATTTATAGATTGCTTTTGGCAGTATGGTCATTTTCACAATATTGATTCTACTCATCCATGAACATGAAATGTTTTTCCTTTTTTTGTGTCATCTCTGATTTCTTTGAGCACTGTTTTGTAATTATCATCGTACAGATATTTCACCTCCCTAGATGGCTGTATTTCTAGGTATTCTATTCTTTTTGTGGCAATCATGAATGTGATTGTGTTACTTATTTGGCTCTCATCTTAGCTGTTGTAAGAAAGAATGATAGAGATTTTTGTATGTTGATTTTGTATCCTGGATTTCTCTAAAGTTGTTTATCAGCTTAAGGGCCTTTTCAGCTGAGACTATGGGGTTTTCTAGATACAGAATCATGTTGTCTGCAAACAAGAATCATTTGACTTCTTTTCTTCCTCTTTGGATGCCCTTTTTTCTTACTCTTGTCTATTGCTCTGGCCAGGACCTTCGCTAATATGTTAAATAAAAGTGGTGAGAGAGAGCATCTTTGTCTTGTGCCAGTTTAGAGGGGAATGCTTTGAGCTTTTGCCCATTCACTCTGATGCTAGCTGTAGGTTTGTCATAGATGACTCTTATTATTTTGAGGTATGTTCCTTCAATACTCAGTTGATTGAGGTTTTTAACATGAAAAGGTGTCGAATTCTACTGAAAGCCTTTTTTGCATCTATTGAGATAATCATGTGATTTCTGTCTTTTGCTGTGTTTATGTGATGAATCAAATTTATTGATTGGCATATGTTGAACCAACCTTGCATGCCAGGGGTATAGCCTACTTGATCATGGTGGGTAAGCTTTTTTCATGTGCTGCTGGATTCAGTTTGCCAGTATTTTGTTGAGGATATTTTTATTGATCTTCATCAAGGATATTTGCCTGAAATTTGTTGTTGTTGTTGTGTCTCTGCCAGGTTTTGATATCAAGATAATGCTGGCCTCACAAAATGAGTTAGGCAGGTATCTCTCCTCCTCAATTTGTTGGAATACTTCCAGTAGGAATGATACCAGCTCTTCCTTGTATACCTGGTAGAATTCAGCTGTGAATCCATCTGGCCCTGGGCCTTTTTTGGGTGGTAGGCTTCTTATTACTGATTCAGTTTTGGAGCTCATTGTTGGTCTCTTCAGGGATTCAATTTCTTCCTGGTTCAGTATTGGTCAGGTGTATGTATCTGGGAATGTATCCATTTTCTGTAGATTTTTTAGTTTGTGTGCATAGAACTGTTTATAATCTACCTGATGGTTGTTTATATTTTTGTAGTGTCTGTGGTAATATCCCCTTTGTCGTTTCCAATTGTGTTTATTTGAATCTTCTCTCTTTTCTTGTTTATTAGTCTGGCATGCAGTTTATTTTGTCACTTTTTTCAAAAAAATGAACTCCTGGAATCATTGAATTTTTGACTGGTTTTTTGTGTCTTGATCTCCTTTGGTTTAGTTCTGATTTTTTATATTTCTTGTCTTCTAAATTTGAGGTTGACATGCTCTTGGTTCTCTACTTCTTTTTTAATTTCAAAATTAATTTTTTCAAAATCGTCACATGGTAGGCATTCTCTAGTTCTTTTAGGTGTGATGTTATGTTGCTAAGTTGAGATCCGTGTAACTTTTTCATGTCAGCATCTAGTGCTATAAATAATCCTTTTAATACTGCCTTAGCTGTGTCCCAGAGATTTTGTATGTTGTATTATTTTTCTCACTAGTTTCATTGTTCTCATCAGTTTCAAAAAACTTCTCAGTTTCTGACTTAATTTCATTATTTACCCAAAAGTCATCTAGTAGCAGGGCTATTCCATTTCCATGTCATTGTATGGTTTTGAGTGATTTCCTTAGTCTTGATTTCTAATTTTATTGAGCTGTAATCTGAAAGAAGGATTGCTATCATTTCTATTCTTTTCTATTTGTTGAGGAGTATTTTATGTCTGATTATGTGGTGAGTTTTAGAGTATATTCCATGTGGTTTTGAGAAAAATATATATTCTGTTGTTTTTTGGGTGAAAAGTCCTGGAGAAGTCTATCGGGTCCATGGATCAAGTGCTGAGTCTAAGTTCTGAATGTCTTCGTTAATTCTCTACCTCAATGGTCTTTCTAATACTGTAAGTGGGGTGTTGGAGTCCCTCACTATTACTGTGAATTCTATTATTCAAAGTCTCTTGGAAGGTCTCTAAGAACTTGCTTTATGAATCTGGGTGCTTTTGTGCTGAGTGCATATATATTTAGGATAGTCAGATGTTCATTTGAATAAAACTCTTTACCATTTGGAAAGCCCTTAGACAACCTTTCAAAGTGACTTGGAGCCCCAGAGCACTGTAGGATTTGCTGGAATTCAAGTTCCAGCCAATGGGATAAAAGATTCCCCTTGGCTAAGGCTGGTTTAAGTGCTCCCTCAGTTGGCATGCAAGACTGGAGTTGCAACACTTTTTCTTATCACTTCAATGCCTCTTTCAGCAATACAGAGTTAAAAACAGGTACTACGAGGGCCTACCTGATTCTTGGTTCTCATGGAGGTGCTTTTTCTATACGGATGTTACAAGATAGAGTGTCCTAAATGTGAGTTGTCCAAGTTCTTGGCATATTGGAAAAATAAATTGAACAAAATGCCACAGAGTGGGCACAGATTTATTGAAGACAATTTACACAGTGGAAGCAGACTCCACTTGAGCAAGCAGCTGCTTAAGAGCCCCATCAAGGGCCAGACAAGGTGGCTCACACCTGTAATCTCAGCACTTTGGGAAACCGAGAAGAGCAGATCATGTGAGTCCAGAAGTTTGAGACCAGCCTAGGAAACGTGGTGAAACCCAGTCTACTAAAAATACAAAAATTAGCCAGCCATAGTAGCACATGCCTGTAATCCCCGCTACTCAGGAGACTGAGGCATGAGAATTGCTTGAACCCAGCAGGCAGGGGTTGCAATGAGTCAAGATTGCACCACTACACTCCTGCCTGGGTGAAAGAGTGGGACTCTGACTCAAAACACACACACACACACACACACACACACACACACACACACACACACACAGAGCCTTCTTTGTTTTTTTTTCCAGTATCTGAAAACAGCTTTATGGTATATTTATCTCTGTGTATTTATTTATTTATTTTTAATTATTATTATCCTTTAAATTCTGGAATACACGTGCAGAACGTGCAGGTTTGTTACACAGGTACACATGTGCCATGGTGGTTTGCTGCACTCGTCAACCCATCATCTACATCAGATATTTCTCCGAAAGCTATCTCTCCCCTTGTTCTTCAACCCCCAAAAGGCCCCAGTTTGTGATGTTCCCCTCCCTATGTGCATGTGTTCCCATTGTTCAACTCCCACTTATGAGAGAGAACATGCGGTGTTAGGTTTTCTGTTCCTGTGTTAGTTTGCTGAGAATGATTGTTTCCAGCTTCATCCATGTCCCTGCAGAGGACATTAACTCATCCTTTTCTATGGCTGCATAGTATTCTTTGGTGTATATGTGCCACATTTTCTTTATCCAGTCTATCATTTGGGTTGGCTCCAAGTCTTTGATATTGTGAACAGTGCTGCAATAAACATACGTGTGTATGTTTCTTTATAGTAGAATGATTTATAATTCTTTGGGTACATACAGTAATGAGATTGCTGGGTCAAATGTTATTTCTGGTTCTAGATCCTTGAGGAACTGCCACACTGTCTCCCACAATGATTGAACAAACTTACACTCCCACCAAGAGTGTAAAAGCATTCCAATCTCCACATCCTATCCAGCATCTATTGTTTCCTGACTTTTTAGTGACCACCATTCCAACTGGAGTGAGATGGTATCTCATCGTGATTTTGATTTGCATTTCTCTAATGACCAGTGATGATGAGCTTTTCTTCATATGTTTGTTGGGCACATAAATATCTTCTTTTGAGAGGTGTCTGTTTATATCCTTCACCCACTTTTTAATGGGATTGTTTGGGTTTTTTTGTGTAAATTTGTTTAAGTTTCTTGTAGATTCTTGATATTAGCCCTTTGTCAGATGGATACATTGCAAAAATTTGCCCCCATTGTATAGGTTGCCTGTTCACTCTGATGATTGTTTCTTTTGCTGTGCAGAAGCTCTTTAGTTTTATTAGATCCCATTTGTAATTTTGGGTTTTGTTGCCATTGCTTTTGGTGTTTTAGTCATGAAGTCTTTGCCGATGCCTGTGTCCTGAGGGTATTACCTAGGTTTTCTTCCAGGGTTTTTTTTTTTGGGATTTAGGTCTTACATTTAAGTCTTTAATCCATCTTGAGTTAATTTCCATATAAGGAGTAAGAAAGGGGTCTAGTTTCATTTTTCTGCATATGGCTAGCCAGTTTTCCCATCGCCATTTATTAAATGTGCGCATGGCACATGTATACATATGTAACTAACCTGCACAATGTGCACATGTACCCTAAAACTTAAAGTATAATAATAATAAAAATAATAATCATAAAAAATATGTAATCCTTTCCCCATTGCTTGTTTTTGTCAGATTTCTCAAAAATCTGATGGTTGTAGATGTGTGGTGTTATTTCTGAGGTCTCTCTTTTGTTCCATTGGTCTATACATCTGTTTTGGTACCAGTACCATGACATTTGGTTTCTGTAGCCTTATAGTATAGTTTGAAGTCAGGTAGCATGATGACTCCAGCTTTCTTGTTTTTGCTTAGGATTGTCTTGGCTATAGTGAAGAAAGTCAATTGTAGCTTGATGGGGATAGCATTGAATCTATAAATTAGTTTGGGCAGTATGGCCATTTTCATGATACTTGTTATTCCTATCCATGAACATGGAAAGTTTTTCCATTTGTTTTTATCCTCTCTTATTTCCTTGAGAAGTGGTTTGTAGTTCTCCTTGAAGAGATCTTTCATATCCCTTGTAAGTTCTATTCCTAAGTACTTTATTCACTTTGTAGCAATTCTGAATGGGAGTTCAGTCATGATTTGGCTCTCTGTCTATCATTGGAGTATAGAAATGCTTGTGATTTTTGCACATTGATTTTGTATCCTGAGACTTTGCTAGAGATGCTTATCAGCTTAAGCAGATTTTGGGCTGAGACAATGGGGTTTTCTAAATATACCATCATGACATCTGCAAACAGGGAAAATTTGACTTCCTCTTTTCCTATTTGAATATACTTTATTTCTTTCTCTTGCCTGATTGCCCTGTCCAGAATTTCCAATACTATGTTGAATAGGAGGGGTGAGAGAGGGCATCCTTGTCTTGTGCCAGTTTCCAAGGGAACACTTCCAGCTTTTGCCCATTCAGTGTGATATTGCCTGTGGGTTTGTCATAAATAGCTCTTATTATTTTGAGGTACGTTCCATCGATACCTAGTTTATTGAGAATTTTTAGCATGAAGGGGTGTTGAATTTTATCAGAGGCCTTTTCTGCATCTATTGAGATAATCACGTAGTTTTTGTCATTGGTTCTGTTTATGTGATGGATTACATTTATTGATTTGTGTGTGTTGAAGCAGCCATGCATCCCAGGGATGAAGCCGACTGATCGTGGTGGATAAGCTTTTTGATGTGTTTCTGGATTCAGTTTGCCAGTATTTTATTGAGGATTTTCATATCGATGTTCATAAGGGATATTGGCCTGAAATTTCCTTTTTTTGTTGTGTCTCTGGCCAGGTTTTGGTATCAGGATGATGCTGGCCTCATAAAATGAGTTAGGGAGGAGTCCCTCTTTTTCTATCGTTTGGAATAGTTTCAGAACAATGGTACCAGCTCCTCTTTGTACCTCTGGTACAACTCAGCTGTGAATCTGCCTGGTCCTGGGCTTTTTTTGGTTGGTAGGCTATTAATTATTGCCTCAATTTCTGTGCTTGTTATTTGTCTATTCACGGATTCGACTTCTTCCTGGTTTAGTCTTGGGAGAGTGTATGTGTTTATGAATGTATCCATTTCTTCCAGATTTTCTAGTATACTTGTGTAGAGGTGTTTATAGTATTCTCTGATAGTAATTTGTATTACTGTGGGATGAGTGGTGATATCCTCTTTATCATTTTTTATTGTGTCTATTTGATTCTTCTCTCTCTTCTTCTTTATTACTCTGGCTAGCAGTCTATTTTGTTAATCTTTTCAAAAAACCAGCTTCTGGATTCATTGATTTTTTGAAGGGTTTTTTATGTCTCTATCTTTTTGAGTTTTGCTCTGATCTTAGTTATTTCTTGCCTTGTTCTAGCATGTGAATTTGCTCTTGCTTTTTTAGTTATTTTAATTGTGATGTTAGGGTGTCAATTTTAGATATTTTCCACCTTTTTGTGGGCAGTTAGTGCTATAAATTTGCCTCTAAACACTGCTTTAGCTGTGTCTCAGAGATTCTGGTACATTGTGTCTTTGTTCTCTTTGATTTCAAAGAACTTACTTATCTCTGCCTTAGTTTCATCATTTACCCAGTAGTCATATACCTTTACATTTTAAAATACCCAGACAACTGTCATTGGATTGTGTGCAACAGAAAAGATAAATGCTTGAGTAGACGGATGTCCTACTCTCTGTGATGTGATTATTTGCATCCCTATATGATATTTTATGTACCAGATTAATGTATACACCTACTATGGACCCACAAAAATTAAAAACAAATGACAGACAAAAGACTAATATACACATGAAAACATATGCCACGTCACGGGTCATTAGGGAAATGGAAGTCAAAACCACCATGAGATACCACTTCACACTCATTAGGATGGCTATTACATTAAAAAAATGAAAACTAACAAGTGTGAGGATGTGAATAAACTGGAACCCTTGAACATTGCTGTTTGGAATGTAGGATGGTGTGGCTGCTGTGGAATATATTATGCAGTTCCTCAAAAACGTTACTCATCATAATATACATCTCTTTGGCAACTGGGATCAATTTTTTCTATAAATTCAATAATGTCAATTCACTGACAATAAAACTGAAGAGAAAAGTGAAGTAAGAGGGAGAAGAAAGCAAAGGAGGAAGGGAATTCTAATTCACTCCATCTTTAAATTCTAATACAGGTATTAAGGATGCTTCCCTTCATCACGAAAAGAGAACTTGAGGAGGGGTCCTGAGTCTCCCACCCCAGGTGAAGAAGACTTCATTATGACTGAAGTCCAATCACCTGTACCTGCACATGTCCTCACACAGTCTGGAACTAAGGAGCACACAAATCAAGAACTAGACTTAAGAATCTCAACTTTCTCCCTGAATCTGCAGGAGAAAGAGTGTCTCTGAAAATTTTTATTCCTATGGACACTCAATGAAAAGAAAAGGGTGCAGCTAGAGCCCAGGTGTGTGAGATGCAGATGGGAACAGCCCTCACCTGGCAGAGCCAAGGGGACCAGTGTGGGATCGGGGAACACAAGGGCTTTCTCTACCTTCCTCCATAGGTCCTGCTTAGGATCAAGACCAGTGTTCCCCCAGAACCTCTATAGGGAAAGGGAAAGGTTATCTTTCACTACCAATGATTTCTACAAGAATCTTCACTATTTTTACCATTGTACAAATTAAGAAAATGTACACCTTCTTGGGAAATTATGCACAGTGAAGAGAAGGCTTAATGAGAGGCATGGATGCTGGACTTCACAATCCCTCATCTTCACTCCATCATCCTTATCTGTGCATTTCCCTGGTGACCCCTTCCTCCCCCGGTACCTCTATCACTGTCATTTCTGCTGCATCACAGACACAGGCTTGCAAACAAGTGTGATTGTGACTGAGTCTGTTTCTGACACCTTACCCCTTCTCACCCTGTGGGAATCCTTGCTGAGAGTGTCTTGGAATCAGGAATGAAGCCGCATGGCAGGGCTGACAGGGACCATTTAAATGCTGCAAGTCCAAGACATTCACACTGAAGCCTAGACACAATTCAGAAGAGCCAACCTAAGGGAGCAAATATGTCACCCCTACCTGTGAGTTGAAAAGGCACACCCTTCAATAACCTCAAGTCACATAAAGGAAGGTGGAATAGAGACTTTATGAGATGAAAATGTGAGAGTTTGTATTGTGAGTGCTTTACTAGAGTTGTGTGTGTGCGGAAGACAGAGACCCTGGGGCTATGGTGTCTGAGATGTTTGTGGGGTGTTGAGTGTGGACCCTGGACCAGTGTAACCTTTTGTGAGGGTGCAATGGCATCTGATGAGAGTGAACTCTGCTGAGATGATGTGACTTTAGGTGGGAGGTGGAGAGGCCACCAGCATGGGTGAAACGTGCCTGAGTGTAAGAGGGTGACTGTGTTTTGTCTTCCTGTCTGTGATGTGTGTATGAGCACAGCCAGACCAATGCATGAGCACCTTTACATGCACAGTGAGTAGGCATGTGTGACTCAGTGAGTGGCGTGGCTCTGTGTGACTGTGGGTGTGTGTGCTGGGATATGACTTGGTGTTGAACTGGGAACATACATGTGGCTTTCTGTCCATGTGAAGGTTCCTCCTCACACAGCAGGGCCTCTGATGAAGCAGCTGTGCATCTTCCCATGTGTGTCAATGTGGATGCCGGGTGGCAGAACTGGTGGGGATCTTGGGGACTGGGAGTTACCAATGACTCGTTTGTGAGCATTAATGAGAGCAGAATGTATGATCTGTAGAGGTCTCTTCCCAGGCAGAGTGGAAAAGAGGAATCCAGACTATGGGAACGATGGTTCCTTAGGTGGGGTCTGCACACAGTGACCATCATCTCCTCCCTGTCATCCTCAGGTCTCTTCCTGTCCCCCACCCAAGCCTGCCCTTCCCATTCTAGTTCAGGAGGGTATGCAAATCCTGACTCTCTGAGGAATAACATTAGAGACTGTGGTTTCAGAGACTGAATCACCCCAAACCGGGAAGGAACAAGTGTAGCCTCAGTTCAGATAGAGCTTACTGTGGATATTAATCATCAAAGTAGCAGGGTTTGCTGGCTCATGCCTATAATCCCATCACTTTGGTAGGCAAAGATAGGAAAATAACTTGAGGCCAGGAGTTTGAGAGCAGCCTGGGCAAAATAGTGAGACATTGCCTTTACAAAAACTTTAAGTAACAGACAAGCATAGTGGCGAGCATCTTTCATTACGGCTACTCAGAGGCCAAGGTGTGAGAATCCCAGCAGCACAGAAGTTCGAGACTTTAGTGAGCTATGGATGCACCACTGCACATCAGCGTGGGTGACAGAGGAAGATCATGTCTCAAAAAGAAAGACAAAATATCCACTTGTGGGTTCTCTCTATCTACTTCCTTAACCCACACTCTTCATTTGTCTAAGTGCTGGGGCTGTGCTTTCAACAACTTTTACAACTTCTGGGAACGAAGTCCGTGGCCCTTGATGACTGTGATGCATGTTCATCCCACACACAGGGGTTTCCTGTTCTTTTGTTATTTCCCTCTCTCGTTCAACAAGTGTTGCTTCTTACTGGAATGGATTTCTCTACTGTTACATCCTCAGGTCTTGTTTTCACAGATATTAATTTCTCTAAGATCACCCTACAAAGTAAGAATTTCTAATAAAGACAAAAAAGTAAAAAGTGTAGAAAGTAGAGGAAAGAAAGAGTTTAAATAATCTTCCTTGTACATGGGAAATTAAATTAGGCAGCGATCAAGTAATGGATCTATGATTGCACTGCCAGTAAGAGGCACAATCAGGACTGGAGTCCAGGAAGCCTGGCTTCTGAATCCTTGCTCCTCATGTCTTTAGGAATATGGAGTTCTGACTGCGATAGGGTGAAAGAGGTAAGTCCTCACAGTTTGCCTGTTGATCTCTAACCTTCTGCATCATGGGAATGTGTCACAAAGCTGGAGGCCGCACCTGGCCTGGCCCCTCTCACCCACTCTCAATCTCCTAGCAAGTGCCACACACAAGGCCTGTGTCCTTGTCCATTGGTTCTTGCATGACAATCAGAGGGACATCGATCATCCCTTTCAAGTGAGTACTCCATGGTCCATGGCACAGGGGTGGAAAAGAAAGGAGAATATTTACTCAGGACGTGGTCTCATGTGGGTAATGTGGAAATGTGTAGTTGGCAGGATGGAGGTAGCATGCCACTGTAGATCCTGGGGACCCTCCAGCACCAGGCATGAAACCTGCAGTGGCTAAACTCTGGGCTAGTCATGGGGCCTAGGGGAAGAGGACACTCAAAGGTTGGGGCTGTGGCTCTTTATCAAGGGGCATGGAATTTTCAGAGAATGAACATAGGCCCAGGTAAGTGACTGTGGCTCACTTTCCATCTTTTGATGAGGGGCAGAGCACGTCCCCACGTGGGGGAAATATGAGGAGCTAAAACAGCCCCACAGGGACGAGGCCTGTAGTATGACAAGGGAGCCTTCGTTCTGTACTGGGGAAAGAAAGGAAGGGATTTGTGTGTGTGTGTTGATTGTGTGCCCCACAAGGGAGGGGCCTGCCCAACACTTCGTATGCTTTGCCCTCAGCAATCATTCAGCGCTGCAGATGGAATTCTACACTGGGACAAATGAGGTCTCAGACATTCCCTTCCATTTCTGAGTGCACTTTGGCCATTGTTTGGTCATTGACAGCCGTGTGTGGCCTGGACGTATGAGAGGAGCTGCAACAATGGGTTCTTTGAGAATGGCAAACCATTTGATCTGAGCATCTTGGTGCTGGACAATGAATACAAGGTGAATGCCCAAGGAGCTCCCAATACCTGGCCTTCTTGGGCTCTGAGAGCAGAAGGCAGCTCTCCCTGGCCTGGCCCCAGTAGTTGTTCAGGACCCATCTCTCATAACTACTCCTGCCCCGGGCACAGCACCCTCTGCTTGCACTGCCTTTCTCAGCTCTTTTCCAAAATCTGACTAGGATCAAGGTCATCACACCTAGGATTTCCCCCAAAGTGTAGAATCTCCTCAGTCTTTTCCCATTGTGCTCACTTCTACTTATGCAGTTATTTAAATTTTCACTTAGCTGAATGAATACAATATCCATAAGAATAAAATTGTTTTAGTCAACGAAAAATTAAGTCCTTCTTTCACTCCTGGACCCAATCTTATTCCTGGGAGCATTACCAGTGCTCTGCTCTCCTTCCACAGCAAATCTTTGCTTATGGAAACATATAGATCTATAATTTCACTTGTTTTTAAGAAAATCCCAGTATACATTGCTCTACACATTACACCTTAAAAACTGATTTGATTTGTTGTCAAAGAATATACCTTGAGGATCCCGTCTACTAATGGTGCTTCCTCAGTTTTTAAAGATTGCATAATATTGCATTAGAAGGATTACCCAAAATTACTGAACTTGACTGTTTTGATGGGACTTGAGGTTATTTCCAATATTTTGCTCTCACAAATGGTGCTGTATTAAGACTTCTAGTAATTTATTTTGTCATTATCCACCTCCCTTACTTATACTGAAAGATAATTACAAAGAAAAAAATAACTGGTTCAAAAATGTGTGTATTTTAAATTTAACAAATTGACACCTAGAAGGTTACTTTATAGCCTCAGTAATAAAGAATATGTCCCAATGTTCTGGCCCTTTCTAATGGATAGGCCAAAAGATTCACATTTTATTCAGATTCAAGTGAGGGATCTCTTTCTATGCTTAGAAGCTGTTCAAAATGATAGTCTATGTTTTGCAACACTTGTCCAATTGGGCCTCTCCAACAACACTTGAGTTTTATTCTTGGCCACCATCAGCCCGAATCTAGGCAACTCCAAAGGGAAAGTAGGCCATCAGCAGTGAATGGCAGTCATAGTTCACGGAAATGAAAGATATACATTCAATGAACATGGTCTAGCGTTAACCCTGTGTGAACCCCTCTGCAAGATGCAGGATTCAAGTTCATGAAACAGTCACTAGCCATGGGGATTTTCCAAGCTAGAGGGGAGGCTGAGCAAGCACGGACCATGTGACACAGAGTGGTAGAGCCTTGCTGGAAGAATGATATGAAACATTAGAAAGAAAGTAAGCAACTCTCTAAAATAAGCACAAATGTTAACATGTAAATAGAAGTGTGTGTCTTGGGTTCAGTTATATAGCTAGTAGTTTTCTCAGGGGATGTTGTAGGTAGTAGGACAGAGTGGAGAGGAGGCTGAAAGCTTGTTTGGTGGCATACTGTCTTTCTGATGCATTTTCCCTCTTTTAGGTAATAATAAATGGCCAACACTGTTACATCTTTGCCCATCTACTTCAACCATATTCTGTGAAGATAATGCAAGTGTGGAGAGATGTCTCCCTGACCTCAATGTCTGTCTGCAATTGAGGGAGATGACCACATCCCTCACTGTTGAGGAATGCTGCTTTTTTAAATTATATTTTAAGTTTTAGGGAACATGTGCACAACATGCAGGTTTGTTATATGTGTACACATGTGCCATGTTGGTGTGCTGCACCCATTAACTCATCATTTAACATTAGATATATCTCCTAATGCTATCCCTCCCCACTCCCCCCACCCCACAACATGCCCTGGTGTGTGATGTTCCCCTTCCTGTGTCCATGTGTTCTCATTGTTCAATTCCCACCTATGAGTGAGAACATGCAGTGTTTGGTTTTTTGTCCTTGTGATAGTTTGCTGAGAATGATGGTTTCCAGCTTCATCCATGTCCCTACAAAGGACATGAATTCATCAGTTTTTATGGCTGCATAGTATTCCATGCTGTATATGTGCCACATTTTCTTAATCCAGTCTATCATTGTTGGACATTTGGCTTGGTTCCAAGTCTTTGCTATTGTGAATAGTGCCTCAATAAACATACGTGTGCATGTGTCTTTATAGCAGCATGATTTATAATCCTTTGGGTATATACCCAGTAATGGGATGGTTGGGTCAAATGGTATTTCTAGTTCTAGATCCCTGAGGAATCGCCACACTGACTTCCACAATGGTTGAACTAGTTTACAGTCCCACCAACAGTGTAAAAGTGTTCCTATTTCTCCACATCCTCTCCAGGAGACCTGTTGTCTCCTGGCTTTTTAATGATTGCCATTCTAACTGGTATAAGATGGTATCTCATTGTGGTTTTGATTTGCATTTCTCTGGTGGCCAGTGATGATGATAATTTTTTCACGTGTCTTTTGGCTGCATAAATATCTTCTTTTGAGAAGCGTCTGTTCATATCCTTCGCCATGGAATCCCTCTTTCTATGTGACCACAGAATCCCCAGAGCCTACTGACAGCATGGTCTCTCCTCACCCTTTCCCCTGCACTTGGTCATTAAAACATCACCACACTTCCCAGGATTTGGTTCTTGCTTTAATGGGGAAAGAGGAAGTCATCATCCTCAAGAAGGCCCAAGGAACTTTATGGGAGGCATCCAGAAACCAAAGTGGATAAACCTTCTTGTGACTCCGGGAGTGACAAGGTCCTTAGAATGTCTTAGAAGTCATTATGTACGGCATCTTTCTACAGCACATTGTTGACATCAGAGACTCTGAGACAAATACCTTACCCAATCTTAGATGACTCACTGCACTGAAATGTTAGGTAGCTGTTTAAAGCCTCACAGGTGTACCTCGAGGCTTTGGGGAGAAATTTTGTAACTTGAGGACAATCTGGTGGAATTTTCTAATTATTTCCATTGTTCTCAGGATATTTATTGTGTAATCACGGTGCCTGGCTTTGTACAGGCTACCATGCAGAAACTTTAGAAACAGACACACTTCCCACATGAAAACTTCAATCCAAGCAATAGTTAGAGAATCACAAGAGTCCCAAGATTTCCCTTAAAGAACCCCAATTGTTGATGTTTAAAAATAATAGCGAGATTTTTCTGATGTAAGTGGCAGAATCCTTGAATTTCTATTTAAAAATAAATGGTTATGGTTTTAGATCAGAAAATATGTAGTTTATTGTTGGGATGAACACAATTCATACATATGGACACAGTGAGCAGACCTTGCTTTGTTGCTGTTTCACTAGGCATTGCAGCACAGCAAACCTCCCAACACATGTTGGCTTAGAGCAATCTTTTCTTCTGATCTTGCTCAGTTAACTGGACTCATGTGGGTGGTAGATCATGTAGTGAAAGTGACGTTTTCTGAAGGATATTTCAGGCTGTGATTCCAGAGGATGCTTCACTCATGTCTGACTCAACACTAGGGCTGGGCGAACACCTGGGGCTGGCTGGTTATTTCCTTTCCTACCTCACCTCCAAATTCATGCCTTGAATTCCCTCAAATCATGAGAGTCTCCTGTTTCTTGGACTGAATGATGATAGGCTTCCACCAAAGCAAGCCTCCCAAAAGGCTCAGGAAGAAGGTGCAAGGTATCATAGGACCTAGCTTTGAAAGGCAGACAGTGTCACTTCTATGACATTATATTGATCAAAGTGAGCCATACACACAGCCCAAATCAAAGGAAGGGAACTTCATAAGCTGTGGTTATTGTGACATGTGGTCATGAAGGAGCATCCTTGGCAATTATTTCCACTCGGTCCTCACTGGCTTACAAGCTTCTCATATATCAAGGATACCAATCCTGTAAGGAACCACTGAAGGCAACATGTTTACAGGAACAGGCTCAGATTGAAGTCTAGTATTTTATCATCCAATCAGGATCTGGTGTCCATGAGGTGACTACAAATTATCAGGTGCACTTTCAACATATGCACTAAAGAAATATATTATCTGCCCTATAAAATTAAACATACAAGACTAAAACAGATATAGGAAAATGCAGTGAACACACTTATTTTAGAGGGGCAAAAGATAATAAACAACAAAACTGAAAGCAAGGTGGGTCACCAATAGCTCTACTGGAGCCACCCACAAAAATTCAGCCAGGGTTCTCACTCTTATTGCATCTGCTCAAACCAGCATGACCTATTCCGAAAATGTTGTCTTGATATGTGCCGCTTCTGTTTCCATAAGTGCTTAAAGGATATAGATTTCATTAGGTTAGACTAAGTGATCTTCCTTCAATTTATAAGCAAGACATCCACTCAGTGAAAGAAACCATGCTAGCTCTTTGTACATGAAAAAAAAAATTAAAACAAAGAAACCAATTCAAAAAAAAAAAAAGACAAAAAAGGCAGCCATCACTGGTCCATATCATTGCTGAAACCAACAAGACCCCCATTTGCATCTTCTCTGAAAATGTTTCTCTGCCACAGTTGTCTCCACCTTCTACTGTCAGTGTCTTAGAGCTCCCACAAAGATGGCACAATGAAAACCCTTTTCCTGCTACAAGAGCTGTTGTCACCTATTTCATGACACAAATAGAGAACCATTTAGGAGAAGATAAACAACATATTACCTAAAAGCCAAACAATGCAGATTGAAGAGGGTCTCAACAAATAGCCTCTTTGTCTGCAGGGCCCATCTAAGGCATCATTTTGATCATCCTCATTCTCCGTTCTCATGTTCCTTGCCACAGTTTGTTCAACTCCAACCTTACTCATGGGTATGCCTCCCGTTTTGCCCTCCTTTAACCTAACATCCAGATACCTTTAGGTGTCAATGCACAGTAAATAACACTCTCATGCCTCTCTTTCTTGTTTCTTTCCTGTATGAACTGAAATTCCCTTCATTCTCACTGGGGAGTCTCAGGTTCTTGTTAGACACATTCTCCTCCTTATATCTTCCCTCTCACAGTTTTGTTCACTTCTCTGTTTTGATGATGGATCACAGGCCCCCTCATCAGCATGGAAATCATTTTTTGGGGAATTAGACAATTCTTGCTCTCAGTGGATAAAGACAATCTTGGAACCCATGACTTTCTGATCAGAACACGAGTTTGATTTCATATCTACATGCCCCTGGTTGATGCCCATTGTATTTGAATAGCTTACAGGGTCCTACATGCTGTCCCTGCCAGGCAAACACACAGTGACTGCCTTTTCTTGACTGATATTCACCAGCTCAGTTCAGTTCATATAAGCCTTTTGTTACACTTATCTTTATACCAGCTGCTGCCCTGTGCTCTTGGTGGCCAAGAGAGATGTCTGAGATGAAAAGAGAAGGCATAGAGTCCAGGAATCAATGTTCAACAAACGATTTTTGATTTGCCTCTGGGGACCTACTCAACATATTTTTCATACAGATAAACCGGAATTCATGGTCTTCTCCCAGCAAACACAGCATTGCTCAGAACACAGCATTTCTGGACTCTAAAGCCTTGCCTTCTGAAAGGTCTGTAGGGCTTTTCAGTTTTTGATGAAAGCCCCCAAAGAATAAATCTACTCTGCTAATGTTGTCCTTGATGCCCAAGTCCCCTAAAGCTGTTTCCTCTAAGGTGCTGTCCGTGGTACTGGGCACTGGTGCTTCTGGGCCTGTATTTGCAAGTGAGGGGCCAATAAGACAGAATTAACATAAATTTTTTGTTTTGTTTTGTATTTGATAAATCACAGCTCAAAATATGTATAATGAATGGAGCAGGAATTGAATTTGGATCTTCAGACCCCAATTTCTGCAGTGCCCTCTCTCACCCCTCCTATTCAACATAGTTTTGGAAGTCCTGGCCAGAGCAATCAGGCAAGAGAAAGAAAGAAAGGGCATCCAAACAGGAAGAGAGGTCAAACCATCCTTGTTTGTAGACATGATTTCCTATCTAGAAAACCTCATAGTCTCCACCCAAATGATCCTCAAGCTGGTAAACAACTTTAGCAAACTTTCAGGATACAAAACCAATGTGCAAAAATCACTAGAACTCCTATATGCCAACAACACGTAAGCATATGGCCAAATCAGAAGTTCAATTCCATTCACAATTGCCATAAAAAATAAAATACCTAGGAATAATAAACTACAACCTGAAAGTAAAATGGGTCACCAATAGCTCTACTGGAGCCACCCACAAAAATTTAGCCAGGGTTCTCACTCTTGTTACATCTGCTTAAACCAGCATGACCTTATCCAAAAATATTGACTCGATGTGTGCCACTTCTGTTTCCATAAGTACTTAAAGGATATAGGTTTCATTAGGTTAGGCTAAGTGATCTGCCTTCAATTTATAAGCAAGACATCCACTCAATGAAAGAAACAGTCAATGAAAGAAATCCACTCAATGAGAGAAAGCTAACCAGTGGGTGAAAGATCGTTACAAGGATAATTTCAAAACACTGCCTAAAAAAACATAGATGACCCAAACCAATGGAAAAACACTCCATGCTCATGAATAGCAAGAATCATTATCATTAAAACAGCCATGCTGCCCAAAGAAATATACATATTCAATGCTATTCCTATTGAACTACCAATGACATTTCTCACAGAATTAGAAAAAAAAAAACTATTTTAAAATGCACATGGAACCAAGAATGAGTTGATTAAAAAAGACAATTCTAAACAAAAAGAACAAAGCTAGAAGCATCACTTTACCCAACTTAAAAGTATACTACAGGGCCACAGTAACTGAACAGTATGGTACTGGTACAAAAACAGACACATAGACAAGTGGGACAGAATAGAGAGCCCAGAAATAAGGTCACACACCTACAACCATCTGATCTTTAACAAAGCTGACCAAACAAGCACTGGAAAATGAACTTTCTCTTCAAGAAATGGTTTTGGGATAACTGGTAGCCATATGCAGATGATTGAAACTGAATCCCTTCCTTGCATTATGTAGAAAAAATCAATTCAAGAGGGGTTTTAAGACTTAAATGTAAAACCCAAAACTATAAAAACCCTGGAAGTCTACCTAGGCAATATCATTCTAAATGTAGGAATGGGGAAAAGTTTCATAACAAAGATGCCAAAAGCAATCACAAGAAAAGCAAAAATTGACAAATGGATCTATTTAAACTAAAGAGCTTCTGCACAGCAACGGAAACTATCAACAGAGTCAACAGACAACCTACAGAATTGGAGAAAATATTTGCAAATTATGTATCTGAAAAAGGTCTTATATCTAGCATCTATAAGGAATTGTAATTACTTTACAAGAAAAGAACAAACAACTGCATAAAAAAGTGGGCAAAGGGGCCGGGCGTGGTGGCTCACGCCTGTAATCCCAGCGCTTTATGAGGTGGAGGAGAGCGGATCACGAGGTCAGGAGATTGAGACCATTCCGGCTAACATGGTGAAACCCTTCTCTACTGAAAATACAAAAAATTAGCCGGGTGTGGTGGCACGCACCTGTAGTCCCAGCTACTCGACAGGCTGAGGAAGGAGAATCTCTTGAACCCGAAGGCAGTTGTTGCAGTGAGCCGAGATCGCGCCACTACACTCCAGCCTGGGCGACAGAGCGAGACTCGATCTCAAAATAAAAGTAGGCAAAGGGCTGAATGCGGTGGCTCATGCTTGTAATTTCAGCACTTTAAGTGGCTGAGGCAGGTGCATCGCTTGAGCCCAGGAGAGACCAGCCTGGACAACATGGTGAAACCCTATCTCTACAAAATTAGAAAAATTAGGCAAATGTTACCCCATGCACCAGTAATCCCAGCTACTCAGAAGGCTGAACTGGGAGGATCACCTGAGCCCAGGCACAAATTGCAGTGAGCCGAGATTGCTCCGCTGCACTTCAGCCTGGGTGTCAGAGTGAGACCCTGTCTCAAAGAAAAGTAGACAAAGGACAGGAACAGACACTTCTCAAAAGAAGACATACATGTGGCCAAAAAGCATATGAAAAGAAGCTCAACATCCCTGAATGTTAGAAAAATGCAAATCAAAACCACAATGAAATACCATCTCTCACCAATCAGAATGGCTACTCTTCAAAAGTCAAAAAATAACAGATGCTAGCAAGCTTGTAAAGAAAAGGGAACACTTACACATTGTTGGTGGTATTAGTTTAACCATGGTGGAAAGCAATGTGATGATTCTTCAAACAGCTAAAATAGAACTACCATTTAACCCATGTATCCCATCACTGGGTATATACCGAGAAGAATATAAATCATTCTACCATAAAAACATGTGCATGTGAATGTTTATTACCACAGTATTCACAATGGCAAAAACATGGAATCAACCTCAATGCCCATGGAGGACAGACTGGATAGAGAAAATGTGGTACATATACACCATAGTATTCTATGCAGCCTCAAAAAAGAATGAGATTATGTCTTTTGCAGAAACATGGATGGAGCTGTAGACCATTTTCCTTAGCAAACAAATGTGGAAACAAAAAATGAAATGCTGCATGTTCTCACTTAGAAGTGTGAGCTAAATGATGAGGCTCATGGACACCAAGAGGGGAACAACACGCACCGGGGCCTACTTGAGAGTGGAGGGTGAAAGATGGGACAGGAGCTGAAAAAATGACTATTGGGTTCTAGGCTTAGCAACTGGATGATTAAATGATCTGTACCACAAACGCCCATGACACGAGTTTTCCTGCACATGTACCCCTGAATGTAAAATAAAAGTTTAAAAAACAAAGAAAAAAATAATCTCATCTTTCTTCTGGAATCTGCAGCACAACCAGTATCCCTGAAACTTTGATTTACATGGACACCAAGAGAAAGGAGAGGGTATAGCTAGAGCCCAGATGTGTGACAGACAGATGAGAGCAGCCCTCACCTGGTAGAGCCAATGGGCCTAGGGTGGGGCAGGTTCATGCCAGGACTTTCTCTACCTCTCTCCCAGATCATCCTGAGGATCAAGATCAGTGCTGTCCCAGAATGTTTAAAGGCAGAAAGAATGATTACCTTCTAGAGCCAACGACTTTACCAAGAATCCTCACCTTAAAAAAATTTATTTTTGTACAAATTGAGAAAATGTATATCTTCCGGGTAGATTCTCTCCGGTGTAGAAAAGGTTTGAGGGGCACAAAGGCTGTGCTTTAAAATCATTCTTCCTTGCTCCCTCATCATTATGCTTGCATTTCCCTGGTAACCCAATCCACAGCCTAGTACCTCTCCCAGTATAATTTCGCTGCATTACAGACACAGGCCTGCAAACAGCTATGGTTTTAACTGAGTTTCTTCCTGACAGCTGAGCCTTTCTCACCCTGCAAGGGAAGCTTGCTGAGAGGAAATTGGAATCAGGAATGAAAGCAGAGGGCATGGTTTACAGGGACCATTTAAATGCTGCAACTCAAAGATTCACACAGAAGCCCGGACACAATTCCGAAGTTGCCCAGAGGAAGCAAAAATGTCAGAGCTACAGGTAAGTTGAATACCCTTTATTTCTTTCTCCTGCCTGATTGCCCTGACCAGAACTTCCAACACTATGTTGAATAGGAGTGGTGAGAGAGGCATCCCTGTCTTGTGCCAGTTTTCAAATGGAATGCTTCCAGTTTTTGCCCATTCAGTATGATATTCGCTGTGGATTTGTCATAAATAACTCTCATTATTTTGAGATACGTCCCACCAATACCTAATTTATTGAGAGTTTTTAGCATGAAGGTTGTTGAATTTTGTCAAAGGTCTTTTCTGCATCTATTGAGATAATCATGTGGTTTTCGTCTTTGGTTCTGTTTATACGCTGGATTACGTTTATTGATTTGCGTACGTTGAACCAGCCTTGCATCCCAGGGATGAAGCCCACTTGATCTTGGTGAATAAGCTTCTTGATGTGCTGCTGGATTCAGTTTGCCAGTATTTTATTGAGGATTTTTGCATGGATGTTCATCAGGGATATTTGTCTTAAATTCTCTTTTTTGGTTGTGTCTCTGCCAGGCTTTGGTATCAGGATGATGCTGGCCTCATAAAATGAGTTAGGGAGGATTCCCTCTTTTTCTATTGATTGGAATAGTTTCAGAAAGAATGGTACTAGCTCCTCCTTGTACCTCTGGTAGAATTTGGCTGTGAATCCCTGTGGTCCTGGACTTTTTTGGTTGGTAGGCTATTAATTATTGCCTCAATTTCAGAGCCTGTTATTGGTCTATACAGAGATTCAACTTCTTCCTGGTTTAGTCTTGGGAGGGTGTATGTGTTGAGGAATTTATCCATTTCTTCAGATTTCTAGTGTATTTGCATAGAGGTGTTTATAGTATTCTCTGATGGTAGTTTGTATTTCCGCGGGATTGGTGGTGATATCCCCTTTATCATTTTTTATTGGGTCTGTTTGATTCTTCTGTTTTTCTTCTTTATTAGTCTTGCTAGCGGTCTATCAACTTTGTTGATCTTTTCAAAAAACCAGCTCCGGGTAATGGAGTAATGGATCTTTTCATATGCTTAGAAGTTGTTAAAGATAATATCCTGTGTTTTATAATACCTGTCCTGCTTTACCTTTGTAAGAATGCTTGGGTTTCATTTTCTGCCACCATTAGCCCAAATTTGGGCTACTGCTCAACAGTGAATGGCAGTCATGGTTCATGGAGCTGAAATGAATGCATTCAATGAACATTGTCGAGGACTAACCCTGTGAGTGGCCATGTGCAAGATGCAGGAATTCAAGTTCATGGGCACAGTCCCTTGCCATGGAAATCTTCTAGGCTAGAGGGGAGGCTGAGCAAACAGGGACCTTATGACATGGAGTGGTAGAGCCTCAACAGAAGCTTGTCTACTGGGTTCAGTTGTCTGACTAGGAGTTTTCTCAGGGGAAGTTGTAGTACTAGGACAGAGTGGAGAGGAGGCTGAAAGTTTGTTTGGTTTGGTGGTGTACTGTCTTTCTGATGCATTTTTTCCTTTTGTAGGTAATGGTAAATGGCCAACACTGTTACATATTTGCCCATCAACTCCTGCAAGCATCTGTGAATATGCTCTGGATGTGGAGATGTCTCCATGAGCTCAACATCTATGTGCAGTTGAAAGAGATGACCACAATCCTTGTTGTTGAGGAATCCCTCTTTCTACAAGACCATGGGATTCCCAGAGCCTGTTAACAGAATAATCCCTCCTCAATCCTTTCTATACACTTGGTCATTAAAAGTTCGGCAAATTTTCCAGGATTTGATAGTCATCCCGACAGGCGCTGAAAGATTACATGGGAAGCATTAAGACATCAAAGAGTAAAAACCTTCCTATGACTCAAGGAGTGAGTAACACGGTCCCTGGAATGTCTGAGAAATTAAAAACGGCATCCTTCTATAGCACATAGTTGACATCAAGCACTCAACTAAAACCCTTACTCAATCTCAGATGACTCATTGCAAATGTTGGGTAGCTGTTTACAGCCACACAGGTATAACTGGTAGTTTTAAGAAGAAACTGTAACATTAGGACAATCAGGTGGAATATCATAATTCTACCCGTTGTTCCAAGGATGCTTACTGTATATGAACACTGTGCCTCACTCTGTGCAGACTGCCATGAGGGAACTTTAGAAACAGATGACAAATTCCTGGCCAGGCGTGGTGGCTTACGCCTGTAATTCCATCACTTTCGGAGACCACGGTGGGCAGATCACTTGAAGTGAGGAGTGTGAGACCAGACTGCCCAACATGGCGATGCCGTCTCTACTAATAATACAAAAATTGGCTGGGCGTGGCAGCAAGCGCCTGTAATTCCAGCTAGTTGGAAGGGTGAGGCATGAGAATCACTTGAACCCAGCAGGCAGAGGTGGCAGTGAGCCGAGTACACGCCACTACACTCCAATCTGGGTGACAGAGTAAGACTCTGTCTCAAAAAAAAAAAAAAAAAAAAAGGCAAATTACCCACATAAAAATTTTGCTCCAAGCAGTAGTTAGAGAATCACAAAAGTTTAATGATTTCTTTCAATGATCCTGATTATTCTTGTTTCTAAATACTTGAAATATTTTTTCAATTTATGTGGACAGAATTCTGGGATTTCTCTTTGGAAACAAGTGGTCATGGTTTTCAGATCAGAAAATATGTAGTTTATTGTTGTAATAGACACAATTCATACTACACACAGGCACAGTGAGGAGACTCTGCTTTGCTGCTGTTACATTTAGACATTGCAGCACAGCAAGCCTTCCAACACATATTAGCTGAAAGCAACCATTTATTCTGATCTCTCCCAGCTTTGCAGGTTTACTGGACTTATGAGGTTGGTAGATCATGTGCTGGGAGTCACATTTTCCAAAGAATCTGTGGTCTGGGATTCCAGGGGATGCTTCACTCATGTCTGACTCAACACTAGGGCTGAGTAAACACCTGGGGGCTGGCTGGTTATCTCCTTCTTTGTCTAAACTCTCCATTAGTGCCTTGAATTTCCTCAAATCATGAGAGTCTCATAGTTCTTGGACTTAATGGATGGTGATTGGCTTCCACCAACTAAAGCCTTCTGAAAGGCTCAAGGAGAAGGTGTAGGGCATTAGAGTACATAGCTTTGAAAGGCAGACATTGTCACTTCTATGACATTATATTGATCAAGTTGAGTCATGCAGGCAGCCCAAATCAAAGAGGAATCCACAAGCTTTGGTTATTTTGACTTGTAGATCCTGAGAGGTCATCCTTGGCAACTATTTCCACGCAGTTCCACACTTATATGTGTAAGTGTGTATATAGGCTTACACACTTCCCACATACTAAAAACTCTAACCCTGTAAGGAACTACTGAAAGCAATACAATTACAGGAGGCAGCTCAGATTGAAGTCCAGCATCTTATCATCCAATTACTCTCAGATGTCCATGAGGAGACTACAAACTGTCAGGTGCACTTTCTCTCAAAATATGCACCAAAGGGATACATATTTGCCCTATACAAATCAATCACACAAGACTGAAACAGACAAAGGAAAATGCAGTTAACACAACTATTTTAGAGGGGCAAAAGATAACAAATGGCACCTTTTGCCTCATAGCACTCTGAGAAGCAAGAGGGGTCACCAGCAGCTCTACTAGAGCCACTTATGAAAATTCAGCCTGGGTTCTCACTCTTGTCGCATCTGCTCAAACCAGCATAGTCTGTTCCGGAAATACTACCTCAATGTGTGCCCCCAGTGTTTCCATAAGTACTTTAAAAACATACATTTCATTAAGTTGGACTAAGAGGTCTTCTTTGAATGGATAACCAAGGCATCCACACAACGAAAGAAACCGTGTTAGCTCTTTGTACATAAATTTAAAATTCAAACAAACAAACAAACAAGTACAGAAAAGAAAATAGACCACAGTCACGGTCCATATCACTGAGGAAACCAACAAGATCTCTTTTTTCATTTTCTCTGGGAACGTTTCCCTGCAGCAATTGGCTTCATCCTCCATTCTTAGCTTCTTGGAACTCCTACCAAGATGGCAGAATGACAGTCCTTTTTCCACTACAAGAGTTTTGATTATCTACTTCATAGTGCATATAGAGAACCATTTAGGAGAAGATAAACAACATATTTCCTAAAAGTCAACGAAGGATGATTGAAGAGAGTCTCATCAAATAGCCTTTTTTCTGCTGGGCCAATCTCAGGCATCATTTTGATCATCGTCATCCTCTCTCCCCAGGTTCATTGCCACAGCTTGTTCAACTCCAACCTTACTCATGGGTATGCCTTTCTCTGTACTGCTTCTTTAACCTAACATCTGGATACCTTGAGGTATCAATGCACAGTGAATTATGCTCTTCATGCCTTTCTTCCTTGTTTCTTTCCAGTATAAAATGAAATTTCCTCCCCTCTCATTGGAAACTCTCAGGTTCTGATTAGGTACACTCTCCTCCTTACACCATCCCTGTCACAGTCCTGGTCAATTCTGTATTTTGATAGTGGATTATAGGCTCCATCACCAGCATGGAATTCATTTGTTGGGGATTTAGGCAATTCTTTCTCTGAGAGGATGAAGACTATCCTGGAATCTATGACTTCCTGAGCAGAACATGAGTTTGATTTCATATCTGCTTGCCTCTGGATGACACCCATTTTATTTGAGTGGCCTACAGAGTCCTACATGCTGGCCTTGCAACACACACAGTGACTCCCATTTCTTGGCTGACATTCACCAGCTCATTTCTGTTCACATGGGCCATTTGTTACACTCATTTTTATCTCAGGTAATACGTTTTGCTCATGGTGGCCAGGATGACATCTCAGACACAAAGAGATGACATAGAATTCAGGAGCCAATGTTTAACAAAGAATTTTTGAATTGCCTCTGGGGACCTACTCAACATCATTTTCATACTCCTCAACCAAAATTCCCTATCTTCTCCCAGCAAATACGGCATGCTCAAAACACAGAAAGTCGTACTTGGACTCTAAAGCTTTCATTCTCAAAGGTATTTAGGCTTTTTAGTTTTTGTTGAAGCCTCCCAAGGAATAAATCTATTTGGTGATAATATTGTCCTTGTCCCTCAAAGCTGTTTCACTTGTGGTGCTGTCCGTGGTGCTGAGCATTGGTGCATTAGGCCCTGTATTTGAAAGTGAGGAGCCAATACGACAGAGTAAGAGAGGAATTTTGTTTTGTTTTCTTTTGTATTTGCTAGACCATAGACAAAACCTCCATGATGACTAAAACAGAAATTCAACTTGGATTTTCAAACCACAATTTCTTCAGTGCCCTCTCTCCTCACTTCTATTTAACATAATATTGGAAGGCCTGACCAGAGCAATCACGCAAGAGAAAAGAAGAAAGGGTATCTAAATACAAAGAGAGGTCAAACCATCCCTGTTTGCAGATGTCATGATTCTATATCTAGAAAACTCCATAGTCTTCACCCGAAAGATCCTTAAGCTGGTAAACCACTTTAGCAAAGTTTCAGGATACAAAATCAATATGCAAAAATCACTAGAACTCCTATATGCCAACAACAGCGACAGGGACAAATCAAGAATGCAATTCCATTCAAATTTGCCATAAAAAGAATAAAACACCTAAAAATACAGCTAATCAGGGAGGTAAAAGATCGTTACAATGAGAATTACAAAACACTACTCAAGGAAACCAGAGATGACACAAAGAAATAGAAAAACATTCCATGCTCATAGATAAGAAAAACCAATTATCATTAAGACAGCCATACTGCCCAAAGAAATTTAGATGCAAGGCTATTTGTCTCAAACTATGAATGACATTCTTCACAGAATTAGAAGAAATATTATTTTAAAATTTAAATGGAACCAAAAAAATGCCAAATAACCGGGGCAATTCTAAGTGAAAAGAACAAAACTGGAGGCATCAAATTACCCAACTTCAAAATATACTACAAGGCTACAGTAACCAAAACAGCATGGTATCGGTATGAAAAGAGACACACAGACCAATGGAACAGAATGGAAAGCCCTAAATAAGGCCACAAACCTACAACCATCTGGTCTTCAACAAAGCTGACCAAACAAGCAATGGAAAAAGGACTCCCTATTCAAGAAATGGTGCTGGGAGAACTGGCTAGCCATATGCAGAAGATTGAAACTGGACCCCTTCTTTACACCATATACAAAAGATAGATTAAAGACTTAAAAGATTAAACCCAAAACTATAAACATCCTGGAAGACAACCTAGACAATACCATGTGGGACATAGGCATGAGAAAAATTTCATGATGAAGATGTCAAAGGCAATTAGGAGAAAAGCAAAAATTGACAAACAGAATCTAATTAAACTAAAGAGCTTCTGTACAGTGAAGGAAACTATCAAGAGAGTAAACAGACAGCCTAAGGAATGGGAGAAAATGTTCTCAAACTATGTATCTGAAGAAGGTCTAATATCCGAGCATTTATAAGAAATTTCAACAACTTCACGAGAAAGAAACAAACAAACCCATAAAAAAGTGGGTAAAGAGCTTGACACAGTGGCTCATGCCTGTAATCCCAGCGCTTTGGGCAACCAAGGCTGGTGGATCACTTGAGCCCAGGAATTTGAGAACAGGCTGGGTAACATGGCAAAAACCCATCTCTACTAAAAATAGAAAAAAAAAATAGCCTAGCATGGAGACATGCACCTGTAGTCCCAGCTACTCAGGAGACTGAGCTTAGAAAAATCACCTGAGCCCCGGAGCCAGAGGTTACAGTGAGCCAAGATGGTGCCACATCACTCCAGCCTGAATGTCAGAGTGAGACCTGTTTTAAAACAACAACAAAAAAGTTGAGCAAAGGACACGAACAGACACTTTTCAAAAGTAAGGATACAGGTGGCCAAAAAACATATAAAAAAGCTCAATATCACTGAACATTAGAGAAATGCAAATCAAAACCACAGTGAGATACCATCTCACACCAGTCAGAATGGCTGTTATTAAAAAGTCAAAAAAGGACAGATGCTTCAAGGTTGTGGAGAAAAGGGAGAACTCACACATTGTTGGTGACAGTGTAAATTAGTTCACCCATTGTGGAAAGCAGTGTGGTGATTCCTCAAAGAGCTAACAATAGATCTACCATTCAACCCAGCAATCCCATCACTGGGTGTATACCCAGAAGAAAAGAAATCATTCTGCCATAAAGACATATGCACATGAATGTTCATTGCAACACTATGCACAATAGCGAAGACACAGAATGAACCCAAATGCCAATCAATGACAGATCGGTTACAGAAAATGTGGTACATGTACACAATGAAATACTATGCAGTCCTAAAAAAGAATGATATTATGTCTTTTGCAGGAACATGGATGGAACTGGAGGCCATTATTCTTAGCAAACTAATGCAGGAACAGAAAACCAAATACTGCATGTTCTCACTTATCAGCGTGAACTAAATGAGGAGGCTCATGGACATCAAGAGGGAAACAACACACACTGGGGCCTCCTTGAGGGTGGAGGATGAAAGGTGGAAGAGGAGAAAAAAAATAACTTTTGAGTACTACACTTAGTAACCAGGTGAAGAAATCATATACACCACAAATCCCATGACACGACTTTATCTGCATATGTACCCCGAACCTAAAATAAAATGAAAGAAAAATCAAATAAAAACAACAATCTCACCTTCCTCCCAGAATCTGCAGGAGAAACAGTGTCTCTGAAACTTTTATTTACATGGACACCAAGAGAAAGGAGAGGGTGTAGCTAGAGCCCAGGTGTGTGACAGTCAGGTGAGAGTGGCCCTTACCTGGCAGAGCCAAGCAGCCTAGTGTGGAATAGGTTCATGCAAGAAATTTCTCTGCTTCTCTCCACAGATCCTCCTGAGGATCAAGGTCAGTGCTCTCCCAGAACGTTCAAAAGCAGAGAGAATCATTACCTTCTAGGGCTAATGTATTTCCCCAAAATCTCCAACTTTTTTCTTTTCAGCCGTTGTACAAATTGGGAAAATGTACACTTTCTGGGTATATTCTGCATAGATGAGAAAAGGCTTGAGAGGCATAAAGGCTGGGCTTTACAACCACTACCGCTCACTCCATCATCTTTATCTATGCATTTCCCTGGTAACCCAATCCACAGCCTGGTAACTCCCCCACTGTCACTTCTGCTGCATTACAGATACAGACCTGCAAATAGCTATGGTTGTGACTGAGTTTCTTCCTAACAACTAAACCTGTCTAAAGCTGCAAGGAAATCTTGCTGGGAGGAGCTTGGAATCTGGAATGAAGCCCGAGGGCAAGGCTGAAGTGGGTCATTTAAATGCTGCAACTCAGAGATTCACTCAGAAGACTGGACTCAATTCTGAAGGTCGCCAAGAAGGAGAGAACAATGTCTTCTTTACCCGTGAGTTGAAAAGGCACAGCCTTCAAAAATTTCGTGTCACACAAACCAAGAAAGAAATGGGAGATTTTATGAGATGAAAATATGAGCATTTTTGCTGTGAATGCTTTACTTAGAGCTATTGAGGTGTGGAATAGAAACCCTGAGGCTATGGTATCTGAGATGCTTGTGGGGATTGCGGTGTGGACCCTGGACCAGTGTAACCTTCGGTGAGTGTGAGGTGGTGTCTGATGAGCATAAACTCTGCGGAGATAATGTGACTTTAAGTGGGAGGTGGATTACCCACCAGGACGAGCAGGTGTGTGAATGGAGAGTAAAGGGGTGAGTCGGCTTTGTTTCCTGTCTATGATGTGAGTATGTGTGTGAGCACAGCCAGACCAGTGCATGAGCATCGTTATGTGCACAGTGAGCAGGTGTGTGTGACGCAGTGAGTGGTGTGGCTCTGTGTGACTGTGAGTGTGTGTGCTGGGATGTGACTGTATGTTGAAGTGGGATCATGCATGTGGCTTTCTTCACATGTGAATGTTTCTCCCCACACAGCAGCACCTCTGATGTGAATCCCATGTGGCTTAACTGGTGGGGATCTTGGGGATTGTGAGTTACCAAGGACTTATTTCAGATCACTTGTGAGAGCAGAATGTATGATCAGTAGATGTCTCTTCCCAGTAAGAGTGGGGAAGAGGAATGCAGACTATGGGGGTGATGGTTCCTCAGGTGGGGTCTGCACAGAGTGACCACTGTCTCTTGCCTCCCAGGCTCAGCTTGCCTGTCCCTAGCCCATCCAGTTCTTCCCACTGTGTGACAGGAGGGTGTGCAGATACTGGTTTGTTAGGGAAGGACATTAGAGGCCGTGATTTCAGAGACTGAATCACACAAAATATCCACTGTAAGCTCTGTCTGAACTGAGACTAAACTTGTTCTACACCCATGAAAGAACAAGTTAAGTCTCAGTTCAGAAGGAGCTTACAGTGGATATTAATCAACCAAGCAGCTGGGTTCACTGGCTTATGGCTATAATCCCACCAATTTTGGAGGCAAAGATGAGAGGATAACGAGGCCAGAAGTTTGAGACCAGTCTGGGTATCAGAGTGAGACCCTTTCTTTAAAAAACTTTAAATATTTGACTGGCAGAGAGGCAGGTACCTTTCTTCCCAGCTATTCAAGAGGGAGCAGATGTGTGAGATTCACTGCAGCCCAGGAGTCTGAGGTTTCAGTGAACCATGATTGCATCCCTGCATGTCAGCCTGGGTGACAGAGCAAGAACCTATCTCAAAAGTACAGAAAAATCATCTCATCTACTTGTAGTCATCATAGAAATCAATCATTCCCTCCAGTTATGTCCCTGACCCACAAGCTTCATTTGTGCAAGTACTGGGGCTGTGCTCTCAGTAGTGTGTGCCCCTTCTTGGAAGGATGTCCATGGCCCTTGATGATAGTGATGCATGTGCATCCCACACACAGGGGTTTCCTGTTCTTTCATCATTTCCCTCTCCCTTTCAACAAGTGTTGTTTCTCACTGGAGTGAATGTTTAAATTCTTACATTTACAAGTCTTGTTTTAATTTTCAGAGTTGAAAATGAAGGCAGGTCAGTCTTTCAAGAGGACTCTCCTGTCCTGTTAGGTCACCCTAAGAGGCCCTACGCATGACAGGGATTAGGGTAACACTTTTACATGTATTAACTCCCTATTACGGAGAACATCCTACAAAGTAGAAATTCCTGATAATCCTCGTTGTCCTAGGGAAAATGAGGGAGAGTTCAAGTAGCAAATCTAAGACTGCACTGCTAGTAAAAGGCAGAATGAGGACTGGAATCCAGGCATCCTGGCTCCTGAACCCTTGCTCTAACTTATGGGTCCGCCATATCTTCAGGAATATGGGGCCCTGAATGCGGTAGGGTTAAAGAGGAGAGTCCACAGAGTCTGCCCTTTCATCTCCAACCTCCTGCACCATGAGAATATGTTACAGGAGGGGAGACTGCACCTGACCCTGCACCTCTCACTTACTCTCAATACTCTGGCAGGTGCCATACAAACTGCCTGTGTCTTTGTCTGTTGGTTCCTGCGTGATAATCAAAGGGACACCAATCCACTCTTTTATGTGAGTACTCCATGGTCCAATGGAGGGGTTGGAGAAGAAGGGAGAATATTTGCGAAGATTTGACCTTACATGTGGGTGATGTGGAAATGTCTAGTTGGCAGAATGGAGGCCCCATGCAGGTGCAGGTCTTGGAGACCCTCCAGCACCAGGCATGAGACCCACAGCAACTGCATGTGGGCCAGCCATGGGGCCTACAGGAGGAGAACACTCAGTGGGTTGGGGCTGTGGCTCTTTATCAGGGGGCATAGAATTTTCGGGAATGAACAAGTCATAGGCCCAGGTCAGTGACTGTGGCTCAGTTTTCATCTGGGGATGAGGAGCACAGAATCTCCCTGCCTGGGGGCATGAGGAGCTGAAGCATCCCCACAGGGACCTGGCCATCAGTATTATCTGGGAGACTTTTTCCCTAGGTAAATGGGGGAAGGGATTTGTGTGTGTGTCGAGTGTGTGTCTGCGCAAGGGAGGGACCTGCCCAACATTCTGCGTGCTTCACCCTCAGCAATGACCCACAGCTGCAGGTGGATTTCTACACTGACATGGATGAGGATTCAGATATTGCCTTCCGTTTCCGAGTGCACTTTGGCAATCATGTGGTCATGAACAGGCGTGAGTTTGGGATATGGATGTTGGAGGAGACAACAGACTACGTGCCCTTTGAGGATGGCAAACAATTTGAGCTGTGCATCTACGTACATTACAATGAGTATGAGGTGAGCATCCCAGGAGCTCCCAGCACCCAGGCTCTGTGGGCTCCCAAAACAGGAGGCAGCTCTCATTGATCTGGCCTCAGTAGTCCGTCAGGGTCCATCTCCCATAACTACTCCTGCCCCTGGTTTTCATCACAGAGCACCCCCTGCTTGCACTGCCATCCTCAGCTCTTTCCCAAATCTGACCAATGTCAAGGTCAGCTCACCTGACATTTCCCCCAAAGTAGATAATCTCCTCTGTCTTTTCACATACTGCTCATTTCTACTTATGCCATTATTTAAATTTTCATTTAGCTGAGTGAATACAATATACTTCAGGAAAAAAAAGTTTAAAAAAAAAAGGTTGTTTTAATCAGTCACAAATTAAGTCTTTGTCTCATTTTGGGGCCCGAATTCTACCATAGGAAAAACATTACCAGAGCTCTGCTTTCATTCAAAGAGGTTTTGTTTGTTTGTTTGTTTTTGTTTGTTTGTTTTCTTGAGATAGAGTCTCATTTTTCATCCAGGTTGGAGTGCAGTGGCATGATATCAGCTCACTGCAACCTCCACCTCCTGGATTCAAACAATTCTCTCGCCTCAGCCTCCCAAGTAGCTGGGACTACAGGTGTGTGCCAGCACACCTGGCTAATTTTTGTATTTTTAGGGGAGACGGGGGTTCACCACTTTGGCCAGGCTGGTCTTGAACTCCCCACCTCAAGTTATCTGCCCAATTTGGCCTCTCAATATAATGGGATTACAGGCTTAAGCCACCATGCCCAGCCCTTCAGAGGAAATTTTTGCTTATGGAAGCATATAGATATGTCTATGATTTCATTTGTTTTTAAGCAAATCCTGGTATAAGTTGCTCTACACATTACGCTTCAAGAACTAAGTTGATTTGTTGCCAAAGAATATATATTGAAGACATTATCAATCTGTCGTGCTGCTTCAGTTTTTAAAGATTGCATAATATTGTGTTAAGAAGTTTACCCAAAGTTGTGGAACTTGGCCCTTTTGGGGGCACTAAATTTCCTTCCAGTATTTTGCTCTCACAAATGATGTCGTATTAAGTTTTCTAATCAATCCTTTTGTCATTACCAACCTCCCAATACTTGTACTAGAAGATAATTACAAAAAAATGGAAAAACTGGCTCAAAAATGTGTGCATTTTAAATTCGAAAAATTAATACTAATAAGGTTACTTTCTCTATAGCCTCAATATAAAGAATACATCCATACTTTCTGGCTTTCTCTAACGAGTAGGCCAAAACATTCACATCTTATTCAGATTCAAGCGAGGGATCTTTTCCTATGCTTAGAAGTTTTTGAAGGTAATATCCTGTTTCACAAGAACAGTTCTCCTTTCATTCTATAAGAACCCTGGGTTTCCTTCTTTGCCACTAACACCTCAGATGTAGGTTACTCCAAAGAGAAACTGTGCCATCAGTAGTGAAAAACAATCACAGTTCATGGAACTGAAAAGTATGCATTCAACGAACATGGTCTAGCACTAACCCTGTGGCAGGTCCTGTGCGAGATGCAGGGTCTCAAGTTCCTGAGACACAGTCCCTGGCGATGGGGATCTTCCAGGTTAGAAGGGAGGCTGAGTAAGCAAAGACTTTGTGACACAGAGTATAGAACTTCGCTAGAGGAATGAGTGGAAACATTAGAAATAAAGTCGGGTACTGTCTCAAATAGGCACAAAACGTCATCTGTAAACATAAGTGTATCTAATACGTTAACTTGTATAACTAGGAATTTTCTTGGGGAATGTTATTTGTACCAGGACAGAGTGGAGAGGAGGCCGAAAACTTGTTTGGTGGCATGCTTTCTTTCTGATGCATTTTTCCTCTTGTAGATAAAGGTCAATGGCATACGCATTTACGGCTTTGTCCATCGAATCCCGCCATCATTTGTGAAGATGGTGCAAGTGTCGAGAGATATCTCCCTGACCTCAGTGTGTGTCTGCAATTGAGGGAGATGATCACACTCCTCATTGTTGAGGAATCCCTCTTTCTACCTGACCATGGGATTCCCAGAACCTGCTAACAGAATAATCCCTGCTCACATTTTCCCCTACACTTTGTCATTAAAACAGCACGAAAACTCACATGATTTGGTTCTTGCTTTCAGAGGGGAAAAGAGGAAGTTGTCATCCCCAAGGGGGGCCAGGGCATTCTATGGGAGGCATCAGGAAATCAAAGGGGATAAACCTTCCTGTGACAAAGGGAGTGAGTGACAAGGTCCGTGGAATGTCTGAGAAGACATTAGAAACAGCATCCTTCTATAGCACGTAGTTGACCTCAGACAGTCTGAGCTAAAATACTTACCCAATCTCAAATGACTCAAGGCACTTAAATGTTAGGTAGCTGTTTACAGCCACGCAAGTGTACATGGTGGCTTTGGGGAAAATCTGTAACTCGAGGAAAATTATGTGGAATTTCTTAATTTTTTTCCATTGTTCTCAGGATGCTTACTGTGTATGAACACTGTGCCCGGCTTTGTGCGGGCTGCTGTGAAGGAACTGAAGAAAAAGATGACAAGTTTGCATGTGAAGTTTTCAATCCAAGTAATAGTTTAGAGAATCACTGGAGCCCAGTGATTTCCCTTAAAGAATCCCAATTATTCTTATTTTCAAATATTTGAAAATTGCTTCATTTTATGTGGGGAGAATCCAGGGGTTTCTCTTTGGAAATGAATGGTCATGATTTGAGATCAGAGAACATATAGATTATTATTGGAATAGATACAAGTCACGTACATTGACACAGTGAGCAGACCCTTATTTGTTGCTTTTCCAGTGATGAATTGCAGCACAGCAAACCTCACAACACACATCGGCTAAAAGCAATCATTTATTTTGATCTCTCCCCGCTTCACAGGTTTACTGAACTTAAGTGAGTGGTAGATTATGTGACGGGAGTCGCGTTTTCTGAGAGATCTTTTAGGCTGGGATTTCAGAGGATGCTTTACTCATGTCCAACTCAACAGCAGGACTGGGTGAACACATAGAAACTGGGAAGCTGTCTCCTTCAATACCTCACCTTCCCATGCATGACATTAATTTCCTAAAATCAGGAGAGTCTCATGGTTCTGGGACTTAATAAATGGTGATTGGCTTTCACCAAAGAAAGCCTTTCAAAAGGCTCATGGAGAAGGTGCACAGCATCACAGGACTTACCTTTGAATGGCAGACAGTGTTACTTCTAAGGTTTTACATTGATCAAGGTGAGTCATACAGACGGCCCTAATCAAAAGGAGAGGACTCCACAAGCTGTGGTTATTGTGACTGTAGTCATGAGGGGCCATCCTTGGCAACTAGTTCCACTCAGAACTAGTTCCCACATACCGAAAACACTAACCATGTAAGGAATCTCAGGCTGGGCGCGGTGGCTCACGCCTGTAATCCCAGCACTTTGGGAGGCCGAGGCGGGCGGATCACGAGGTCAGGAGATCGAGACCATCCCGGCTAAAACGGTGAAACCCCGTCTCTACTAAAACTACAAAAAATAGCCGGGCGTAGTGGCGGGCGCCTGTAGTCCTAGCTACTTGGGAGGCTGAGGCAGGAGAATGGCGTGAACCCGGGAGGCGGAGCTTGCAGTGAGCCGAGATCCCGCCACTGCACTCCAGCCTGGGCGACAGAGCGAGACTCCATCTCAAAAAAAAAAAAAAAAAAAGGAATCTCTGAAGGCATTACAATTGCAAAAACAGGCTCAGAGTAAAGTGCAATATCTTATCTGATCAGGACACCGTGTCTATGATGTGACTACAAATTATCACTTGCAATCCCCTGCAACATGTGCACCAAGGGGGCACATTATCTGCTTTATACTAATCAAAGAAGACTGAACGAGACAGGAAAAGTGCAATGAACACATATATTTTAGATGGGCAAAAAAAAAAAAAAAAAAAAATAGACAGCAGTCACTAATCCATATTTTTGCTGAAACCAACCAGAAAACTATTTACATTTTCTCTGGGAATGTTTTTCTGTAGCACTTGTCCCCACCCTCCATTCTCAGTTTCTTGGAGTTCCTACCAAGACGGCAGAATGACAGCCCTTTTCCCACTATAAGAGCTGTGATTATCTACTTCATAGCATGTATGGAAAACCACTTAGGAGAACAGAAACAACATATTACCTAAAAATCCATGAAGCTAGAATGAAGAGAGTTCCAGAAAATAGCGTCTTTGTTTGCAAGGACCATCTTAGGTGTCATTTTGATCATTATTTTCTCTCCCCATGTTCATTGCAACAGTTTCTGCAACTCCAACCTCACTCATGGGTATGCCTCTCTCCTTACACTTCCTTTAACCTAACTTCCAGACACTTTGAGGTGCCAACGCACAGTGAATGAAACTCTTCATGCCTCTCTTCCTTGTTTCATTCCAGGATGGAATAAAATTCCCTGCCCTCTCACTGGAAACTCTTGCGTTCTGATTAGGTACACTCTTCTCCATACACTTATACAGTCTTGATCACTTCTCATTTTGATAATGGATCATAGACCCTATCACCAGCATGGAATTCATTTCTTTGGGAACTATGCAGTTTGTGCTCTGAGTGGATGAAACCTATCCTGGAACCCCTGGCTTCCTGAACAGAAGACAACTTGGAGTTTATATCTACTTGCTGCTTGCCTGGCGCCCATTTTATGTGAATAACCAACAAAGTCCTAAATTTCAGCCCTGCTAGGCAAACACACAGTGACTGCCCTTTCTTGAATGATATTCACCAGCTCAGTGCACTTCCTATGGGCCATTCGTTACATTCATCTTTATTCAGCTACTACTCTGAGCTCATAGTGGCCAGGAATGACATCTCAGATACAAAGAGATGACATAGAGTCCAGGGCCAATGTTCAACTAAAAATTTTTGAATTGCCTCTGGAAACCTATTCAACATCTTTCTTCATCCTGCTCAATCCAAATTCATGATCTTCTCCCAGCAAATAGGGCATTGCTCAAGAAGCAGAAAGCCATTTCTGAACTCTAAGGCCTCCTCATCTTAGGTCTTTTGGTCTTCCCAGTTATTGCTGAAGCCCCCAAAGAATAAGTATACTCTGTGATAATATTGCCCTTGAAGCCCAGTTCCCTCAGCATTGCTATTCCTTTGGGATGCCATCTGTGATGCTACTAAACACTGGTGTATGTTGGCCTCTATTTGCAAGTGAGGGGTCAAGAAGATGGAATAAAAGAGAAATTTAAAAAATTTTCCCCAATTTATTTATGTTTACCATTTTTATTTGAAGTTCAAGTGTACATGTGCAGGTTTGTTATATAGGTTAATCCTTTGTCATGCGTGTTAGTTGTACAGATTATTTCATCACCCAGGTAACTAAACAAAGTACCCAATGGTTATTTTTTCTGCTCTTCTCTCTTTTCCTACCCCTCCACTCTCAGGTAGGCCCCAGTTTGTGTTGTTCCCTTCTTTGTGTTTATGAGTTCTCATCATTTAGCTCCCACCTATAAGTGAGAACATGCAGTATTTTTTTCTGGTCCTGCATTACTTTGCTAAGGATAATGGCCTCTAGCTCTACCTATGTTCCCGCAAAAGACATGACCTTGTTCTTTTTATGGCTGCATAGTATTCCATGGTGTATATGTACCACATTTTCTGTATTCAGTCAGCCATTAATGAACATTTAGGTTGATTCCATGTCTTTGCTATTGTGAACAGTGCTGCAATGAACACTTGTGTGCATGTGTCTTTATGGTAGAATGATTTATATTCTAATATTTATATGTATTTTTATTTCAATAATTTTTGGGACCCAGGAGGTTTTTGGTTGCATGGTTACATTCTTTGGTGGTGATTTTTGAGACTTTGCTGTACCCATAACCTAAGCAGTGTACACTGTACCCAATATGTAGCATTTTATCTGTCACCCCTCCCACCCTTCCTTCGAGTCTCCAAAGTTCATTATATCATCTTAATGCCTTTGCATCCTCATGGTTTAGCTCCCACTTATGAGTGAGAACATACAGCATCTGGTTTTTTATTCCTGAGTTGCTTCACTTAGAACAATGACCTCCAGTTGCATCCAAGTTGCTGCAATGGCCATTATTTCTTTCTGCTTTTATGGCTGAGTAGTATTCCATGGTGCATATTTACCACATGTTCTTTCTCCATTTATTGATCCATGGGCACTTAGGTAGATTCCATGCCACTCTAAACATGTGTGTGTATGTCTCTTTTCTATATAATGACTTCTTTTCTTCTGGATAGGTACCCAGCAGTGGAATTACTGGATCAAATGGTTGTTCTGCTTTCAGTTCTTGAAAGAATCTCCATATTCTTTTCCACAGTGGTTGTACTAGTTTACAGTCCCACAAGCAGTGTAAAAGCATTCCATTTTCACCACATCCACACCAACATATATTCTTTTTTAATGTTGTATTTATGATCATTCTTGCAGGACTAATTTGGTATCTCGTTGTGGGTTTAATTTGCATTTCACTGATGATTAGAGATGTTGAACATTTTTTAATATGTTTATTGGCTGCTTGTATATCCTTTTTTGTCTCCGTACTAAAACATTATTTTATTTTTATGTTGTTTTTGAACCTATTAATTCAGTTTATTTTTTTCCATAAATTATTGGGGTACAGGCGGTATTTGGTTACATGAATAAGTTATTTATTGGTGATTTGTGAGATTTTGGTGCACCCATCAACCAAGCAGTATACACTGCATTATATTTGCAGTCTCTTATCCCTCACCCTTCCCCAACACTTCCCTTCAACTCCCCATAGTTCATTATATCATTTTTATGCCTTGGTGTCCTCATAGCTTAGCTCCCACATATCAATGAGAACATATGATGTTTGGTTTTTCATTCTTGAGTTACTTCACTTAGAATGATAGCCTTCAAATTCATCCAGATCACTGCAAATGCTGTGAATTTATTCCTTTTTATGGCTGCATAGTATTCTGTTATGTGTGTGTGTATATATATATACCACAGTTTCTTTATCCACTCGTTGAATGATGGGCATTTGTGTTGGTTCCATGATTTTGCTACTATAAATTGTGTCACAGTAAACATGGGTGTGCAAGGATCCTTTTTGAATATTGACTTCTTTTCCTCTGGGTAGATACCCAGTAGTGGGATTGCTGGATCAAATTGTAGTTCTACTTTTTGTTCTTTAAAGAATCTCCACACTGTCCTCCATAGCAACTATACTTATTTACATTCCCACCATCAGTATAGAAGTGTTCCCTCATCACCGCATCCATGTCAAATCTACTGTTTTTTGTTTGTTTGGCTGGTTGGTTGGTTGAAAAGTTGGTTGGTTGGTTGTTTATTATGGCCATTCTTGCAGGAGTGAGGTGTTATCACATTGTGGTTTTGATTTGCATTTCTATCATGATTAGTGATGTTGAGCATTTTTTCATGTGTTGTTTGTCCAATTGTATATCTTCTCTTGAGAATTCTCTATTCATGTCTTTAGCCCATTTTTCAATGGAATTGTTTGTATTTTTCTTGCTGATTTGTTTGAGTTCTTTGTAAATTCTGGATATTAGTCTTTTGTCGATGCATAGTTGTGAATATTTTTTCCCCACTCTGTGAGTGGTCTGTTTACTCTGCTGATTATTTCTTTTACTGTACAGAAGATTTTAGTTAGGTCTCATTTATTTATTTTTGTTGCATTTGCTTTTGGGTTCTTAATCATGAATTCTTTGCCTAAGCGTCTAGAAGAGTTTTTCAAATGTTATCTTCTTGAATTTGAATGGCTCCACATCTTAGATTCAAGTCTTTGATCCACCTTGAGTTGATTTTTTTATAAGATGAGATGAGAATCCAGTTTCATTCTTCTACATGTGGCTTGTCAGTGTTCCCAGCACCATTCATTGAGTGCGGTGTTCTTCCCCCACTGATATGGTTTGGATCTGTGTCCTCTCCCTAATCTTACATCAAATTGTAATCTCCAACGTTGGAGGAGGGACAGTGAGGTCCAGGCTGATGAGGTCTCAGGTGGGGATAAAGAACTTATTGGAAGTTGGAATAAGGGTCACTCTTACCATGCTTTAGCAAAGAGACTGGTAGCATTTTGTCCCTGCTCTATAGATCTGTGGAACTTCAAACTTGAGAAAGGTGATTAAGGGCATCTGGCAGAAGACATTTCTAAGCAGCAAAGCATTCAAAAGTAGCTTGACAGCTTCTAACATTGTATGGTCATATGCATGAAAAAAGAGATGATCTGAAACTGGAACTTATATTTAAAAGGGGAGCAGAGCATAAAAGTTTGGAAAATTTGTAGCAAGATCATGTGGTAGAAAAGAAAAATTCATTTTCTGGGGAGGAATTTTCAAGTTTGCTGCAAACATTTGCATAAGTAAAGAGGAGCCAAAACAACAAATGCCTCAAAGGCATTTGTTGATCTTCACGGCAGCCCCTCCCATCATAGGCCCAGAGGCCCAGGAGGAAAGAATGGTTCTGTGGGCTGGGCCCAGGGCCCTACTGCCCTGCACAATCTTGGGACACTGCTCCCTGAGTCCCAACTGCTCCAGCTTCAGCCGTGGCTAAAAGTGTGCCAAACATGTCTCAGGCTGCTACTTCAAAGGGTGCAAGTCATAAGCCTTGAAAACTTCCATGTGATTTTAAGCTTGTGGTGCACTGAAGGCAAGATCTGAGGCATGGGAGCTTCTGCCTAAATTTCAGAGGATGTATGGGAAAGCCTGGATGTCCAGGCACAAATCTGCTGCAGGGGCAGAGACCTTACAAAGAACCTCTACTAGGGAAGTGCATAGGGGTTGAGCCCCCACACAAGACCACACTGGGGTACTGCCTAGTGGAGCTGTGATAAGAGGGCTACCATCCTCCAGACCCCAGAATGGTAGATCCACTGACAGCTCACACCATGTGCTGGGAAAAGCTGCAGGCACTCAATGCTAGCCTGTGAAAACACCCATGAGAGCTCTACCCTGCAAAGCCACATAGGCAGAGCTGCCCAAGGCCTGGAAGACCACCCTTGGCATCAGTGTTGGCTGGATGTGAGATATGGACTCAAAAAAGATTATTTTTGAGCTGTAAGATTTAATGACTGCCATGCTGGGTTTCAGACTTGCAGGGGCTTGGAGCCCTTTTGTTTTGGCAGATATTTCCCTTTTGGAAAGGAAGTATTTACCCATTGCTTATACCTCCATTGTATCTTGGAAGTAATTACCTTGTTTTTTATTTTACAGGCTCATAGGTTGAAGGGATTTGCATTGTCTCAGATGAGACTTTGGACTTTAGGCTTTTGAATTAATGCTGAAATGAGTTAAGACTTTGGGGAACTGTTGGGAAGGCATGATTATATTTTGCAATGTGAGAAAGACATGAGATTTGGGAAAGGCCAAGGGTAGAAATGAATGATTTGGGTCTGTTTCCCTGTTCAAATCTCACAACAAATTGTAATCCTCAAGGTTGGAGGAAGGTAGTAGGGGGAGGTGATTGGATCATGAGGGTGGATTTCCCTTTTGCTGTTCTCATGACAGTGAGTGAATTCTCAAAGATCTGGTCATTTAAAAGTGTGTAACACCTCTTTCTTTGTTCTCTCTTTCTCCTACCATGTAAGACATGCCAGCCTCCTCTTTGCCTTCTGCATAATTGTAAGCTTCTTGAGGCCTCCCCAACAATGCTTCTTATACAGACTGTGGAGTTGCTAGCCAATTAAACCTATTTTATTTATAAATTATTCATTGTCAGGTATTTCTTTATAGCAGTGCAAGAATGGACTGATACATCCACTTCAAGCTTTTGTATGCTTTGTTGAAGATCCATTGGCTGTAAGTATTTGGCTTTATTTCTGGGCTCTCTATTCTGTTATTGGACTACATGCCTAATTTTTTTTTACCAGTACCTGCTGTTCTGTTAACTATTGCCTTGTAGTTTAATTTGAAGTTGGGTAATGTCACACCTCCAGATTTGTTCTTTTTGCTTTGTTATTGCTTTCTCTATGTGGGCTCTCTTTTGATTTTGTATAAATTTTAGGATTTTTTTTTGAAGTTCTTTGAAGGATGATGATGGTATTTTGATGGGAATTGCATTGAAACTTTAGATTGCATTGGGCAATATGGTCATTTTCACAATATTTATTTTACCCAATCATGAGCATTGGGTGTGTTTTCATTTGTCTGTGTCATCTATGATTTTAGAGACGAGCTCTGGCTCTGTGGTCCAGGTTGGAATAAAGTGGTGTGATCATGGCTGTCTGCAACCTCAAACTCCTGGGCTCAAGTGACTCTTCTGCCTTGGCCTCCAAAAGCCCTGGGATTACAGTCATGAGCCACCACACCTAAACCCATGGACCATTGTTTTTTAAAAGAAAAACAAGTTCATTAACCCTAAGGGTAGCCTCCAGGAGTTAGGATATGGCGTTAACCAATTAATAGTGACTTATGCATGGAGGAAGAAAGGAAAATTAGGAAGACAAATCTCTTATAATTTTCATCATACAATCTTGGTTACAAACCCAGTCGGTAGAATGCAGTCAATGACCTGCTGACATGGGGGTACAAAAGGCCACCCTTTTACCTCAAAGAGCAACTCTGCTGTGCAGTTCACACTCCAGTGCTTCTTCCTGAAATAAGACTAAGCTACATCTAGCTGTTCCAATTCTGTTCCAACTAAGCAGCCACTCTCTAACCACTGACAATCCCTAATCTGTTCTTCTATCTCTATGATTTGCATATCCTGGACATTTCATGTAAATGAAATCATACAATTGGATTTTTGTGTCTGGCTTTTTTCCACTTAAAACATTAAACACATAATGTTTTCAAGGTTCATTTATGTTGTAGCATGTATCAGTATTCCTTCTTTTTGTAGCTGAATAATATTCCATTTTGTGAAGATATCACAATTTGTTTATCCTTTCAGCAGTTGATGGACAATTGGGTTGTTTCTACTCTTTGACTATTGTGAATAGTGATCCTATGAACATTTATGTACAAGTTTTTGTTTGAACACCTGTATCCAAGCCAAGAAGTTGAATTGTTAGGTCATATTATACTTTTATGTTTAACTCATTAAGGAACCACAAAACTATTTTCCACAAAAGTGATGCCATTTTACATTTCTGTCACCAATGCACTAGAGTTCTAAAAATTTTCTGCATCCTCACCAACTCTTGTTTTTCCTTTTTAAAATTATAACCATCCTAGTGGGTGTGAAGTAGTATCTCATCGATTATTTTGTGTGTGTGTAATTTTATTTATTAATTGTTTAATTTTTTATTTTCATACATTTTTGGGGAACAGGTGATATTTGGTTACATGAGTCAGTTCTTTAGTGGTGATTTGTGAGACTTTGGCACACCCACCACCCAAGCAGTATACACTGAACCCAATTTGTAGTGTTTTATCCCTCACCTTCTTCCCACACTTTCTCCTTGAGTTTCCAACTTTCATTGTACCATTCATATGCCTTTGTTTCCTCATAATTTAGCTCCCACTTATGCGTGAGAACAAACAATGTGTGGTTTTTCATTCCTGACTTACTTCACTTAGAATAATAGTCTCCTATCTCGTCCAGATTGCTGCATATGCAATTAACTCATTCCTTTTTCTGGCTGAGTAGTATTCCATTATATATATCACAGTTTCTTTATCCATTCATTGATGAGTATTTCAGCTGGTTCCACATTTTTGCAATTGTGAATTGTGCTGCTATAAACATGCGTGTGCAACTATCTTTTTTGTATAATGACTTCTTTTCCTCTCAGAAGATACCCAGTAGAGGGATTGTTGGATCAAATTATAGTTCTACTTTTAATTCCTGAAGGAGTCTTCACATTGATTTCCATAGTGGTTGTACTACTTTACATTTCCACCAGCAATGTAGAAGGTCCGTTTTCACTGCATCCACACCAACATCTTTTATTTTTTGGTTATTTTATTGTGGCCTTTCTTACTGGAGTAAGGTGGTATCGCATTGTGGTTTTGATTTGCATTTCCCTGATCATTAGTGATGTTAAGCAGGCTTTCATATGTCTGTTGGCCATTTGTATATCTTCTTATGAGAATTATCTGTTCATTTTCTTAGACCACGTTTTGATAGGATTGTTTGTTTTTTTCTTGCTAATTTGTTTGGGTTTGTTGTAAATTCTGGATATTAGTCCTTTGTTGAACATATAGATTGTGAAAATTTTCTCCTACTCTGTTGGTTGTCTGTTTATTCCGCTGAGTGTTCCATTTGCTATGCAAAATGCTTTTCTTTAATTAAGCCTCATCTATATATTTTTGTTTTTGTTGCATTTGTCTTTGGGTTCTTGGTAATGAAATCTTTGTGTGCAGACTCAACAGGCAGGGAGGCATGAAAACCTTGCTTGCTTTCTTAGATGGAAGGCTGTTAGCCTGGGACAAGTTCTCAGCCCTTGTCACCCACTGCCTGGAAACAAACTCAGTGCTGTTGGGGACAGCACAACGGGAGTGAGACCAGCCTTTTGGGTTGCAGGGGAGATGGAGGAGGCCTGTAACTGCCAGCTTTCCCCCACTTAGATGACAACCTGTATGATACAGCAGAGGCAGCCATAATTCTTCTGGGAAAATAACACCACTCATCTCAGAACCACACCCTGAACCCCCACCACAGCCACAGCAAGCCCCACCCAAGGAGCCCAAAGAGGATCTGTGCTCAGACATGCCTAACACTGTCCCCATCTGATGGTCCTTTCTGACCCACTTTGGTAGCTGAAGATAGATGTCCTATTTTTGATTTGCATTTCCTTCATGACTAATGACATTAAATACCTTCTTGTGTGCTTGATGGCCATTTGTATATGTTTTTGCAGACATGTCATTTGCTCATTTTTAAATTGGGTTGCTTTTCTTTTTGCTGTTTAGTTGTGAAAGTTCTTCATATATTCTGAATACTAGACACTTACCAAGTGTATGATTTGCCAATACATATTTTCCATTCTGCAGGTTATCTTTTCCCTCACTTTATAGTGTTTTTAATGCATAAAAATTTTTATTTTAATGTGGCCAAATTTATTATTTTTTTTTATTACTCGTGCCTCTGGTATCATGTTGAAGAAACCATTGCCAAATCCAAGATCAGGAAGATTCATTCTTATATTTACTGTGAGTATTTGGCAGTTTTATCTCTTACATTTGGGTTGTTGACACATTTTGAGTTAATTTTTTTCAATTATAATTTAAGTTCTGGGGTACATGTGCAGAACATTCAGTTTTCTTACATAGGTATACATGTGCCATGGTGGTTTGCTGCACCCATCAACCTGTCACCTGCATTAGGTATTTTTCCTAATGCTACCCTTCCCCTAGCCCACCACTCCCTGACAGGTCCCAGTGTATGATGTTCCCCTCCCTGAGTCCATGTGTTCTCATTGTTCAGCTCTCACTTATAAGTGAGATTATGTGGTGTTTGGTTTTCTGTTCCTGTGTTAGTTTGATGAGAATGATGGTTTCCAGCTTAATCCATGAACTTGCAAAGGATGTGAACTCATCCTTTTTGTATGGCTGCATAGTATTCCATGGCATATATGTGCCACATTTTCTTTATCCAGTCTATCATTGATGGGCATTTGGGTTGGTTCCAAGTCTTTGCTATTGTGAATAGTGCCATAATAAACATACATGTGCATGTGTCTTTATAGTAGCATGATTTATAATCCTTTGGGTATATACCCAGTAATGGGATCGCTGGGTCAAATGGTATTTCTAGTTCTAGATCCTTGAGGAATCACCACACCATCTTCCAGAATGGTTGAACTAATTTACACTCCCACCAACCGTGTAAAAGCTTTCCTATTTCTCCACATCCTCTCCAGCATCTGTTGTTTCCTGACTTATGGATGATCACCACTCTAACTAGCGTGAGGTGGTATCTCACTGTGGTTTTGATTTGCATTTCTCTAATGACCAGTGATGATGAGGTTTTTTTCATATGTTTGTTGGCTGCATGAATATCTTCTTTCCAGAAGTGTGTGTTCATGTCTTTTGCCCAATTTATGACGGGATTGTTTGTTTTTTTCTTGTAAATTTGTTTGAGTTCTTTGTAGATTCTGGATATTAGCCCTTTGTCAGATGGATAGATTGCAAAAATTTTCTCCCATTCTGTAGGTTGCCTGTTAACTCTATGATAGTTTCTTTTGCTGTGCAGAAGCTCTTTAGTTTAGTTAGATCCTATTTGTCAATTTTGGCTTTTGTTGCTATTGCTTTTGGTGTTTTAGTCATAAAGTCTTTGCCCATGCCTATGTCCTAAATTGTATTGCCTAGGTTTTCTTCTAGAATTTTTATGGTTTTAGGTCTTACGTTTAAGTCTTTAATCCATCTTGAGTTAATTTTTGTATAAAGTGTAAGGAAGGGGCCAATTTCAGTTTTCTGCATATGGCTAGCCAGCTTTCCCAACACCACTTGTTAAATAAGGAAACCTTTGGTACCAGTACCATGCTGTTTTTTGTTTGTTTGTTTGTTTACTGTAGCCTTGTAATATAGTTTGAAGTCAGGTAGCTTGATGCCCTCAGCTTTGCTCATTTTGCTTGGGATTGTCTTGGCTATTAAGGCTCTTTTTTAGTTCCATATAATGTTTAAAGTAGTTTTTTCCAATTCTGTGAAGAAAGTCAACGGTAGCTTGATGGGGATAGCATTGAATCTATTAAATTACTTTGGGCAGTATGACCTTTTTCACAATATTGATTCTTCCTATTCATAAACATGGAATGTTTTTCGATTTGTTTGTGTCCTCTCTTATTGCCTTGAGCCGTGGTTTGTAGTTCTCCTTGAAGAGGTCCTTCACATTCCCTGTAAGTTGTATTCCTCAGTATTTTATTCTCTTGATAGCAATTGTGAATGGGAGTTCACTCATGATTTGGCTCTCTGTTTGTCTGTTATTGGTGTATAGGAATGGTTGTGATTTTTGCACATTGATTTTGTATCCTGAGACTTTGCTGAAGTTGCTTATCAACTTAAGGAGATTTTGGGCTGAGAAAGTGGGGTTTTTAAATATACAATCATGTCATCTGCAAACAGAGAAAATTTGACTTCCTCTTTTTCTATTTGAATATCATTTATTTCTTTCTCTTGCCTGATTACCCTGGCCAGAACTTCCAATACTATGCTGAATAGGAGTGGTGAGAGAGGGCATCCTTGTCTTGTGCTGGTTTTCAGAAGGAATGCTTCCAGTTTTTGCCCATTCAGTATGATATTGGCTGTGGGTTTGTCATAAATAACTTATTATTTTGAGAGATGTTCCATCAATACCTAGTTTATTGAGAGTTTTTAGCATAAAGGGATGTTGAATTTTGTCGAAGGTCTTTTCTGCGTCTGTTGAGATAATTGTGTGGTTTTTGTCATTGATTCTGTTTATGTGATGGATTACGTTTATTCATGTGCGTATGTTGAACCAGCCTTGCATCCCATGTATGAAGCTGACTTGATGGTGGTGTATAAGCTTTTTGATATGCTGCTGGATTTGGTTTGCCAGTATTTTATTGAGGATTTTCACATCGATATTCATCAGGGATATTGGCCTGAAATTTTCTTTTTTTGTTGTGTCTCTGCCAGGTTTTGGTATCAGGAAGATGCTGGCCTCATAAAACGAGTTAGGGAGGATTCTCTCTTTTTCTATTGTTTGCAATAGTTTCAGAGGGAATGGTGCCAGCTCTGCTTTGTACCTCTGGTAGAATTTGGCTGTGAATTCATCTGCTTCTGGACTTTTTTTGGCTGGTAGTCTATTAATTACTGCCTCAATTTCAGAACTTGTTATCGGTGTATTCAGGGATTTCACTTCTTCAAGGTTTAGACTTGGGAGGGTGTATGTGTCCAGAAATTTATCCATTTCTTGTATATTTGCTAGTTTATTTGCATAGAGGTGTTTATAGTATTCTCTGATGGTAGGTTGTATTTCTGTGAGATCAGTGGTGCTGTCCTCTTTATCATTTTTATTGCATTTATTTGATTCTTCTCTCTTTTCATTTTTATTAGTCTGGCTAGCGGTCTATTTTGTTGATCTTTTCAAAAAATCAGCTCTTGGGTTCATTGATGGTTAGAAAGGTTTTTCGTGTCTCTATTTCCTTCAGTTCTGCTCTGATCTTAGTTATTTCTTGTCTTCTGCTAGCTTTTGAATTTGTTTGCTCTTGCTTCTCTAGTTCTTTTAATTTTGATGTTAGATTGTCGATTTTAGATCTTTCCTGCTTTCCCTTGTGGGCATTTAGTGCTATAAATTTCCCTCTCCACACTGCTTTAAATGTGTCCCAGAGATTCTGCTATGTTGTGTCTTTGTTCTCATTTGGTTCAAAGAATATCTTTATTTCTGCCTTAATTTTATTATTTACCCAGTAGTCATTCAGGAGCAGGTTGTTCAGTTTCCATGTAGTTGTGTGATTTTGAGTGAGTTTCTTAATCCTGAGTTCTAATATGATAGCACTGTGGACTGAGAGATGTTTGTTATGATTTCCATTCTTTTGCATATGCTGAGGAGTGTTTTACTTCCAATTATGTGGTCAGTTTTAGAATAAGGGCGATGAGGTGCTGAGAAGAATGTATATTCTGTTGATTTGGGGTGGAGAGTTCTGTAGATGTCTATTAGGGCCGCTTGGTCCAGAGCTGAGTTCAATTCCTGAATATCTTTGTTAATTTTCTGTCTCTTTGATCTGCCTAATATTGACAGTGGGGTGTTAAAGTCTGCCACTATTATTGTGTGGGAGTCAGAGTCTCTTTTTAGGTCTCTAAGAACTTGCTTTATGAATCTGGGTGCTCCTGTATTGGGTGCATATATATTTAGGATAGTTAGCTCTTCCTGTTGCATTTTTCCCTTTATCATTATGTAATGCCCTTCTTTGTCTCTTTTGATCTTTGTTGGCTTAAAGTCCATTTTATCAGAGACCAGGATTGCAAATTCCGCTTTTTTTTTTTTTTTTTGCTTTCCAGTTGCTTGGTAAATATTCCTCCATCCCTTTATTTTGAGCCTACATGTGTCTTTGTATGTGAGATGGGTCTCCTGAATACCGATGGGTCTTGGCTCTTAATCCAATTTGCCTGTCTGTGTATTTTAATTGGGGCATTTACCTCATTTACATTTAAGGTTAATATTATTATGTGTTAATTTGATCCTGTCATTATGATGCTAGCTGATTATTTTGCCCATTAGTTGATGCAGTTTATTCATAGTGTTGATGGTCTTTACAATTTGGTATATTTTTGCAGTGGCTGGTACCAGTTATTCTTTCCAAGCTTAATGCTTCTTTCATGAGCTCTTGTAAGGCAGGCCTGGTGGTGACAAAATCTCTCAACATTTGCTTGTCTGTAAAAGATTTTATTTCTCCTTCACTTATGAAGTGTAGTTTGGCTGGATATGAAATTCTGGGTTGAAAATTCTTCTATTTAAGAATGTTGAATATTGGCACCCACTCTTTTCTGGTTTGTAGGGTTTCTGCTGAGAAATCCACTGTTAGTCTGATGGGCTTCCATTTGTGGGTAACCCAGCCTTTCTCTCTGGCCGCCCTTAATATTTTTTCCTTCATTTCAACCTTGGTGAGTCTGACAATTATGTGTCTTGGGGTTGCTCTTCTTGAGGAGTTTCTTTGTGGTGTTCTCTGTATTTCCTGAATTTGAATGTTGGCCTGTCTTGCTAAATTGGGGAAACTCTCCTGGATAATATCCTAAAGAGTGTTTTCCAACTTGGTTCCATTCTCCTCATCACTTTTCAGGTACACCAATCAAATGTAGATTTGGTCTTTTCACATAATCCCAAATTTTTGGAGGCTTTCTTCATTCCTTTTCATTCTTTTTCTCCAATCTTGTCTTCTCACTTCATTTCATAAAGTTGATCTTCAGTTGCTGATATCCTTTCTTCCACTCAATTGATGAGGCTATTAATACTTGTTTATGCTTCATGAAGTTTTCATGCTGTGTTTTTCAGCTCCATCGGGTCATCTATGTTCTTCTCTAAACTGGTTATTCTAGTTAGCAATTATCTAGCCTTTTCTCAAGGTTCTTAGCTTCCTTACATTGGGTTAGAACATGCTCCTTTAGCTCAGAGGAGTTATTACCAACCTTCTGAAGCCTACTTCTGTCAACTCGTCAAACTCGTTCTCTGACCAGTTTTGTTCTCTGGCTGGTGAGGGGTTGTGATCCTTTGGAGGAGAAGAGGTGTTCTTGTATTTTGAATTTTAAGCCTTTTTGTGCTGGTTTCTCCCCATCTTCATGGAATTATCTACCTTGGTCTTTGATGTTGGTGACCTTCAGGTGGGGTCTCTAACGGTCAGTCCCCTCTGCTGCAGGTATGATGGAGTTTGCTCGAGGTCCACTCCAGAGCCTGTTTGCCTGGGTATCACCAGTGGAGGCTGCAGAACAGCAAAGATTGTTGCCTGTTCTTTCCTCTGGATGCTTTGTCCCAGAAAGGCCCCTGCCAGATGTCAGCCAGAGATCTCCTGTATGAGGTGTCACTGAGAGGTGTCTTGCAGTCAGGAGGCACAGGGGTCAGGGACCCACTTGAGTAGGCAGTCTGACCCTTGGCAGAGCTTGAACCCTGTGCTGGGAGGTCTGCTGCCCTCTTCAGAGCCATCAGGCAGGGTCGTTTAAGTCTGCTGAAGCTGCACCCACAGCTGCCCATTCCCCCAGGTGCTCTGTCCAAGGGAGATGGGGGTTTTATCTATAAATCCTTGCCTGGGGCTGCTGCCTTTTTTTTAGAGATACCCTTCTGCAGTGGCCTTGCTGAGCTGTGGTGGGCTCTGCCCATTTCGAACTTCCCGGTGGCTTTGTTTACCCTGTCAGTGGAAAACCACCTACTCAAGCCTCAGCAATGGCAGACGCCCCTCCCCCCACCAAGCTCGAGTGTCCCAGGTTGAGCTCAGACTGGGAGAATTTCAAGCCAGTGGATCTTAGTTTGCTGGGCTCCATGGGGGTGGGACCCGCCAAACCAGACCACTTGGCTCCCTGGCTTCAGTCCCCTTTACAGGGGAGTGAATGGTTCTGTCTCACTGGCATTCCAGGCACCACTGGGTTATGGCAAAAAAAAAAACAAAAAACAAAAAACAAAAAACAACTTCTGCTTTTGTGCTTGAAACCCAGGGCCCTGGTGGTATAGGTACCGGAGGTAATCTCCTGGTCTGCGGGTTGCGAAGACAGGGAAAAGCACAGTATCTGTGCGGAGCTCTTCATTCCTCAGGCACAGTCCCTCACAGCTTCCCTTGGGTAGGGGGGATAATCCCCCAACCCCTTGCACTTCCTGCGTGAGGCGATGCCCCACCCTGCTTCAGCTCGCCCTTCATGGGCTGCACCCACTGTCCAGTAGCGATGAGATGAACCGGGTACACATTTTGAGTTAATTTTTGTGTATGGTATAAGGTGAGGGTTCAGCTTCATTGTTTTACATGTACTGAATATACATTCAGTACAACAAACCTCCTTGACCTGTATAACAAGCCTGCACATCCTGCACATGTACCCCTGAACTTAAAGCTTAAAAGCTAAAAACAAACAAACAAACAAAACCAACAAGGCTGGGAGCTGTGGCTCACGCCTGTAATCCCAGCACTTTGGGAGGCCGAGGCGGGTGGATCACGAGGTCAGGAGATCGAGACCATCCTGGCTAACATGGTGAAACCCCCGCTCTGCTAAAAATACAAAAAAAAATTAGCCGGGCATGGTGGCGGGCGCCTGTAGTCCCAGCTACTCAGGAGGCTGAGGCAGGACAATGGCGTGATTCCGGGAGGCAGAGTTTGCAGTGAGCAGAGATCACGCCACTGCACTCCAGCCTGGGCACAGAGTAAGACTCCCTTTCAAAAAAAGAAAAGAAAAGAAAAGAAAACCAACAAAACAAAAATAATTTATTCAAGAGACAATTCCTTCCCACATTGAATGATCTTGGCACCCTTGTTGAAATCAATTTACAATGGATGTTTAGGTTTATTTCTGGACTCTCAATTCTGTTCCATTGATCTATAAGTTTACCTTTAAGCCAATATCAATGTATTTTGATTACTGTAGTTTCATTATCACAGCATTAACTTTGACATCTGGGATTTGTTGAGACCATGCAGTCAGCTTCCTTTGCAGATATGCCATGTTTTTTGAAATTACATCCTCCATATGAGTTTCAGCACTCAGTACTCTCTTCCCTGTGCTTGCAGGATGTGAGGGTTTCTTTAAATGCTATCACCAGGAACATCTAGTGTTCAAAATGTGCCTTGAATTGGTAGTTGGTGGGCACTAATGTGTCCCTCTTTTTCTTTCCTTCTTTCTTTCATTCTTTCTTTTTTTAAAAAGAATTTCAATGCAGTTAAAACCAAAGCAAGTACTTCCACAATCCTGTGATTACCATTGTACCCCTACAATTCTAGTGCCACAGCTACTGAAGTCATTCGCCTTCTCTCAGCACTTTCTGTCAATAAAGCACAGGTGACTATTCTTAGTAGTTGTGATACTAATAATTGTAATACAAAGCAATATTTAGTAACTGTGATACTTACTATGTCATGGGTAATCACTATGTCACTTACCAGCAATGGATCTTTACTGTGATCTGCCCAATAAGAGATTTAGGCTCCCATAATAAGGATCCAGCTTCTTTCTATGACTTTTTTCTGGCCTAAAGTTGGTTTCCACCCTTCTCCATCAAATATGAAATGTTTCTTAGTACTCTCTGCCCAGAAGATGAAAGGAAGTATTTATCCATCTGCCCCCATCCCCAGTTGTTAAAAAGTCATCCTGTTGGCATTAAGTCTCCCACAACTTTGGTTTGCAGATGCATGGGTGCTGAGAGGATTTCTGCAAGAGTCCTATTCTACCATCTCAAAGGAGCCCAGTGCTGGAAAGAGGAAGGTACTGGAAAGATAAATACTAAGGAGAGGCACTGTCAGTGTGCACCTGCATGAAGCTAGTGAAAAACTGTCTAGACCTGGTCAACTTAGTAATGGCTGGATGAAGAGGTGGGGCTGAGAGGATATCATGTGGTACAGGAAAAGCCTGATATACTGACCTCCTTTCAATTTCTCATACACACCAAGCTCATTTTCATTTTTGGAGCATCTTATATGACAAATTCAAAAAGCGTCAAAAATATCATAACAAGGCAGGGAGAATGTTCTAGTTTAAAAGAGACTAAAAAAGCGTAGCAACAGAGTTCATGAAACCTGATTGAGTGATGGATTTTAAAACAGCTATAAAGGACATGCTTTTGTACAATTGGGGAAATTAAAATAGTATCGTAAATTAGAAGTTGATTCTTAGGTGGTGGTAGAATAGAACTTCTATCAGTCTTGTGGATCTGAAGATACAGAAATTGTACGTTGGTGCCCGCCAAGTGGAAGAGAGAGTTAGGCTTTCAGTTGGAACCCTGAAAGGGATATACCCCAGAGCGGGGTTCCCCAACTCACAAGCCACAGACCAATAACAATCTGTGACCTGATAGGAATGGAGCCACACAGCAGGAGGTGAGCATCAGGTAAGCATTACCCCATGAGTGGCCTTATGACAGATCAGCCAGGCATTAGATTCTCATAGGAGCACGAATTAGAATTTCACTACCAGAATTCCACATTACGGGTGCCACAGTGTGTAGTTTTATTGCAAATAGTAGCATGACTATAACAATTGCCACAAGAGTGGTGTAGTAAAAAAAATTATTTAAAACTTACTTGCCCAACGTAAAACATTTCCCTTTGGGGATTTACAGAGTTACAATAGCAGTTTCATGTATAATTAAAATTTCCTGCAAATACGAATTAAAAATAAGTTTTATTATTTGGTGGCAAATTTTGAGAGTAAAGTGTGGAAATGACAAATATTATCTGTTGAAGTAAATGTGGGACTGAGTAAGATAAGTAGCCTTTAGTTACTTAATTTTTGTGATTTTTAGCTTATGATTTTTTATTTTTCCACAACTGATGTTCTGGACAATTCTCTGGGCTGTTAGGGGTTGCTCCCTCAGCTTTTTAGGCTTTGACTTGAGGTGATGTATTTAGGAGTTGATTCCTGTAACTTTTGCTTCTAAGAGCGTTGAAATAAGAACAATGTAGGGCCCTTCCCAGCTTGGCTTAAGGAAGAAGAGAGAAAGACTAAATTTCCTGGGTTAGATAGAGGTGGTTTTATTTCTTTGGACTTTTCTAGTTGTGTTAATGGCTTGAGGCTTCCTTGCCTCTGGCTTAGCTGGCTGATCAGCTAATTTATTTCCTTTGGCTACCTTATTTATTCTCTTTTGATGTTCCCTACAATGCATCCCTGCTATTTCGTGTGTAAGAAAAAGTAAGGATAATAACCTGTTAATTTCCTGGTGATATTTTATGGGAGATTCATTAGTGGTAAGAAAATGCCTTTCCTTTTAAATGGCAGCATGAGCATGGACAATTAGGAAAGCATACTTGGAGTTAGTATAAATGTTAGCTACCATTTCCTTGCTTAACTTAAGTGCTCTTGTAAGAGCTATTAGCTCAGCTAATTGAGTGCTTGTGTTTGGGGAGAGTGACTACTGCTTATCCTGTCTTATGTACTTCTTGCTTTACAGGCTGTTTATTAGCTAAGAGCTCCCCTTAGAGGACAGTGATCCTGCCACATTATGTGGGCTGTAAACAGTTGAATTATTTCCTAGGGTTAACTTGGAGGCTTTTCTGACTAGTAGAGCTAATATGACAATGACTTGGAAGCACGTGTAAATAGGTCTTTCTAACTACAGGTAAGGTGGAGAAAACTATTGGATTCGAGTTTTTCCTGAGATGCCCTTTACTGTTGTGCTATCTTTTTTTTTAATTATTATACTTTAAGTTTTAGGGTACATGTGCACAATGTGCAGGTTAGTTACATATGTATACATGTGCCATGCTGGTGTGCTGCACCCATTAACTCGTCATTTAACGTTAGGTATATCTCCTAATGCTATCCCTCCCGCCTCCCCCCACCCCACAACAGTCCCCAGAGTGTGATGTTCCCCTTCCTGTGTCCATGTGTTCTCATTGTTCAATTCCCATCTACGAGTGAGAACATGCGGTGTTTGGTTTTTTGTCCTTCTGATAGTTTACTGAGAATGATGATTTCCAATTTCATCCATGTCCCTACAAAGGACACGAACTCATCGCTTTTTATGGCTGCATAGTATTCCATGGTGTATATGTGCCACATTTTCTTAATCCAGTCTATAATTGTTGGACATTTGGGTTAGTTCCAAGTCTTTGCTATTGTGAATAGTGCCGCAATAAACATACGTGTGCATATGTCTTTATAGCAGCATGATTTATAGTCCTTTGGGTATATACCCAGTAATGGGATGGCTGGGTCAAATGGTATTTCTAGTTCTAGATCCCTGAGGAATCGCCACACTGACTTCCACAATGGTTGAACTAGTTTACAGTCCCACCAACAGTGTAAAAGTGTTCCTATTTCTCCACATCCTCTCCAGCACCTGTTGTTTCCTGACTTTTTAATGATTGCCATTCTAACTGGTGTGGGATGGTATCTCATTGTGGTTTTGATTTGCCTTTCTCTGATGGCCAGTGATGGTGAGCATTTTTTCATGTGTCTCTTTGGCTGCATAAATGTCTTCTTTTGAGAAGTGTCTGTTCATGTCCTTTGCCCACCTTTTGATGGGGTTGTTTGTTTTTTCCTTGTAAATTTGTTTGAGTTCATTGTAGATTCTGGATATTAGCCCTTTGTCAGATGAGTAGGTTGCGAAAATTTTCTCGCATTCTGTAGGTTGCCTGTTCACTCTGATGGTAGTTTCTTTTGCTGTGCAGAAGCTCTTTAGTTTAATTAGATCCATTTGTCAATTTTGGCTTTTGTTGCCATTGCTTTTGGTGTTTTAGACATGAAGTCCTTGCCCATGCCTATGTCCTGAATGGTAATGCCTAGGTTTTCTTCTAGGGTTTTTATGGTTTTAGGTCTAACGTTTAAGTCTTTAATCCGTCTTGAATTAATTTTTGTATAAGGTGTAAGGAAGGGATCCAGTTTCAGCTTCCTACATATGGCTAGCCAGTTTTCCCAGCACCATTTATTAAATAGGGAATCCTTTCCCCATTGCTTGTTTTTCTCAGGTTTGTCAAAGATCAGATAGTTGTAGATATGCGGCGTTATTTCTGAGGGCTCTGTTCTGTTCCATTGATCTATATCTCTATTTTGGTACCAGTACCATGCTGTTTTGGTTACTGTAGCCTTGTAGTATAGTTTGAAGTCAGGTAGTGTGATGACTCCAGCTTTGTTCTTTTGGCTTAGGACTGACTTGGCGATGCGGGCTCTTTTTTGGTTCCATATGAACTTGAAAGTAGTTTTTTCCAATTCTGTGAAGAAAGTCATTGGTAGCTTGATGGGGATGGCATTGAATCTATAAATTACCTTGGGCAGTATGGCCATTTTTGCAATATTGATTCTTCCTACCCATGAGCATGTTTGTGCTATCATAAAGGGGAGGTCTGGATTAGAGAGAAGAAAAGAGAGAGATGGGCTCTAGTGTTTAGGAGGAGGTTTACTTTCCTACCCTTAATTTCCAGAATTATCCAGGGCTCCTGTGCTATAAGGGCAATCTGAGCCCCTGGAGCTAAGGTTTAAGCCCTGGGACCCATCAGTCCTGCTGAACCATCTGTGAGACTGGTTTTGAACCCAGTGACCTCTGCCTCTGGGGGCAGTTCTGTTTCCAGTGGTTTTGCCACAGCCCAGACAGGGTTGAGGTTGCTTCATCTTGCTGCCTGGGCATTTCTTTTAAAAATGCCCTGGCCTGCCATGCCAATAGGAACTAGCAGATGCACTTTGGGGATTCTGGACTTTACAAGCTTGTAAAGCTGCTGCTGAAGCCTCTGTTGTTCTCCTGAAATTTTCCCCTTTTTGGGGGACTCTTCCTGGTACCTATTATAAAAGAAAAAAGTCACCACCTTCAGGAGGTTCTCTTAGGTGCTACTTCGTCCTATAGCTTGTTTTTGTAGTTTTCTTTTAATATTGGGAACTACCTGTGTAATAAACTTCTTTTTCAGAATGAGCTGTTCCTCCACTGAATTAGGGAATAAGGAGGTGTACTCTATTAGTGCCTCTCTTGGCCTTTCCATAAAGGCTACAGAATTCTTATCTGGCTTTTGGTTCATTATAGAGAGTTTCGAGTAACTGAGAGGTTTGGCCCTGGTTTTTCATAGGTCTCTTAAAATGCGTTTAAAAATTGGTTTCTTTTTCATTCATTTCCTGAGCTATTGGGGTTTTAGTTAGGGTTATTTACCAGAACTGCTTTCCTCCCTATTGGGAATGATTTTTTTTTTTGGTTTGGTGTTTTTTTTTTAAGTGATAAAAATATTTTATTTAAATGGTACAGAAGAAATTATGTGTACTTAAAAATGATTAAAAATTCATGTTAGGAAATGCTAAAAACCCAATAATTTACACAATGATAAAATCTAAAATGATGAGAAAACATGAAATGCTTTCGTTTGGTCCTCTGACCTAACAAAACTATTAAGAACATGAGATATAGTAATTACTGAAGTTGGGTTAAAAGCACAAGACAACATAATTCCTTTATATACATCCAGCCATTTTATACAAGAAACTGTTATACCTTAAATGGAAGAGTGAAGAATTTGTTTAAAATATTGAGAGTGCATTATGCACCTATAATGAAACCACTTTCTCCAAAGATTCAAACAGATTAACATTGCAAAATGGTATTTCTATATAACACCAACTTCTGAAAAATTTAATAATTCATTTAAGAATATGCAAGTGAAATGTAGTTTATTCTGATTTCAACAACGGATATTCAAAGTCACAATTTTTCCCAAGAAATCATTCACTTTATACTTTCAAAAACACATTGTAGCTTTTCTGTTACCAGTCAGCCATGTTTTCAACTAGCTGCATGTTTAATCATTCACTTCAAATTTACATGTCCAGCCCAGCACAGTGGCGTGGGCCTGTAGTCCCAACTACTTCAGAGGCTGAGGCAGGAGGATCGCTTGATCCCAGGAGTTCAAAGCCAGCCCAGTCAACATAGCAAGACCCTGTGTCTTCAGAAATCATCCAAGGAGTGAGATAAACATTACAACCCACATATACTGGGTAAACAACAAGGGAATGAAAAATGACCTCACATGCCCTAAAGCAATGTTGACGCAAACTCCTGATGCAATAAGGGCAGCAGTTGTAATGGGTACCTGGAATGGTATCGTGGAATTGGAGAACTTATTTTTGTAATGAAAGGAAAGCTAGCTTGAAAGAAATGTTTTTGAGGTTTTCTCTTGTTTTTCTCCTTTTTGTTTGGTTCAGGTTTGAAATTTAGATTGGCTTGGGTTAAATTTGGGTAGGCAAAAAAATATTATCTTTAAGGGAATTAATATTTATCAAATATTCTCTTTTTTCATGTAAACCCCAATGAATGATATGAAATTTGAAGAAATAGGAGAGAGCAAGAACCATAGAATGAAGTCAGAAAAACCCTGCTCTTCTTTAAAATAGAGAGGCTAATTTTAAAATGTTGAGTTTAGGACCTGGAATGCGAAACATCTCAAATTAGCACTTTGAACGCTTTCTCCTCCCAAGCCCGTCGCATTCCTTTCTTTATCTTCATGTTAAGGCTGGGTGGAAGGTTCATCAATTCCCGGATATGATCCAAAATAGACTTAGATTTGTACCTATGAGAATCAATGATCTTAGCAGTACGTGACTTATATCCAATTCTCAGAACTTAATGCTTACCATTGTAACATTATGATAATAAAACACTGGCAGATATAAAGTCATGTCATTTATTTTAGTCATATTGAATCTCTTAGAATAAATTATTTATTTTTTAGAAAATATCTTTTAGAGTAAAATTTACATAAATCAAATGTATTCCTGTTATAATTTTAAATGAACATCCATCTACCCCCAATGCTTTAAGTATTAGAGAGTAGACTTGACGTCCATCTAAGACTCCTTTCAGCTTTACATAAGGTCTCATTACTATGATGCATTGGATCCTCTTGTTCTCTGTTTTCTTCAGGAAATCATGCTCACAGAGGTTAGGTAAATTGGTCAGGGTAACACAGTAATGGCTGCACTACATTTAAACTGCAGCTTTTTAAATCCATGTTTAATACTTTTTCTCAACACCTCCCAATTGCCTCACATTATTTCAGATTCTTCTTTGGGACCCCTTGAATTCACCCTATGTAGCACCTCCCTTGGCAAAAAAAAAAAAAAGTTAACAAAATATGCTTTCTTAATAGGCAAAAAGGGGGATGTATATTTCTTCAAATAACTAAAAAAGGGGAGTCCATATTTATTAAGTGAAAAGAACAAGTGCAATCACATTAGCTTGAAAGGGAAATAAGTGATTACATGATATACTTGGACTGTTGGACAGGAACAGATAGGGGACTTTTCCGTGAGTTATTTATTTTGGTCTTTTATTTAAAGCAGCCCTAATTTTTAGATTGTTTGAATAACAGACAAATTAGAAGCTCAGCAAATTTCTTAGTGGACAATTTTAACTTTCCAAAAAATATCCTTGCATTTCCGCTACCTTCTTTAAAAATGAAACCTATCCCTCTTCAGGACACTGGTCCCAAGACAGATCATCTAGAAGTACCCAAATACCTCCAAACAGATCAGGACCAATTCAACTATTTCTAGAAAAAAAAAAAAACAAAGTCTGTGCTTCATATTGGATGCCCACAATATGTTCTCCCTGCTCTTCTAGATTACTTATTTTCCTTTTTTTTATTATTATTATACTTTAAGTTCTAGGGTACATGTGCACAACGAGCAGGTTTGTTACATAGGCATACATGTGCCATGTTGGTTGCCTGCACCCATTAACTCATCATTTTCATTAGGTGTTTCTCTTAATGCTATCCCTCCCCCATCCCTCCACCCCATGACAGGCCCCAGTATGTGATGTTCCCCGGCCTGTGTCCAAGTGCTCTCATTGTTCAATTTGCACCTATGGGCGAGAATATGCGGTGTCTAGTTTTCTTTCCTTGTGATAGTTTGCTCAGAATCATGGTTTCCAGCTTCATCCATCTCCCTGCAAAAGACATGAACTCATCATTTTTTAGGGCTGCATAGCATTCCATGATGTATATGTTCCACATTTTCTTAATCCAGTCTATCATTGATGGACATTTGGGTTGGTTCCAAGTCTTTGCTATTGTGAATAGTGCTGCAATAAACATACATGTGCATGTGTCTTTATAGTAGCATGATTAATAATCCTTTCCGTATATACCCACTAATAGGATCGCTGCGTCAAATGGTATTTCTAGTTCTAGATCCTTGAGGAATCGCCACACTGTCTTCCACAATGGTTGAACTAGTTTCCACTCCCACCAACAGTGTAAAAGTGTTCCTATTTCTCCACATCGTCTCCAGCATCTGTTGTTTCCTGACTTTTTAATGATTGCCATTCTAACTGGTGTGAGATGGTATCTCATTGTGGTTTTGATTTGCATTCCTCTGATGACCAGTGATGATGAGCATTTTTTCATGTGTCTGTTGGCTGCATAAATGTCTTTTCTGAGAAGTGTCTGTTCATATCCATTGCCCACTTTTTGATGGGGTTGTTTGATTTTTTCTTGTAAATTTGTTTAAGTTATTTGTAGATTCTGGATATTAGCCCTGTGTCACAAGGGTAGATTGCAAAAATTTTCTCCCATTCTGTAGGTTGCCTGTTCACTCTGATGGTAGTTTCTTTTGTTATTCAGAAGCTCTTTAGTTTAATTAGATCCATTTGTCAATTATGGCTTTTGTTGCCATTGCTTTTAGTGTTTTAGTCATGAAGTCCTTGCCCATGCCTATATCCTAAAAGGTATTGCCTAGGTCTTCCTCTATGGTTTTAGATCTAACATTTAAGTCTTTAATCCATCTTGAATTAAGTTTTGTGTAAGGTGTAAGGAAGGGATCCAGTTTCAGCTTTCTATATATGACTAGTCAGTTTTCCCAGCACCATTTATTAAATAGGGAATCCTTTCCCCATTTCTTGTTTTTGTCAGGTTTGTCAAAGATCAGATGGTTGTAGATGTGTGGTGTTATTTCTGAGGCCTCTGTTCTGTTCCATTGGTCTATCTCTCTGTTTTGGTACCAGTACCATGCTGTTTTGGTTACTGTAGCCTTGTAGTATACTTTGAAGTCAGGTAGCATGATGCCTCCAGCTTTGTTCCTTTGGCTTAGGAATGACTTGGTAATGCGGGCTCTTTTTTGGTTCCATATGAACTTTAAAGTAGTTTTTTCCAATTCTGTGAAGAAAGTCATTGGTAGCTTGATGGGGATGGCATTTAATCTATAAATTACCTTGGGCAGTATGGCCATTTTCATATTTATTCTTCCTATCCATGAGCATTGAATGTTCTTCCATTTGTTTGTGTCCTCTTTTATTTCATTGAGCAGTGGTTTGCAGTGCTCAGTAAGTTGGATTCCTAGGTATTTTATTCTCTTTGTAACAATTGTGAATGGGAGTTCACACGTGGCTTGGATCTCTGTTTTTCTGTTATTGGTGTATGGGAATGCTTGTGATTTTTGCACATTGATTTTGTATCCTGAGACTTTGCTGAAGTTGCTTATCAGCTTAAGGAGATTTTGGGCTGAGTCGATGGGGATTTCTAAATAAACAATCATGTCATCTGCAAACAGGGACAATTTGACTTCCTCTTTTCCTAACTTAATACCCTTTATTTCTTTGTCTTGCCTGATTGCCCTGGCCAGAACTTCCAATACTATGTTGAATAGGAGTGGTGAGAGAGGGCCTCTCTGTCTTGTGCCAGTTTTCAAAGGGAATGCTTCCAGTTTTTGCCCATTCAGTATGATATTGGCTGTGGGTTTGTCATAAATAGCTTTTATTATTTGAGATACGTTCCATCAATACCTAGTTTATTGAGAGTTTTTAGCAGGAAGCACTGTGGAATTCTGTCAAAGGCCTTTTCTGCATCTATTGAGATAATCATGTGATTTTTGTCACTGGTTCTCTTTATGTGATGGATTACGTTTATTGATGTGCATATGTTGAACCAGCCGGGCATCCTAGGGATGAAGCCAACTTGATCTTGGTGGATAAGCTTCTTGATGTGCTGCTGGATTTGGTTTGCCAGTATTTTATTGAGGATTTTTGCATCAATGCTCATCAGGGATATTGGTCTAAAATTCTCTTTTTTTGTTGTGTCTCTGCCAGGCTTTGGTATCAGGATGATGCTGGCCTCATAAAATGAGTTAGGGAGGATTCCCTCTTTTTCTATTGATTGGAATAGTTTCAGAAGGAATGGTACCAGCTCCTCTTTGTACCTCTGGTAGAATTCGGCTGTGACTCCATCTGGTCCTGGACTTTTTTTGGTTGGTAGGCTATTAATTATTGCCTCAATTTCAGAGCCTATTATTGGTCTATACAGAGATTCAAATTCTTTCTGGTTTAGTCTTGGAGGGGTGTAAGTATCCAGGAATTTATCCATTTCTTCTAGATTTTCTAGTTTCTTTGCATAGAGGTATTTACAGTATTCTCTGATGGTAGTTTGTATTTCTGTGGGATCGGTGGTAATATCCCCTTTATCATTTTTTATTGCATCTATTTTGTTCTTCTCCCTTTTATTCTTTATTAGTCCTGCTAGCGGTCTATCAATTATGTTGATCTTTTCAAAAAACCAGCTCCTGGATTCATTGATTTTTTGAAGGGCTTTTTGTGTCTCTATCTCCTTCAATTCTGCTCTGATCTTAGTTATTTCTTGCCTTCTTCTAGCTTTTGAATTTGTTTGCTCTTTCTTCTCCAGTTCTTTTAATTTTGATGATAGGGGGTCGATTTTAGGTCTTTCCAGCTTTCTCCTGTGGGCGTCTAATGCTATAAATTTCCCTCTAAACACTGCTTTAGCTGTGTCCCAGAGATTCTGGTATGTGGTGTGTTTGTTCTCATTGGTTTCAAAGAATTTATTTATTTCTGCCGAATTTTGTTATTTACCCAGTAGTCATTTAGTTTTACATTTTGAAACACCCAAACAACTGTCACTGGATTGCTTGCAACAGAAAGGATAAATGCTTTATGGGATGGATGCTGCATTCTCCATGATGTGATTATTTGCATGCTTGTATCATATCTTATGTTCCTCATAAATGTATACACCTACTATGTACCCACAAAAAATAAAAATAAATGACAGGCAAACGACCAATATGCACATGAAAAGATACCCAACATCATGAGTCGTTAGGGAAATGAAAGTCAAAAGTATCATGAGATACCACTTCACATTCATTAGGACGGCTATTACTTAAAAAATGAAAACTGACAGGTGTGAGGATGTGGATAAACTGCAACCCTTGAACATTGCTGTTTGGAGTGTAAGATGGTGTGATTGCTGTGGAAAATATTATGGCAGTTCCTCAGAAAGGTTACTCATCATAATATACATCTCTTTAGCAACTGGGATACATTTTTTCTATCAATGGTTTAAATTCACTGGCAATAAAACTGAAGAGAAAAATGAAGTAAGAGGGAGAAAGAAACAAGGGAGAAAGGAAATTCGAATTCACTTGACCTTTAAATTCTAATATATGTTTTAAGGCTGCTTCCTTTCATCATGAACAGAGAACTTGAGTCCTCCACACCAGTTGAAGAAAACTGCATTGTGACTGAAGTCCAATCACCTGTACCTCACACAGTCTGGAAATAAGGAACACACAAATCAAGAACTAGACAAGAAATTCAACTTTCTCCACAAATCTTCTTGGGAAAGAGTGTCTCTGAAAATTTTGATACCCTTGGACACTCAGAAAAGAAAAGGGTGGAGTTAGAGCCCAGCTGTGTGAGAGGCAGATGGGAACTGGCCTCACCTGGCAAAGCCAAGGGAACCAGTGTGAGACCAGGGGGGACACAAGGGCTTTCTCTACCTCCTTCCATAGGTCCTGTTTAGGATCAAGACCATTGTTCTCCCAGAACCTCTATAGGCAAAAAGAAGGATTACCTTCCGTTGCCAATAATTTCCACCAGAATCCTCACTATTTTTACCATTGTACAAATTAGGAAAATGCACACATTCTTGGTAGATTCTGCACAGTGGAGAGAAAGCTTAAAGAGAGGCATGGAGGCTGGACTTTACAACCCCTCAACCTCACTCCATCATCCTTATCTGTGCATTTCCCTGGTGACCTCTTTTTCCTCCTGGTGCCTCCCCCACTGTCATTTCTGCTGCATCACAGACACAGACTTGCAAGCAAGTGTGGTTGTGACTGAGTCTATTTCTGACACCTTACCCTTTCTCACCCTGTGGGGAATTCTTGCTGAGAGGGCTTTGGAATCAGGAATGAAGCCAGAGGGCAGGGCTGACAGGGACCATTTAAATGCTGCAACTCCTAGAGATTCACATGGAAGCCTGGACACAATTCAGAAGAGCCAACCCAAGGAAGCAAAAATGTCACCACTACCTGTGAGTTAAAAAGGCACAGCCTTCAATAATCTCAAGTCACATTAAAGAAGGTGGAAAAAGGGAGATTTTATGAGAGGAAAATATGAGAGTTTCTATTGTGAATGTTTTACTGAGATTGGAGGTGTGTGGAAGACAGAGACCCTGGGACTATGATGTCTGAGATGTTTGTGGGGTGTCAGGTGTGGCCCATGGACCAGTGTAACCCTCTGTGAGGGTGTGATAGTGTCTGATGAGAGTCAACTCTGCTGAGATGATGTTACGTTAGGTAAAAGGTGTAAAGCCCACCAGGATGGGTGGGACGTGCCTGAGTGTAAGAGGGTGACTGTGTTTTGTCTTCCTGTCTGTGATGTGAGTGTGTGTGAGCACACCCAGACCAATGCATGAGCATCTTTATATGGACAGTGAGCAGGCATGTGTGACTCAGTGAGTGGTGTGGCTCTGTGTGACTGTGGTAGTGTGTGTGATGGGATGTGACTAGGTGTTGAACTGGGAACATGCACGTGGCCTTCTGTCCATGTGAAGTTTCCTCCTTACACAGCAGGGCCTCTGATGAAGCAGCTGTGCATCTTCCCATGTGTGTCAGTGTGGATCCCGGGTGGCAGAACTGGTGGGGATCTTGGGGACTGGGAGTTACCAATGACTCATTTGTGAGCATTAATGAGAGCAGAATGTATGATCTGTAGATGTCTCTTCCCAGGCAGAGTGGAAAAGAGGAATCCAGACTATGGGAACAATGGTCCCTCAGGTGGGGTCTGCACATAGTGACCATGATCTCCTGCCTCTCATCCTCAGGTCTTTTCCTGTCTCCCACCCAAGGCTGCCATTCCCATTGTAGGTCAGGAGGGTGTGCAAGTCCTGGCTCTCTGAGGAAGAACATTGGAGACTGTGGTTTTAGAGACTGAATCACCTCAAACTGGAAAGGAACAAGGGTAGCCTCAGTTCAGATAGAGTTTACAGTGGATATTAATCATCCAAGTAGCTGGGTTTGCTGGCTCATGTCTATAATCTTACCATTTTGATAGGCAAAAATGGGAAAATAACTTGAGGCCAGGAGTATAAGAGCAGCCTGGGCAAAATAGTGAGACACCGTCTTTACAAAAACTTTAAGTGTCAGACAGGCAACTTGGTGGGCATTTTTTTTTTGAGACGGAGTCACTCTGTCACCTAGGCTGGATTGCAATGGTGCAATCTTTTCTTACTGCAACCTTCGCCTCCCGAGTTCAAGTGATTCTCCTGCCTCAGCCTCCTGAGTACCTGGGATTACAGGTGCACACCACCACGCTTGGCTAATTTTTGTATTTTTAGTAGAGACGGGATTTCACCATGTTGGTCAGGCTGGTCTCGAACTCCTGACCTCGTGATCGACCTTCCTTGGCCTCCCAAAGTGCTGGGATTACAGGCATGAGCCACTGCACCCAGCCTTGGCGGGCATCTTTCACCAAAGCTACTCAGGAAGCCAAGGTGTGAGGACCCCTGCAGCACAGGAGTTCAAGGCTTCAGTGAGCTATGGGTGCACCACTACACATCAGCCTGGGTGAGAGAGTGAGACCATGTCTCAGAAAGGAAGAAAAATTATCCACTTGTAGGTTGTCTCTAATTACTTCCCTGACCCGCACTCTTCATTTGTCCAAGTGCTGCAGCTGTGCTCTCAACAATTTTTACAACTTCTGGGAAAGATGCCCATGGCCCTTGACGATAGTGATGCATGTGCATCCCACACACAGGGGTTTCCTGTTCTTTTGTTATTTCCCTCTCTCTTTCAACAAGTGTTGCTTCTTACGGATTGAATTTCTCCACTGATAGATCCTCAAGTCTTGTTTTCACAGATATTAATTTCTCTATCACTAAGATCACCCATTAGTAAGAATTACTAATAAAGATAAAAAATAAAAAGTAAAGAAAGTACAGAAAAAAAGAATTTTAAATAATCTTCCTAGTACCTGGGAAACAGTTAGGCAGAGTTCAGGTATGGATCTAAGATGGCACTGTCAGTAAGAGGCAGAATCAGGACTGGAGTCCAGGCAGCCTGGCTCCTGAATCCTAGCTCCTAACTATGAGACCCTCATGTCTTTAGGAATATGGAGTTCTGACTGTGATAGGGTGAAAGAGGGAAGTCCTCACAGTTTGCCTGTTGATCTCTAATTTTCTACATCATGGTAATCTGTCACAAAAGGGGAGGCCACACCTGGCCCAGCCCCTTTCACCCACTCTCAATCCCCTAGCAGGTGCCACACAGAAGGCGTGTCCTCGTCCATTGGTTCTTGCATGACAATCAGAGGGACACGGATCCTCCCTTTCATGTGAGTACTGCATGGCACAGGGGTGGAAAAGAAGGGAGAATATTTACTCAGGAGGTGGTCTCATGTGAGTGATGTGGAAATTTCTAGTTGGCAGGATGGAGGAACCATGCAGGCGCAGGTCCTGGAGACCCTCCAGCACCAAGCATGAAACCTGCAGTGGCTGAACTGTGGGCCAGTCATGAGGTCTAAGGGAGGAGAACACTCAGGGGTTAGGGCTGTGGCTCTTTATCAAGGGGCACAGAATTTTCAGGGAATGGACAAGGCATAGACCCAGGTAAGTGACTGTGGCTCACTTTCCATCTTGTGAGGGGAAGAGAATCTCCCCACCTGGGGGATATACGAGGAGCTAAAGCAGCCCCACAGGGACCAGGCCTGCAGTATCACCAGAGAGATCAGGGAGGCTTCTTTATGCCTTGGGGAAAAGAAGGAAGGGATTTGTGTGTGTGTTGAGTGTGTGTCCTACAAGGGAGGGGCCTGCCCAACACTCCGTGTGCTTTGCCCTCAGCAATGACCCAGAGCTGCGGGTGGAATTCTACACTGGGATGAATGAGAACTCAGACATCGCCTTCCATTTCTGAGTGCACTTTGGCCATTGTTTGGTCATTGACAGCCATGTGTGTGGGGCCTGGAAGTGTGAGGGGAGATGCCACAATGTGTTCTTCAAGGACGGCAAACAATTTGATCTGAGCATCTTGGTGCTAGACAATGAATACCAGGTGAGTGCCCTAGGAGCTCCCGGTATCCAGCCTCCATGGGTTCTCAGAGCAGGAGGCAGCTCTCCCTGGCCTGACCCAAATAGATTTTCAGGACCCATTTCTCATAACTACTCTTACCCCAGGCTTTTTATCACAGAGCACCCTCTGGTTGCACCGCTATCCTCAGCTCGTTTCCAAAATCTGACCGTGATCAGTATCAGCTCATCTGGCATTTCCCCCAAGGTGAAGAATCTCCTGTCTTTTCTCACTGTATTCATTTCTACTTATGTTGCTGTTTAAATTTTCACTTTGCTGAATGAATACAATATTCATAAGAATAAAATTGTTTTAGTCAATGAAAAATTAAGGCTTTGTCTCACTCCTGGACCCAATCTTATTCCTGAGAGCATTACCAGCGCTCTGCTCTCCTTCCACAGGAAATCTTTGCTTATAGAAGCATATAGATCTACAATTTCATTTGTTTTTAAGAAAATCCTAGTATACATTGCTCCACACGTTACACCTTAAAAACTGAGTTGATTTGTTGTGAAAGAATATATCTTGAAGATACCGTCTATTAATGGTGCTTCCTCAGTTTTTAAAGAATGCATAATATTGCATTATAAGGATTACCTAAAATTATTAATCTTGACTCTTTTTAAGGGCCTTGAGGTTATTTCCAATATTTTGCTCTCACTAATGGTGCTGTATTAAGACTTCTAGTCAATTCTTTTGTTTTATCCACCTCCCTTACTTATATTGAAAGATAATCATAAAGAAATGAAAAACTGGTTCAAAAATGTGTGCATTTTAAATTTAACAAATTGACACCTAGAAGGTTACTTTATAGACTCAGTAATGAAGAATATATCCAAATGTTCTGGCCCTTTCTTATGAGTAGAGCAAAAGATTCACATTTTATTCAGATTCAAGTGAAGGATCTCTTTCTATGCTTAGAAACCGTTCAAAATGATAGCCTATGTTTTGCAACACTTGTCCAATTCTACCTCTCCAACAACACTTGAATTTTATTCTTGGCCACCATCAGCCCAGATCTAGGCAACTCCAAAGAGAAACTGGGCCATCAGTAGGGAATGGCAGTCAGAGTTCATGGAACAGATATATATGCATTCAATGAACATAATCCAGTGTTAATCCTGTTTGAACCCCTGTACAAGATGCAGGGATTCAAGTTCATGAAATACAGTCACTAGCCATGGGGATTTTCCAAGCTAGACGGGAGGCTGAGCAAACATAGACCATGTGACACAGAGTGGTACAGCCTTGCTGGAGGAAACAGAGGAAACACTAGAAATAATGTGAGCACTCTCTCAAATAGTTAATCTTTAACAGGATTGTGAGTCTTGGGTTCAGTTATATAACTAGCAGTTTTCTCAGGGGATGTTGTAGGTATAGGAGAGAGTAGAGAGAAGGCTGAAAGTTTGTTTGGTGGCATACTGTCTTTCTGAGGCACTTTTCCTCTTGTAGGTAATAATAAATGGCCAACACCATACATCTTTGCCCATCCACTTCCACCATGTTCTATGAAGATTTTGCAAGTGTGGGAAGATGTCTCCCTGACCTCAATGTCTGTCTGCAATTTATGGAGATGACCACACCCCTCATTGTTGAGGAATCCCTCTTTCCATGTGACCATAGGATCCCCAGAGCCTGCTAACAGCATGATCTCTCCTCACCCTTTTCCCTACACTTGGTCATTAAAACATCACCAAACTTCCCAGAATTTGGTTCTTGCTTTAAGGGGGAAAGAGAAAGTGGTAATCCCCAAGAGGCCCCGAGGAACTTTATGGGAAGCATCCAGAAATCAAATAGGATAAACCTTCTTGTGACTCCAGGAGTGAATGACAAGGTCCCTGCAATATCTTAGGAGACATTAGGTACAGCATCCTTTGACAGCATATTGTTGACATCAGAGACTCTGAGACAAAATCTTTACCCTATCTTAGATGACTCACTGCACTGAAATGTTAGGTAGATGTTTACAGCCACACAGATGTACCTCGTGGCTTTGGGGAGAAATTTTGTAACTTAAGAACAATCTAGTGGAATTTCCTAATACTTTCCATTATTTTCAGGATATTTATTGTATGTTAACACGGTGCCTGGCTCTGTATAGGCTGCCATACAGGAGCTTTACAAAAAGACACGTTTCTCACTTGAAAATTTCAATCCAAGCAACAGTTAGAGAATCACAGGAGTCCAAAGATTTCTCTTAAAGAACCCCAATTGTGGAAGATAGTGTGGCAATTCCTCACGGATCTAGAACTAGAAATACCATTTGACCCAGCAATCCCATTACTGGGCATATACCCAAAGGATTATAAATCATTCTGCGATAAAGACACATGCACACATGTGTTTCTTGCGGCACTATTCACAATAGCAAAGACTTGGAACCAACCCAAAAGTCCATCAATGATAGACTGGATTATGAAAATGTGGTACATACACACCATGGAATACTATGCAGCCATAAAAAGGATGAGTTTATGTCCTTTGCAGGGACATGGATGAAGCTGGAAACCATCATTCTCAGCAAACTATCAGAAGATCAGAAAACAAAACACCACATGTTCTCACTCATAAGTGGGAGCTGAACAATGAGAACACATGGACACAGGGAGGGGAACGTCGCACACTGGGGCCTGTTTGGGGGTAGGGGGCTAGGGGAGGGATAACATTAGGAGAAATCCCTAATGTAGGTGACAGGTTGATGGGTGCAGCAAACCACCATGGCACATGTATATCTATGTAACAAAACTGCACGTTCTGCACATGTAACCCAGAACTAAAGTATAATTTTTCTTAAAACTAAAAAATAATAATAATAATTGTGAGATTTTTCCAAAGTATGTGGCAGAATCCTGGGATTTCTATTTAAAAACAAGTGGTCATGGTTTTAGATCAGAAAATATGTAGTTTATTTTTGGGATGGACACAATTCATACACATGGACACAGTGAGCTGACCTTGCTTTGCTGCTCTTTCATTAGGCATTGCAGCACAGCAAAGCTCCCAACACACGTTGGCTTACAGAAATCATTTACTCTGATCTTTCTTGGTTAACTGGACTCATGTGGGTAGTAGATCATGTGGTGAGAGTCATGTTTTCTGAAGCGTCTTTTAGTTTGGGATTCCAGAAGATGCTTCACTCATGTCTGACTCAACACGAGGGCTGGGTGAGCACCTACGGGCTGGCTGATTATCTCCTTCCCTACGTCACTTCCCTATTCATGCCTTGAATTCCCTCAAATCATAAGAGTCTCATGGTTCTTGGACTTAAGGAATGATGATTGGCTGCCACCAAAGAAAGCCTTCCAAAAGGCTCAAGGAGAAGGTGAAAGGCATCATAGGACCTGGCTTTGAAAGGCAGACAGTGTCACTTCTATGACATTATATTGATCAAAGTGAGCCATACACAAGCCCAAATCAAAGGGAGGGGGGTTTCATAAGATGTGGTTATTTTGACATGCAGTCATGAGGGAGCATCCTTGGCAACTATTTCCACTCAGTCCTCACTGGCTTACATTTTTCCCATATATCAAAAGCACTAATCCTGTAAGGAACCACTGAAGGCAATACACTTATAGGAACAGGCTCAGATTGTAGTCCAGAATGTTATCATCCAATCAGGATCTGGTGTCCATGAAGTGACTAGAAATTATCATGTGCACTTTCTTTCAACATCTGCACTAAAGAAATACATTATCTGCCCTATACATATTAAACCTACAAGACTAAAACAGATATAGGAAAATGCAGTGAACACACTTATTTTAGAGGGACAAAAGATAATAAACAGCACCCTGAAAGCAAGATGGGTCACCAACAACTCTACTGGAGCCACCCACAAAAAAATCAGCCAGGGTTCTCACCCTTGTTGCATCTGCTCAAACCAGCATCTCCTTATCTGAAAATATTGTCTTGATATGTGCCGCTTCTGTTTCCACAAGTACTTAAAGGATATAGGTCTCATTAAGTTGGACTAAGTGATGCTCCTTGAATTAATAAGCAAGACATCCACTCAGTGAAAGAAACCATGCTAACTCTTTGTACATGAATAAAAATTAAAATAAAGAAACCAATACAAACAAACAAGAACAAAAAAAAAATAGGCATCCATCACTGGTCCACATCTTGCTGAAGCCAACTATACCCGTATTTTCATCTTCTCTGAAAACGTTTCTCTGCAACAGTTGGCTCCACCTTCTACTGTCAGCTTCTTAGAGCTCCTACCAAGTAGGCACAATGACAGCCCTTTTCCCTCTATAAGAGCTGTTGTCATCTGGTTCATAGCACAAATAGAGAACCATTTAGGAGAAGATAAACAACATATTACCTAAAAGCCAAACAATGCAGACTGAAGAGGGTCTCATCAAATAGCCTCTTTGTCTGCAGGGCCTATCACAGGTGTCAATTTGATCATCTTCATCCTCTCTTTCCATGTTCATTGCCACAACTTGTTCAGCTCCAACCTTACTCATGGGTATGCCTCTCTCCTTGCCCTCCTTTAACCTAATATTCATATACCTTGAGGTGTCAATGCACAGTAAATGACACCTTCATGCCTCTCTTTCTTGTTGCTTTCCTGTATGAACTGAAATTCCCTCCGCTGTCACTGGAAAGTCTCAGGTTCTTGTTAGGTACACTTTCCCCCTTATATCATCCCTCTCACAGTTTTGGTCACCGCCCTATTTTGATGATGGATCATAGGCCCCCTCATCAGCATGGAAATCATTTCTTGGGGAATTAGGCAATACTTGCTCTGAGTGGATAAAAACTATCTTGGACCCCATGAGTTTCTGAGCAGAACATGAGATTGATTTCATATCTACATGTCGCTGGACGATGCCCATTGTATTTGCATGACCTACAGTGTCCTACATGCTGCCCCTGCTATACAAACACACAGTGACTGCCTTTTCTTGACTGATATTCACCAGTTCAGTTCAGCTCATATAGGCCATTTGTTACTCTCATCTTTATACCAACTACTACCCTATGCTCATGGTGGCCAGGAGTGATGTCTCAGATAAAAAGAGAAGACATAGAGCCAAGGAACCAATGTTGAACAAACGATTTTTGTTTGCCTCTGGAGACTTACTCAACATCTCTTTCATGCTTGTCAACCCAAGTTCATGGCCTTCTCCCAGCAAATACATCATTGCTGAAAACACAGTAGGTTATTTCCGCAGTCTAAAGCCTTACCTTTTGAAAGGTCTGTAGGGCTTTCCAGTTTTTGCTGAAAGCCCCCAAAGAATAAATCTACTCTTTGCTAACGTTGTCCTTGATGTCCAAGTCTCCCAAAGCTGTTTCTTCTGTGGTGCTGTCCGTGGTGCTGAGCTCTGGTGCGTCTGGGCCTGTATTTGCAAGTGAGGGGCCAATAAGACAGAATTAACAGAGAAATTTTTTGTTTTGTATTTGATAAATCACAGCTCAAAATATGTATGATGAACGGAGCAGGAATTGAATTTGGACTTTCAGATCACAATTTCTGCAGTGCCCTCTCTCACCGTCCTATTCAACATAGTGTTGGAAGTCCTGGCCAGAGCAATCAGGCAAGAGAAAGAAAGAAAGGGCATCCAAACAGAAAGAGAGGTCAAACCATCCCTGTTTGCAGATGTCATGATTCTGTATCTAGAAAACATCATAGTCTCTGCCCAAATAATTCTTAAGCTGGTAAACAACTTGAGCAAAATTTCAGGATACAAAATCAAAGTGCAAAAATTACTAGAACTCCTATATACCAACAACAGCAAAGCATAGGGCCAAATCAGGACTGCAATTCCATTCACAATTGCCATAAAAAGAATAAAATACCTAGGAATACAGCTAACCAGGAGGTGTAAGATTTTTACCATGAAAATTACAAAACACTGCTTAAAATATCAGAGATGACCCAAACAAATGGAAAAACATCCCAGGCTCATAGATAGCAAGAGTCATTATCATTAAAACAGCCATATTGCCCAAAGAAATGTACAGATTCAATGCTATTTCTGTTGAACTACCTATGACATCCTTCATAGAATTAGAAAAAAACTATTTTAAAATACTCATGGAACCAAGAACGAGTTGAATAACCAAGACAGTTCTTAGCAAAAAGAATCAAGCTGGAAACATCATATTACCCAATGTCAAACTGTGTTACAGGGCCACAGTAACAAAACAGTATGGTACTGGTACAAAAACAGACACAGAGACCAGTGGGACAGAAGAGAGAGCCCAGAAATAAGGTCACACACCTACAACCATCATCAGACCCTTCCACTAAGCTGACCAAACAAGCAATGTAAAAAGGATTTCTTATTCAAGAAATGGTTCTGGGTAACTGGCTAACCATATGCAGATGATTGAAACTGAACCCCTTCATCACATTATATAGAAAAATCAACACAAGATGGGTTAAAGACTTAAATGTAAATGCAAAACTATAAAAACCTTGGAAGACTACATAGGCAATACCATTCTGAATGTAGAAATGGACAAAAGTTTTATGACAAAGATGCGAAAAGCAACCTCAAGAAAAGCAAAAATTGACAGTGGATTTATTTAAGCTAAAGAGCTTCTGCACAGCAACAGAAACTATCAACAGAGTCAACAGACAATCTACAGAATGGGAGAAAATATTTGAAAATTATGTATCTGAAAAAGGTCTTATATCTAGCATCTATAAGGAACTTCAGTAACTTTGCAAGAAAAGAACAAACAACTCCATTAAAAAGTGGGCAAAGGGGCAGGACGCGGTGGCTCACGCCATAATCCCAGCACTTTGGAAGGCTCAGGAGGGCCGATCACGAGGTCAGAAAATAACTTGAGACCAGTCTGCCCAACATGGTGGTCTCAGACACCTAGACCAATGGAACAGAATGGAGAACCCAGAAATGAGGCCACACACCGACAACCATCTGATCTTCAACAAAGCTGACCAAACAAGCAACGGAAAAAAGACTCCCTACTCAAGAAATTGTGCTGGGAGAACTGGCTAGCCATATGCAAAAGATTGAAACTGAAGCCCTTCCTTAAACCATATACAAAAATCAATTCAAGATGGATTAAAGACTTAAATGTAAAATCCAAAACTACAAACACCCTGGAAGACAACCTAGGCAATACCATGCAGGACATAGGCATGAGCAAAGGTTTCATGATGAAGATTTCAAAGGCAATCACAACAAAAGCAAAAATTGTCAAACTGAATCTAATTAAACTAAAGTGCTTCTGCACAGCAAAAGAAACTATCAAGAGAGTAAACAGACAGCCTATAGAATGGGAGAATATATTTTCAAACTATTTATCTGAAGAAGATCTAATATCCGAGTATCTACAAGAAACTTCAACAACTTTACAAGAAAGAAAAAACAAACCCATAAAAAAGTGGGTAAAGGGCTTGGCACAGTGGCTTATGCCTGTAATTCCAGCACGTTGGACAGCCAAGGCTGGTGGATGGCTTGAGCCCAGGAATTTGAGAACAGGCTGGGTAACGTGGCAAAAACCCATCTCTACTAAAATTAGAAAAAATTAGCCTGGCATGGTGACATGAGCCTGTATTCCCAACTACTCAGGAGGCTGAGCTGGGAGGATCACCTGAGCCCAGAAGCCAGAGGTTGCAGTGAGCTGAGACAGTGCCACACCACTCCAGCCTTTTTGTCAGAGTGAGACCTGTTTTAAAACAATGAAAAAAGGTGAGCATAGGACAGGAACAGACACTTTTCAAAAGTAGACATACAGGTGGCCAACAAGCATATAATAAAAGCTTGACATCACTGAACATTAGAGAAAAGCAAACCAAAACCAAAATGAGATACCATCCCACACCAGTCAGAATGGCTCTTATTAAAGTCAAAAAAGGACAGATGCTGACAAGGTTATGAAGATAAGGGAGCACTTACACATTGTTGGTGGAAGTGTAAATTAGTTCACACATTGTGGAAAGCAGCGTGGTGATTCATCAAACAGCTAACAACAGAACTACCCTTCAACCCAGCAATCCCATCACTGGGTGTATACCCAGAAGAATAGAAATCATTCTGCCATAAAGACATATGCACATGAATGTTCATTGCAAAACTATGCACAATAGCAAAGACATGGAATGAACCCAAATGCCCATCAAGGACAGATTAAATACAGAAAATGTGGTACATGTACACAATGGAATACTATGCAGTCCTATAAAACAGTGAGATTATGTCTTTTGCCATAACATGGATGGAGCTAGAAGCCATTATTCTCAGCAGACTAATGCAGGAACAGAAAACCAAATACTGCATGTTCTCACTTATAAGTGTGAACTAAATGATGAGACTCATGGAACCAAGAGGGGAACAACACACACTGGGGCCTACTTGAGGGTTGAGGGTGAGAGGTGCAATAGGAGCAAAAAAATAACTATTGGGTATTATGCTTAGTACCCAGATGAAGAAATCATAATTACCACAAAACCCATGACACAATTTTATCTGCATGTGTACCACTGAACCTAAAATAAAAGGAAAAATAAATCAAAGAAAAAAACAAATCTCAATTCTGTTCCAAGATGGCTGAATAGGAACAGCTCTGGTCTGCAGCTCCCAGTGTGATCAACGCAGAAGACAGTGATTTCTACATTTCCAACTGAGGTACCTGGTTCATCTCATTGGGACTGGTTGGACAGTGGGTGCAGGCCAAGGAGGGCGAGCTGAAGACCTGGGAAGTGCAAGGGGTCGGGAGATTACCCTTTCCTAGCAAAGGCAAACCATGACAGACTGTACCTGGAAAATTTGGACACAACCAACCAAATAGTGTGCTTTTCCAGTGGTCTTAGCAAATGGCACCCCAGGAGATTACATCTTGCACCTGGCTTGGCAGGTCCCATGCCCACGAAGCTTTGCTCACTGCTAGCGCAGCAGTCTGAGATTGACCTGGGAGGCAGCAGCCTGGCAGGGGAGGGGTGTCCGCCATTGCTGAGGCTTGAGTAGGTAAACAAAGTGGCCAGGGAAGCTCAAACTGGGTGGAGCCCACCACAGCTCTGCAAGGCCTGCTGCCTCTGTAGACTCCATCTCTGGGGGCAGGGCATAGCTGAACACAAGGCAGCAGAAACTTCTGCAGACTTAATCATCCCTGTCTGACAGCTGTGAAGAGAGCAGTGGCTCTCCCAACGTGGTGTTTGAGGTCTGAGAATGGACAGACTACCTCCTCAAGTGGGTCCCTGACCCCCGTTTAGCCTAACTAGGAGACACCTCCCAGTAGGGGCCGACTGACACCTCATACAGGTGGGTGCCCCTTGGGACAAAGCTTCCAAAGGAAGGATCAGGCAGCAATATTTGCTATTTTGCAATATTTGCTGTTCTGCAGCCTCCACTGGTGATACCCAGGCAAATAAGAGTGGACCTCCAGCAAACTCCAACAGATCTGCCGCTGAGGGACCTGACTGTTAGAAGGAAAACTAACAAACAGAAAGGAATAGCATCAACATCAACAAAAAGGAAATCCTCACCAAAACCCCATCTGTAGGTCACCAGCATCAAAGACCAAAGGTAGATAAAACCACAAAGATGGGGAGAAGCCAGAGCAGAAAAGCTGAAAATTCTAAAAACCAGAGTGCATCTTCTCCTCCAAAGGATCACAGCTCCTTGCCAGCACCGGAACAAAGCTAGATGGAGAATGACTTTCATGAGCTGACAGAGCTAGGCTTCAGAAGGTCAGTAATAACAAACTTCTCCGAGCTAAAAGAGGATATTTGAACCCATTGCAAGGAAGCTAAAAATCTTGAAAAAAGATTAGATGAATGGCTAGCTAGAATAAACAGTGTACAGAAGACCTTAAATGACCTGATGGAGCTGAAAACCATGACACGAGAAATACGTGATGCATGCACAAGCTTCAATAGCCAATTCGACCAAGCGGAAGAAAGGGTATCAGTGATCGAAGATCAAATTAGTGAAATAAAGCAGGAAGTGAAGTTTAGAGAAAAAAGAGTAAAAAGAAATGAACAAAGCCTCCAAGAAATATGGGACTATGTGAAAAGACCAAATCTACGTTTGATTGGTGTACCTGAAAGTGGCGGGGAGAATGGAACCAAGTTGGAAAACACTCTGCAGGATATTATCCAGGAGAACTTCCCCAACCTAGCAAGGCAAGCCAACATTCAAATTCAGGAAATACAGAGAACACCACAAAGATACTCCTCGAGAAGAGCAACCCCAAGACACATAATTGCCAGATTCACCAAGGTTGAAATGAAGGAAAAAATGTTCAGGGCAGCCAGAGAGAAAGGTCAGGTTACCCACAAAGGGAAGCCCATCAGACTAACAGCGGATCTCTTGGCAGAAACCCTACAAGCTAGAAGAGAGTGGGGGCCAATATTCAACATTCTTAAAGAAAAGAATTTTCAACCCAGAATTTCATATCCAGCCAAACTAAGCTTCATAAGTGAAGGAGAAATAAAATCCTTTACAGACAAGCAAATGCTGAGAGATTTTGTCACCACCAAGCCTGCCTTACAAGAGCTCCTGAAGGAAGCACTAAACATGGAAAGAAACAACTGGTAACAGCCACTGCAAAAACATGCCAAATTGTAAAGACAATCAATGCTAGGAAGAAACTGCATCAACTAACAGGCAAAATAATCAGCTAACATCATAATGACAGGATCAAATTCACACATAACAATATTAACCTTAAATGTAAATGAGCTAAATGCTCCAATTAAAAGACACAGACTGGCAAATTGGATAAAAAGTCAAGACCCATGAGTGTGCTGTATTCAGGCAACCCATCTCACGTTCAGAGACACACATAGGCTCAAAATAAAGGGATGGAGGAAGATCTACCAAGCAAATGGAACACAGAAAAAAAAGCAGGGGTGGCAATCCTAGTATCTGATAAAACAGACTTTAAATGAACAAATATCAAAAGAGACAAAGAAGGCCATTACACACTGGTAAAGGGATCAATTCAACAAGAAGAGCTAACTATCCTAAATATATATGCACGCAATACAGGAGCACCCAGATTCATAAAGCAAGTCCTTAGAGACCTACAAAGAGACTTAGACTCCCACACCAAAATAATGGGAGACTTTAACACCCCACTGTCAATATTAGACAGGTCACTGAGACAGAAGGTTAACAAGGATATCCAGGACTTGAACTCAGCTCTGGACCAAGCAGACTTAATAGACATCTACAGAACTCTCCACCCCAAATCAACAGAATATACATTTCTCAGCATCACATCGCTCTTATTCCAAAATTGACCACATAGTTGGAAGTAAAGCACTACTCAGCAAATGTAAAAGAACAGAAATCACAACAAACTGTCTCTCAGACCACAGTGCAATCAAATTAGAACTCAGGATTAAGAAACTCACTCAAAACCGCACAACTACATGGAAACTGAACAACCTGCTCCTGAATGACTACTGGGTACATAACGAAATGAAGGCAGAAATAAAGATGTTCTTTGAAACCAATGAGAACAAAGACACAACATACCAGAATCTCTGGGACACATTTAAAGCAGTGTGTAGAGGGAAATTTATACCACTAAATGCCCACGAAATTTCTTTGTGGAAAGATCTAAAATTGACATCCTAACATCACAATTAAAAGAACTAGAGAAGGAAGAGCAAACAAATTCAAAAGCTAGCAGAAGATAAGAAATAACTAAGATCAGGGCAGAACTGAAGGAGATAGAGACACATAAAGAACCAACAAAAAATCAATGAATCCAGGAGCTTGTTTTTTGAAAAAGATCAACAAAATTGATAGACCGCTAGCCAGACTAAAAAAGAAGAGAGAAGAATCAAATAGATGCAATAAAAAATGATAAAGAGGATATCACCACCGATCCCACAGAAATACAAACTACCATCAGAGAATACTATAAACACCTCTACGCAAATAACCTAGAAAATCTAGAAGAAATGGATAAATTCCTGGATACATACACCCTCCCAAGACTAAACCAGGAAGTTGAATCTCTGAATAGACAAGTAACAGGCTCTGAAATTGAGGCAATGATTAATAGCCTAGCAACAAAAACAAGTCCAGGACCAGATGGATTCACAGCTGAATTCTACCAGAGGTAAAAAGAGGAGCTGGTACCATTCCTTCTGAAACTATTCCAATCAATAGAAAAAGAGGGAATCCTCCCTAACTCGTTTTATGAGGCCAGCATCATCCAAATACCAAAGCCTGGCAGAGACACAACAAAAAAAGAGAATTTTAGAGCAATATCCCTGATGAACATTGATGCAAAAATCCTCAATAAAATATTGGCAAACCAAATCTGGCAGCACATCAAAAATCTTATCCACCACGATGAAGTCAGCTTCATACATGGGGTGCAAGTCTTGTTCAACATACTCAAATCAATAAACAAAATCCATCACATAAACAGAACCAGTGACAAAAACTACATGATTATCTCAATAGATGCAGAAAAGGCCTTTGACAAAATTCAACAGCCCTTCATGCTGAAAACTCTCAATAAACTAGGTATTGATGGAATGTATCTCAAAATAATGAGAGCTATTTATGACAAACCGACAGCCAATATCATACTGAATTGGCAAAAGCTGAAAGTATTCCCTTTGAAAACTGACACAAGACAGGGATGCCCTCTCTCACCACTCCTATTCAACATGGTGTTGGAAGTTCTGGCCAGGGCAATCAGGCAAGAGAAAGCAATAAAGGGTATTCAATTAGGAAAAGAGGAAGTCAAATTGTCCCTGTTTGCAGATGACATGATTGTATACTTAGAAAACCCCATCATCTCAGCCCAAAATCTCCGTAAGCTGATGTGACTTCAGCAAAGTCTCAGGATACAAAATCAATGTGCAAAAGTCACAAGCATTCCCATACACCAATAACAGACAAACAGAGAGCCAAATCATGAGCGAACTCCCATTCACAATTGCTTCAAAGAGAATAAAAAACCTAGGAATCAAACTTACAAGGGATGTGAGGGACCCTTTCAAGGAGAACTACAAACCATTGCTCAATGAAATAAAAGAGGATACAAACAAATGGAAGAACATTCCATGATCACGGATAGGAAGAATCAATATCGTGAAAATGGCCATACTTCCCAAGGTAATTTATAGATTCAACGCCATTCCCAACAAGCTACCAATGACCTTCTTCACAGAATTGGATGCTACCTGACTTCAAAGTACACCACAAGGCTACAGTAACCAAAACAGCATGATACTGGTACCAAAACAGATATATAGACCAATGGAACAGAATGGAGCCCTCAGAAATAACACCACACATCTATAACCATCTGATCTTTGATAAACCTGACAAAAACAAGAAATGAGGAAAGGATTCCCTATTTAATAAATGGTGCTGGGAAAACTGGCTAGCCATATGTAGAAAGCTGAAATTGGACCCCTTCCTTACACCTTATACAAAAATTAATTCAAGATGGATTAAAGACTTAAATGTTAGACCTAAAACCATGAAAACCCTAGAAGAAAACCTAGGCAATATCATTTAGGATGTAGGCATAGGCAAGGACTTCATGACTAAAACACCAAAAGCAATGGCAACAAAAGCCAAAATTGACAAATGGATCTAATTAAACTAAAGAGCTTCTGCACAGCAAAAGAAACTACCGTCAGAGTGAATAGGCAACCTACAGTATGGGAGAAAATTTTTGCAATCTACCCATTTGACAAAGGGCTAATATCCAGAATCTACAAAGAACTTAAACAAATTTACAAGAAAAAAACAAACAACCCCATCAAAAAGTGGGCAAAGGATATGAACAGACACTTCTCAAAAGAAGACATTTATGCAGCCAACAAACACAGGAAAAAATGCTTATCATCACTGGTCATTAGAGAAATGCAAATCAAAACTACATTGAGATACCATCTCACACCAGTTAGAATGGCGATCATTAAAAAGTCAGGAAACAACAGATGCTGGGGAGGATATGGAGAAATAGGAACGCTTTTACACTGTTGGTGGGAGTGTAAACGAGCTCAACCATTATGGAAGACAGTGTGGCCATTCCTCCAGGATCTAGAACTAGAAATATCATTTGACCCAGCATCCCATTACTGGGTATATACCCAAAGGATTATAAATCATGCTACTATAAAGACACATGCACACGTATGTTTATTGCAGCACTGTTCACAATAGCAAAGACTTGGAACCAAACCAAATCCTTCAATGATAGACTGAATTAAGAAAATGTGGCACATATACACCATGGAATTCTATGCAGCCATAAAAAAGGATGAGTTCATGTCCTTTGCAGGGAGATGGATGAAGCTGGAAACCATCATTCTGAACAAACTATCACTAGCACAGAAAACCAAATACCGCATGTTCTCACTCATAGGTGGGAATTGTACAATGAGAGCACTTGGACACATGGCAGGGAACATCACACATGGGGGACTATCATGGGGTGGGGGGCAGGGGGATGGATAGCATCAGGATAAATAATGTAAATGACGAGTTAATGGGTGCAGCAAACAAACATGGCACATGTATACCTGTGTAACAAACCTGCACATTGTGCACATGTACCCTGGAACTTAAAGTATAATAATAATTTTTTTTAAATCTCACCTTTCTCCCAGAATCTGCAGAAGAAACAGTCTCCCTCAAACTTTGATTTACATGGACACCAACAGAGGGTGTAGCTAGAGCCCAAGTGTGTGACAGTCAGATGAAAGTGGCCCTTACCTAGCAAAGCCAAGTGGCTTAGTGTGGGGCAGGTTCATGCAAGAAATTTCTCTACTTCTCTCTGCAGATCCTCCTCAGGATCAAGGTCAGTGCTCTCCCAGAACATTTAAAGGCAGAGAGAAGAATTACCTTTTAGGGCTAACTTGTTTCCCCCAAAATCTCCAACTTTTTTTTTCTTGTTTAGCCATTGTACAAAATTGGGAAAATGTACACCTTCTGGGTAGATTCTGCATAGTGGAGAAAAGGCTTGAGAGGCACAAAGGCTGGGCTTTACAATCACTACCCCTCACTCCATCATCCTTATCTATGCATTTCCCTGGTAACCCAATCCACAGTCTGGTACCTTCCCCAATGTCATTTCTGCTGCATTACAGACACAGACTTGCAAATAGTTATGGTTGTGACTGAGTTTCTTCGTGACACCTGACCCTTTCTCATGCTGCAAGGAAAGCTTGCTGGGAGGAGCATGGAATCTGGAATGATGCCAGAGGGCAAAGCTGAAAGGGGTCATTTAAGTGCTGCAACTCAGAGATTCACTCAGAAGACTGGACACAATTCCGAAGGTCGCCCAGAAGGAGAGGACAATGTCATTTCTAACTGTGAGTTGAAAAGGCACAGCCTTCAATAATCTCAAGTCACACAAAACCAAGAAAGATGTGGGGTATTTTATGAGATGAAAATATGAGCATTCCTACTGTGAATGCTTTACTGAGAGTTGTGGGTGTGTGGAAGAGAAACACTGAGGCTGGGTATCTGAGATGCTTGTAGCATGTGGGTTGTGGATCCTGGACAAATGTAACCCTCTGTGAGCATGAGGTGGTATCTGATGAGAGTGAACTCTGATGAGATGATGTGACTTTAGGTGGGAGGTGGATGGCACACCAGGTCAAGCAGGTGTTTGTGTGAGTGTAAGGGGGGTGATTGTACTTTGTCTTCCTCTTTGTGATGTGAGTGTGTGTTAGCACAGCCAGACCAGTGCATGGTCATCTTTATGTGCGCAGTGAGCAGGTGTGTGTAACTCAGTGAGTGGCATGGCTCTGTGTGACTGTGGGTGTGTGTGCTGGGATGTGACTGAGTATTGAAGGGAAAACACGCATGTGGCCTTCTGTGCATGTGAAGGTTCCTCCCCACACAACAGCACTTCTGATGAAGGAACTGTGTGTCTTTTCATGTGTGGCAATGTGGATCCCAGGTGGCTTAACTGGTAGGGATCTTGGAGATTGTGAGTTACCAAGGACTTGTTTCAGATCACTTATGAGAGCAGAATGTATGATCAGTAGATGTCTCTTCCCAGTAAGAGTGGGGAAGAGGAATGGAGACTATGGGGGTGATGGATCCTCAGGTGGGGTCTGCACAGAGTGACCACTGTCTCTTGCCTCCCAGGCTCAGCTTCCCTGTCCCCAGCCTATCCTGTCCTTTTCATTGTGGGACAGGAGGTTTGCTAGAGAAGGATATTAGAGGCCATGGTTTCAGAGACTGAATCACGTAAAATATCCACTGTAAGCTATGTCTCAACTGAGTCTAAACTTGTTCCTCCACCCATGAAGGAACAAGTCTAGTCTCAGTTCAGACAGAGCTTACAGTGGATATTAATCAACAAAGCAGCTGGGTTCACTGGCTCACGGCTATAATCCCACCAATCTGAGAGACAAAGATGAGAGGATAACTTGAGGCCAGAAGTTTGAGGCCAGTCTGGGTATCATAGTGAGACCCTTTCTTTAAAAAACTTTAAATATCAGACTGCCAGAGTGGCAGGCACCTTTTGCCCCAGCTACACAAGAGGGGGCAGATGTGTGAGGATCACTGCAGCCCAGGAGTTCAACGTTTCAATGAGCTATGATCGCACCACTGCATGTCAGCCTGGGCAACAGAGCAAGACCCTATCTCAAAAATACAGAAAAATCATCAACCACTTGTAGTCATTGTAGAAATCAATCATTCCCTCCAGTTATGTCCCTGACCCACAGGCTTCACTTGTGCAAGTACTGGGGCTGTGCTGTCAGTAATGTGTGCCACTTCTTGGAAGGACGTCCATTGCCCTTGATGATTGTGAGAGTTGAAAATAAGGCAGATCAGTGTTTCAGGAGGACTCCCCTGTTCTGTTAGGTCACCCCTAACAGGCCCTACACATGCCAGGGATTAGGGTAAAAGTTTTACATGTATTAACTGCTCTATTATGGAGAACTTCCTACACAGTAGGAATTCATGATAATCCTCCTTGTTTTAGGGAAACTGAGGAAGTCAAGTAACCGATCTAAGATTGCACTGCTAGTAAGAGGCAGAATGAGGACTGGAATCCAGGCTTCTTGGCTCCTGAACCCTTGCTCTTACCTATGGGTCCACCATACCTTCAGGAATGTGGGGCCCTGACTGTGGTAGAGTGAATGGGGAGAGTCCACAGAGCCTGCCCTGTGATCTCTAACCTCCTGCACCATGGGAATATGTTACAGGAAGGGAGACTGCACCTGACCCTGCACCTCTCACTTATTCTCAATACCCTGGCAGGTGCCATACAAACTGCCTGTGTCTTTGTCTGTTGGTTCCTGCGTGATAATCAAAGGGACACTGATCGACTCTTCTATGTGAGTACTCCATGGTCCAATGGAGGGGGTGGAGGAGAAAGGAGAATATTTGCTAAGAGTTTGACCTTATGTGTGGGTGATGTGGAAATGTCTAATTGGCAGGATGGAGGCCCCATGCAGGTGCAGGTCCTGGAGACCCTCCAGCACCAGGCATGAGACCTGCAGCAACTGCATGTGGGCCAGCCATGGGGCCTAGGGGAGGAGAATACTCAGTGGGTTGGGACTGTGGCTCTTTATCAAGGGGCATAGAATTTTCAGGGAATGAACAAGTCACAGGCCCAGGTCAGTGACTGTGATTCAGTTTTCATCTGGGGATGAGGGGCACAGCATCTCCCTGCAGGGGGCACGAGGAGCTGAAGCATCCCCACAGGGACCAGGCCTGCAGTATCATCAGAGAGAATTTTACCCTGGGTAAATGGGGGAAGGGATTTGTGTGCGTGTCAAGTGTGTGTCTGTGCAATGAAGGAACCTGTCCAATATGCTGTGTGCTTTGCCCTCAGCAACGAACCACAGCTGCAGGTGGATTTCTACACTGAGATGAATGAGGACTCAGAAATTGCCTTCCATTTGCGAGTGCACTTAGGCCGTCGTGTGGTCATGAACAGTCGTGAGTTTGGGATATGGATGTTGGAGGAGAATTTACACTATGTGCCCTTTGAGGATGGCAAACCATTTGACTTGCGCATCTACGTGTGTCACAATGAGTATGAGGTGAGCACCCCAGGAGCTCGCAGTACCCAGGCTCTTTGGGATCCCAGAGCAGGAGTCAGCTCTCATTGACCTGGCCTCACCAGTCCCTCAGGGCCCATCTCCCGTAACTACCCCTGCCCCAGGTTTTCATCACAGAGCACCCTCTGCTTGCACTGCCGTCCTCAGCTCTTTCCCAAATCTGACCAAGGTCAAGGTCGGCTCATCTTCCATTTCCCCCAAAGTGGAGAATCTCCTCTGTCTTTTCACATAGTGCTCATTTCTACTTATGCCATTATTTAAATTTTCATGTAGCTGAATGAATACAATATACTTAAGAAGAAAGTTTTTTCTATCAATCAAAAATTATGTCTTCGTCTCACTTTTGGGCCCCAATTCTACTCATACGAATAACATTACCAGAGCTCTGCTCTCCTTCAGAGAGAATCCTTTTTCTTTTTTTTTTTTTTTGAGACAGAGACTCACTTTGTCATCCAGGTTGGAGGGCAGTGACGTGATCTCAGCTCACTGCAACCTCCACCTCCCAGATTCAAGCGATTCTCTTGCCTTAGCCTCCCAAGTAGATGGGATTACAGGCTGATTTTTTTATTTTTAGTAGAGACGGGGTTTCACCATGTTGGCCAGGCTGGTCTTGAACTCCCAGCCTCAAGTTATCAACCCAATTCAGCCTTCCAATATAGTGGATTACACGCATATGCCACCGTGCCAACCCCTTCAGAGGAAATCTTTGCCTATGGAAGCATATAGATATGTCTATGATTTCATTTGTTTTTAAGTAAATCCTGGTATGTTGCTCTACACATTATGCTTTAGGAACTAAGTTGGTTTTTCATCAAAGAATATATCTTGAAGACATTATCAATCCATGTTTCTGCTTCAATTGTTTATTTGGGCATTGAAGTTGTTTCCAGTATTTTGCTCTCACAAATGATGCTGTATTAAGCTTTCAAATAAATCCTTTTGTCATTACCAACCTCCCAATACTTACATTGCGATATAATTACAAAAAATGAAAAAACTGGTTGAAAAATATGTGCATTTTAAATTTGAAAAATTAATACTAATAAGGTGACTCTCTATACAGCCTCAATATAAGGAATACATCCATACTTTCTTACTTTCTCTAACGAGTAGGCCAAAAGATTCACATCTTATTCAGATTCAAGTGAGGGATCTTTTCCTATGCTTAGAAGTTGTCGAAGATAATATCCTATGTTATACAAGACCTGTCCTCCTTTAACTCTCTAAGAACACTGGGTTTCATTCTTTGCCATTAACACCTCAGATGTAGGCTACTCCAAAGAGGAACTGTGCCATCAGTAGTGAAAGACAGTCACAGTTCATGGAACTGAAAAGTATGCATTTCAGTGAACATGGTCTCGCACTAACCCTGTGGCAGGTCCTGTGCGAGATGCAGGGTCTCAAGTTCCTGAGACACAGTTGCTGGTAATGGGGTTGTCCAGGTTAGAAGGGAGGCTGAATAAACAGGGACTGTGTGACACAGAGTGTAGAACTTCACTAGATAAGAGGAAACATTAGAAATAAGGTCAGCAACTGTCTCAAATAGGCACAAAATGTCATCTGTAAACAGAAGTGTATCTACAACATTCGCTTGTATAACTAGGAGTTTTCTTGGGGAATGTTATTGGTACTAGGGCAGAGTAGAGAAGAGGCTGAAAACTTGTTGGGTGGCATACTGTCTTTCTGATGCATTTTTCCTCTTAAAGGTAAAGGTAAATGGTGAATACATTTATGCCTTTGTCCATCGAATCCCGCCATCATATGTGAAGATGATTCAAGTGTGGAGAGATGTCTCCCTGGACTCAGTGCTTGTCAACAATGGACGGAGATGATCACACTCCTCATTGTTGAGGAAACCCTCTTTCTACCTGACCATGGGATTCCTAGAGCCTGCTAACAGAATAATCCCTCCTCAACCCCTTCCCCTACACTTGGTCATTAAAACAGCACCAAACCGTACATGATTTGGTTCTTGCTTTAAGAGGGGGAAAGAGGACGTGATCATCCCCAAAAGGGGCCAGGGCATTCTATGGGAGGCATCAAGAAATCAAAGGGGATAAACCTTCCTGTGACAAAGGGAGTGAGTGACAAGGTCCATGGAATGTCTGATAAGACATTAGGAACAGCATCCTTCTATAGTACGTAGTTGACGTCAGACAGTCTGAACCAAAATACTTACCCAATCTCAGATGACTCACGGCACTTAAATGTTAGATAGCTACTTACAGCCACACAGGTGTACCTAGTAGCTTTGGGGAAAACCTATAACTTTAGGAAAATTATGTGGAATTTCTTAATTTTTCCATTGTTCTCAGGATGCTTATTGTGTAGGAACACTATGCCTGGCTTTGTGCAGGCTGCTGTGAAGGAAGTGAAGAAAAGGATGACAAGTTTTGCATGTAAAGTTTTCAATCCAAGCAATAGAGAATCACTGGAGCCCAGTGATTCCCCTTAAAGAATACCAATTATTCTTATTTTCAAATATTTGAAAAGTTTTTCATTTTATGTGGGGAGAATCCAGGGGTTTCTCTTTAGAAATAAATGGTCATGGTTTTAGATCAGAGAACACGTAGATTATTATTGGAATAGACACAATTCATGTCCATGGACACAGTGAGCAGATCCTGCTTTGCTGCTATTCTTGCGATAAATTGCAGCATAGAAAACTGCCCAACACATATTGGCTAAAAGCAATCATTTATTTTGATCTCTCCCAGCTTTACAGGTTTACTGAATTCATGTGAGTGGTAGGTCATGTGATGGGAGTCACGTTATTTGAGAGATCTTTTAGGCTGGGATTTCAAGGGATGCTTTACTCTTGTCCAATTCAACACTAGGGCTGAGTGAACACCTGGAAACTGGCTGATTATTTCCTTCACTACCTCACCTTCCCATTCATGCCTTTAATTTCCTCAAATAGACTCTCACAGTTCTTAGACTTAATGAATGGTGACTGGCTTTCACCAAGGTAAGCCTTCCAAAAGGCTCATGGAGAAGGTGCACAGCATCACAGGACCTACCTTTGAATGGCAGACAGTGTCACTTCTATGACTTTACATTGATCAAGATGAGTCACACAGACAGCCCTAATCAAAAGGAGAGGACTCCACAAGCTGTGGTTATTGTGACTGTAGTCATGAGGGGCCATCCTTGGCAACTAGTTCCACTCAGAACTACTTCCCATATACCAAAAACACACCCTGTAAGGAATCTCTGAAGGCATACAATTATAGGAACAGGCCTCAGAGTAAAGTGCAGTGTCTTATCTAATCAGGATATGGTGTCTATGATGTGACTACAACTTATCACTTGCAATCTCTCTCAACATGTGCATCAAAGGAACACATTATCTGCTTTATACAAATCAAGCAAAGAAGACTGAAGGAGACAGGAAAAAAGGCAATGAAAACACCTATTTTAGAGGGGCAAAATAAAATAGACAGCAGTCACTAATCTGTATCATTGGTGAAACCAACCAGACACCTATTTTCATTTTCTCTGGGAATGTTTCTCCGTAGCACTTGCCCTCACCCTCCATTCTCAGCTTCTTGGAGTTCCTACCAAGATGGCAGAATAACAGCCCTTTCCCTATGCCTGGCCAACATGTTGAAACCACATCTCTACTAAAAATACAAAAATTAGCTGAGCATGGTGGCAGGCACCTGTAATCCCAGCTACTTGGGAGGTTGAGGCAGGAGAATCACTTGAACCCAGGAGAAGGTGCTTGCAGTGAGCTAAGATTATGCCATTGCACTCCAGCCTGGGTGACAAGAGCTAAACTCCATCTCAAAACAAAACAAAAAGAAATCTAAATATAATTGAGTTGAATATTTGAATTTTTTATTGACATTTCAAATTAGATTATAATTCAATTTAAAAGAGCATCTCATAGAAGCAGATGTACTCAATTATGTTAACGCTGTGGTTTCATGTAAGCAATTTGTTTTGTGAAGGGACACAAATCCAACCAGATTTTAACAGTGTATAAATATGTATGTATTAATTTAATTACAATGACAATACTCTCAACTCCCCATTTGAATAAAGGAGAGCATCTGATCTCTGTTCTGGGGCACCGTGCACTATAGGTGTGTGGAAATACAGATGCCCTCAGCTGTGGGGTAGGCTCAGTGGGACCTGGAGTGCTGGAGCCCCTGGGCCATTCACCTCTGGCTACAAAAGTCATTGTCTATTTATCCCCAGCTGCTATAGAAATATTATTTTCAGTGGCTGTCATGATGCAAAAGAAAAGAAGCATGGAGATTTATTAAACCTTTACATATAAGTTATGTTAGTAAATAAAGTGAACTTTCTTCTGGCTTAACTAAAAAATCTATAGTAGTATTTATGCCTTTTGGAAAATAGAGATGGCAATTTAAATATTATGAAGCAAAGCAACTGATTATCAGGTAAGACAACCAACTACAACTGCAGAATTGTAGAGGTTATGGGTTAAATGTATAAGAATATTTCATAGCAATAATCTTTTAAGACTATGCAAGAGACTCCACAGTGGAGTAGAAATTAGAACAGAATTAATAATACTGTGTATGCTCTCAGTTCACCAATTTATCAAAACTAGCTTTATGATGCAGGAGGGTGTCTGCCCTTTTGCAATTGGAAGAAAAGAAAGAATATTTCATTTTTCGACTCTTTAGATTTTCTTCACTAACAGTATTTCCACAGCTAAGTAAGGGATTTGCAAGTAGCATCAAGAGAAAAAAGCAGGCTTGAGCAGCTTTTAAAATATGGTCTTAAAATATGGAAATTGGAGCCATGTGTGGTGGCTCACACTTGTAATCCCAGCACTTTGGGAGCCTGAGGTGGGAGGATTGCTTGAGGTCAAAAGTTTGAGACCAGCCTAGGCAGCATAGCAAGATCCCCATCGTTACAAAAAATAATAATTTTTTAAAAAATCAGCTGGATGTGGTGGTGCATGCCTTAGAGTCCTAGTTACTTGGGCGGCTGAGGTAGGAGGAGCTCTTGAGCCCAAGAGTTCAAGTCTGCAGTGAGCTACAATTGCACCACTGTACTCTAGCCTGGGAAACAAAGTGAGACTCTCTCTCTCTCTCTCTCTCTCTCTCTCTCTCTCTCTCTCTCTATATATATATATATATATATATATATATATATATACACATACACACACACACACACATACATACATATATATGTATGTATATATACACATATATATGTATGTATATATACACATATATATGTATGTATATATACACATATATATGTATGTATATATACACATATATATGTATGTATATATATACATACATATACATACATATATATGTGGAAAAGGGAAGGGGCCAAGAATGTCAAAGACATTATTAAAGAAAAGGAAAGATTTCTCCTGCCAAATATCAGAAGTTTTATAAAGCTACAGCAATTAAGATAGTGTGGTCTTCATTGATAAACTGACCAATGAAACAGAATAGAGAGCTCCCAAACAAATCTCCACAAATTTAATATTTGATATGTGATGCAGGTGACATGGCAGATCAGCAAAGAAAGAAAGGACTTTTCAATACATAGGAAAGAAAAATAATGGTTACTGATATAGGAAACAAAATGAAATTATATTCCTTCTTCGCTCTATATACAAACATTAAATTCCAGATGGACCAAAGACTTATGTGTCAGAAACAAAACTTTAAAACTTTTAGTAGAAAATGTAAGTGAATGAGACACAAAAAGCCATTTAACCATTAAAAAAGATTAGATGTTTTGACTATCACAAAATTGAGAACTTTTTACATCAAAAAGTGAAAAGATAAGCTGGGCATGGTGTCTCAAGCCTGTAATCCCAACAGTAGATCACCTGAGGTCAGGAGTTTGACACCAGGCTGGCCAACATGGTGAAACCCTGTCTCCACTGAAAATATAAGAAATTAGCCAGGCATTGGTGGCAGACACTAGCAATCCCAGCTACTTGGGAAGCTGATGCACGAGAATCTTCTGAACCCGGGAGGTGGAGGTTACAGTGAGCCACTGCACTCCAGCCTGAATGGCAGAGTGAGACTCTGTCTCAAAAAAAAAGTAAAAATTAAAAAATAAAAGTAAAAAAGTGAAAAGATAAACTATAAACTAGAAGAAGATATTTGCAGTACCTAAAACCTATGAAAGATTAATATCAAATCAACAAAGTATAAGGAGTTCCTATGAATTAATTTTAAAAATAGCATCCCAAAAGAAAATTGGGAAAAGACATTAATAGGGATTTCACAAAAGAGAATGCCCCCAAAACATAAAAATTTTCTCATCCTCATTAGTAATCAAGAAAATGCACAAGATACTACATATCTATTCGCTCCACAAATATTAAGAAGTTTGACAATACCAAATGTATTAGTCGACATTCACGCTGCTGATAAAGACATAACTGAGACTGGGAAGAAAAAGAGGCTTAATGG